>NC_000022.11:13285243-13885243 GCF_000001405.40 Homo sapiens | reverse complement strand
ATATGAAGATATTCCCGTTTCCAACGAAATCTTCAAATCTATCCAAATGTCCACTTGCAGATTCAACAAAAAGTGTTTTTCAGAACTCCTCTATCAAGAGAAAGATCCACCTCTGTTAGCTGAGTTCACACATCACAAACAAGTTTATGAGAATGCTTCTGTCTAGTTTTTATTTGAAGATATTTCCTTTCTCACCATAGAGCTGAAAGCTGTCCTAATGTTCACTTCCAGATACTACAGAAAGAGTGTTTCAAAACTGCTGTACGAAAGGGAATGTTCAACTCTGTGACTTGAATGCACACATTACAAAGAAGTTTCTGAGGATGCTGCTGTCTACTTTTTATACGTAATCCCGTTTCCAACGAAATCCTCCAAGCTATCCAAATATCCACTTGCAGATTCCACAGAAAGACTGTTTCAAAACTGGTATGTCAATAGAAAAGTTCAACTCTGTTAGCTGTGTGCATATATCCCAAAGAAAATTCTGAGATTGCTTCTGTCTAGTTTTTATGGGAAGATATTTCCCTTTTCACCGTAGGTGTCAAGGCGCTCCAAATATCCACTTCCAGATACTACAAAAAGAGTGTTTCAAACCTACTCTGTGAAAGGGAATATTCAACTCTGTGACTCGAATGCACATATCACAAAGAAGTTTCTGAGAATGCTTCCTGTCGAGATTTTATATGAAGATATTCCCGTTTCCAACGAAATCCTAAAATCTATCCAAATATCCCCTCGCAGATTCTACAAAAAGAGTGTTTCAAAACTGCTCTGTAAAAAGAAAGGTTCAACTCTGTTAGTTGAGTACACACATCACAAACAAGTTTCACAGAATGCTTCTTTCTAGCTTGTAGGGGAATATATTCCCTTTATCACCATGGGTCTCAAACCCTCCGAAACGTCCACTTCCATATACTACAAAAAGAGCGTTTCAAACCTGCTCTAGGAAAGGCAATGTTCAACTCTGTGACTTGAATGCAGACATCACAGAGCAGTTTCTGAGAATGCTTCTGTCTAGGTTTTATAGGAAGATATTCCCGTTTCCAACGAAATCTTCACAGCTATCCAAATATCCACTTGCAGATAGTACAAAAAGAGTGTATCAAAAATGCTCTGTCAAAAGGAAAGTTCTTCTCTCTTAGTTGAGTACATACGTCATAAAGGAGTTTCTGAGAATGTTTCTGTCTAGTGGTTATGGGAAGATATTTGCTTTTTCACCCTAGGTCTCAGAGTGCTCCAAATATCCACTTGCACATACTACAAAAAGAGTGCTTCAAAGCTGCTCTCTGAAACGGAATGTTCAACTCTATGTGTTGAATGCAAACATCACAAAGACGTTTCCGAGAATGCTTCTGTCTAGATTTGATATGAAGATATTCCCGTTTGCAACGAAATCTTCAAATCTATCAAAATGTCCACTTGCAGATTCAACAAAACGTGTTTTTCAGAACTGCTCTATCAAAGGAAAGATACACCTCTGTTAGCTGAGTTCACACATCACAAACAAGTTTATGAGAATGCTTCTGTCTAGTTTTTATTTGAAGATATTTCCTTTCTCACCATAGACCTGAAAGCTGTCCTAATGTTCACTTCCAGATACTACAGAAAGAGTGTTTCAAAACTGCTGCACGAAAGCGAATGTTCAACTCTGTGACTTGAATGCACACCTCACAAAGAAGTTTCTGAGGATGCTGCTGTCTACTTTTCATACGTAATCCCGTTTCCAACGAAATCCTCCAAGCTATCCAAATATCCACTTGCAGATTCCACAGAAAGACTGTTTCAAAACTGCTCTGTCAATAGAAAGGTTCAACTCTGTTAGCTGCGTGCATATATCCCAAAGAAGATTCTGAGATTGCTTCTGTCTACTTTTTATGAGAAGATATTTTCCTTTTCACCGTAGGCGTCAGGGCGCTCCAAATGTCCACTTCCAGATACTACAAAAAGAGTGTTTCAAACCTACTCTGTGAAAGGGAATATTCAACTCTGTGACTTGAATGCACATATCACAAAGAAGTTTCTGAGAATGCTTCTGTCGAGATTTTATATGAAGATATTCCCGTTTCCAACGAAATCCTGAAATCTATCCAAATATCCCCTCGCAGATTCTACAAAAAGAGTGTTTCAAAACTGCTCTGTAAAAAGAAAGGTTCAACTCTGTTAGTTGAGTACACACATCACAAACTAGTTTCACAGAATGCTTCTTTCTAGCTTGTAGGGGAAGATATTCCCTTTATCACCATGGGCCTCCAACCGTCCGAAACATCCACTTCCATATGCTACAAAAAGAGCGTTTCAAACCTGCTCTATGAAAGGCAATGTTCAACTCTGTGACTTGAATGGAGACATCACAGAGCAGTTTCTGAGAATGCTTCTGTCTAGATTTTATAGGAAGATATTCCCGTTTCCAACGAAATCTTCACAGCTATCCAAATATCCACTTGCAGATTCCAGAAAAAGAGTGTATCAAAACTGCTCTGTCAAAAGGAAGGTTCTTTTCTGTTAGGTGAGTGCATACGTCATAAAGGAGTTTCTGAGAATGTTTCTGTCTAGTGGTTATGGGAAGATATTTGCTTTTTCACCTTAGGCCTCAGAGCGCTCCATATATCCCCTTGCACATACTACAAAAAGAGTGCTTCAAAGCTGCTCTCTGAAACGGAATGTTCAACTCTATGGGTTGAATGCAAACATCACAAAGACGTTTCTGAGAATGCTTCTGTCTAGATTTGATATGAAGATATTCCCGTTTCCAACGAAATCTTCAAATCTATCCAAATGTCCACTTGCAGATTCAACAAAAAGTGTTTTTCAGAGCTGCTCTATCAAAAGAAAGATCCACCTCTGTTAGCTGAGTTCACACATCACAAACAAGTTTATGAGAATGCTTCTGTCTAGTTTTTATTTGAAGATATTTCCTTTCTCACCATGGACCTGAAAGCTGTCCTAATGTTCACTTCCAGATACTACAGAAAGAGTGTTTCAAAACTGCTGTACGAAAGGGAATGTTCAAATCTGTGGCTTGAATGCACACATCACAAAGAAGTTTCTGAGGATGCTGCTGTCTACTTTTTATACATAATCCCGTTTCCAACGAAATCCTCCAAGCTATCCAAATATCCACTTGCAGATTCCACAGAAAGACTGTTTCAAAACTGCTCTGTCAATAGAAAGGTTCAACTCTGTTAGCTTCGTGCATATATCCCAAAGAAGATTCTGAGATTGCTTCTGTCTAGTTTTTATGGGAAGATATTTCCCTTTTCACCGTAGGTGTCAAGGCGCTCCAAATGTCCACTTCCAGATACTACAAAAAGAGTGTTTCCAACCTACTCTGTGAAAGGGAATATTCAACTCTGTGACTTGAATGCACATATCACAAAGAAGTTTCTGAGAATGCTTCTGTCGAGATTTTATATGAAGATATTCCCGTTTCCAACGAAATCCTGAAATGTATCCAAATATCCCCTCGCAGTTTCTACAAAAAGAGTGTTTCAAAACTGCTCTGTAAAAAGAAAGGTTCAACTCTGTTAGTTGAGTACACACATCACAAACAAGTTTCACACAATGCTTCTTTCTAGCTTGTAGGGGAAGATATTCCCTTTATCACCATGGGCCTCAAACCGTCTGAAACATCCACTTCCATATACTACAAAAAGAGCGTTTCAAACCTGCTCTATGAAAGGCAATGTTCAACTCTGTGACTTGAATGCAGACATCACAGAGCAGTTTCTGAGAATGCTTCTGTCTAGATTTTACAGGAAGATATTCCCGTTTCCAATGAAATCTTCACAGCTATCCAAATATCCACTTGCAGATTCTACAAAAAGAGTGTATCAAAACTGCTCTGTCAAAAGGAAGTTTCTTCTCTGTTAGGTGAGTGCATACGTCATAAAGGAGTTTCTGAGAATGTTTCTGTCTAGTGGTTATGGGAAGATACTTGCTTTTTCACCTTAGGCCTCAGAGCGCTCAAAATATCCCCTTGCACATACTACAAAAAGAGCGCTTCAAAGCTGCTCTCTGAAACGGAATGTTCAACTCTATGGGTTGAATGCAAACATCACAAAGACGTTTCTGAGAATGCTTCTGTCTAGATTTGATATGAAGATATTCCCGTTTCCAACGAAATCTTCAAATCTATCCAAATGTCCACTTGCAGATTCAACAAAAAGTGTTTTTCAGAACTGCTCTATCCAAAGAAAGATCCACCTCTGTTAGCTGAGTTCACACATCACAAACAAGTTTATGAGAATGCTTCTCTCTAGTTTTTATTTGAAGATATTTCCTTTCTCACCATAGAGCTGAAAGCTGTCCTAATGTTCACTTCCAGATACTACAGAAAGAGTGTTTCAAAACTGCTGTATGAAAGGGAATGCTCAACTCTGTGACTTGAATGCACACATCACAAAGAAGTTTCTGAGGATGCTGCTGTCTACTTTTTATACGTAATCCCGTTTCCAACGAAATCCTCCAAGCCATCGAAATATCCACTTGCAGATTCCACAGAAAGACTGTTTCAAAACTGCTCTGTCAATAGAAAGGTTCAACTCTGTTAGCTGCGTGCATATATCCCAAAGAAGATTCTGAGATTGCTTCTGTCTAGTTTTTATCGGAAGATATTTCCCTTTTCACCATAGGTGTCAAGGTGCTCCAAAAGTCCACTTCCAGATACTACAAAAAGAGTGTTTCAAACCTACTCTGTGAAAGGGAATATTCAACTCTGTGACTTGAATGCAGATATCACAAAGAAGTTTCTGAGAATGCTTCTGTCGAGATTTTATATGAAGATATTCCCGTTTCCAAGGAAATCCTGAAATCTATCCAAATATCCCCTCGCAGATTCTACAAAAAGAGTGTTTCAAAACTGCTCTGTGAAAAGAAAGGTACAACTCTGTTAGTTGAGTACACACATCACAAACAAGTTTCACAGAATGCTTCTTTCTAGCTTGTAGGGGAATATATTCCCTTTATCACCATGGGTCTCAAACCGTCCGAAACGTCCACTTCCATATACTACAAAAAGAGCGTTTCAAACCTGCTCTATGAAACGCAATGTTCAACTCTGTGAGTTGAATGCAGACTTCACAGAGCTGTTTCTGAGAATGCTTCTGTCTAGATTTTATAGGAAGATATTCCCGTTTCCATCGAAATCTTCACAGGTATCCAAATATCCACTTGCAGATTCTACAAAAAGAGTGTATCAAAACTGCTCTGTCAAAAGGAAGGTTCTTCTCTGTTAGGTGAGTGCATACGTCATAAAGGAGTTTCTGAGAATGTTTCTGTCTAGTGGTTATGGGAAGATATTTTCTTTTTCACCTTAGGCCTCAGAGCGCTCCAAATATCCACTTGCACATACTACAAAAAGAGTGTTTCAAAGCTGCTCTCTGAAAGGGAATGTTCAACTCTATGAGTTGAATGCAAACATGACAAAGACGTTTCTGAGAATGCTTCTGTCTAGATTTGGTATGAAGATATTCCCGTTTCCAACGAAATCTTCAAATCTATCCAAATGTCCACTTGCAGATTCAACAAAAAGTGTTTTTCAGAACTGCTCTATCAAAAGAAAGATCCACCTCTGTTAGCTGAGTTCACACATCACAAACAAGTTTATGAGAATGCTTCTGTCTAGTTTTTATTTGAAGATATTTCCTTTCTCACCATAGACCTGAAAGCTGTCCTAATGTTCACTTCCAGATACTACAGAAAGAGTGTTTCAAAACTGCTGTACGAAAGGGAATGTTCAACTCTGTGACTTGAATGCACACATCACAAAGAAGTTTCGGAGGATGCTGCTGTCTACTTTTTATACTTAATCCCGTTTCCAACGAAATCCTCCAAGCTATCCAAATATCCACTGGCAGATTCCACAGAAAGACTGTTTCAAAACTGCTCTGTCAATAGAAAGGTTCAACTCTGTTAGCTGCGTGCATATATCCCAAAGAAGATTCTGAGATTGCTTCTGTCTAGTTTTTATGGGAAGATATTTCCCTTTTCACCGTCGGCGTCAAGGCGCTCCAAATGTCCACTTCCAGATACTACAAAAAGAGTGTTTCAAACCTACTCTGTGAAAGGGAATATTCAACTCTGTGACTTGAATGCACATATCACAAAGAAGTTTCTGAGAATGCTTCTGTCGAGATTTTATATGAAGATATTCCCGTTTCCAACGAAATCCTGAAATCTATCCAAATATCCCCTCGCAGATTCTACAAAAAGAGTGTTTCAAAACTGCTCTGTAAAAAGAAAGGTTCAACTGCTGTTAGTTGAGTACACACATCACAAACAAGTTTCACAGAATGCTTCTTTCTAGCTTGTAGGGGAAGATATTCCCTTTATCACCATGGGCCTCAAACCGTCCGAAACGTCCACTTCCATATACTACAAAAAGAGCGTTTCAAACCTGCTCTAGGAAAGGCAATGTTCAACTCTGTGACTTGAATGCAGACATCACAGAGCGGTTTCTGAGAATGCTTCTGTCTAGATTTTATAGGAAGATATTCCCGTTTCCAACGAAATCTTCACAGCTATCCAAATATCCACTTGCAGATCCTACAAAAAGAGTGTATCAAAACTGCTCTGTCAAAAGGAAGGTTCTTCTCTGTTAGTTGAGTACATACGTCATAAAGGAGTTTCTGAGAATGTTTCTGTCTAGTGGTTATGGGAAGATATTTGCTTTTTCACCGTAGGCCTCAGAGCGCTCCAAATATCCACTTGCACATACTACAAAAAGAGTGCTTCAAAGCTGGTCTCTGAAACGGAATGTTCAACTCCATGAGTTGAATGCAAACATCACAAAGACGTTTCTGAGAATGCTTCTGTCTAGATTTTATAGGAAGATATTCCCGTTTCCAACGAAATCTTCAAATCTATCCAAATGTCCACTTGCAGATTCAACAAAAAGTGTTTTTCAAAACTGCTGTATCAAAAGAAAGATCCACGTCTGTTAGCTGAGTTCACACATCACAAACAAGTTTATGAGAATGCTTCTGTCTAGTTTTTATTTGAAGATATTTCCTTTCTCACCATAGACCTGAAAGCTGTCCTAATGTTCACTTCCAGATACTATAGAAAGAGTGTTTCAAAACTGCTGTACGAAAGGGAATGTTCAACTCTGTGACTTGAATGCACACATCACAAAGAAGTTTCTGAGGATGCTGCTGTCTACTTTTTATACGTAATCCCGTTTCCAACGAAATCCTCCAAGCTGTCCAAATGTCCACTTGCAGATTCCACAGAAAGACTGTTTCAAAACTGCTCTGTCAATAGAAAGGTTCAACTCTGTTAGCTGCGTGCATATATCCCAAAGAAGATTCTGAGATTGCTTCTGTCTAGTTTTTATGGGAAGATATTTCCCTTTTCACCGTAGGCGTCAAGGTGCTCCAAATGTCCACTTCCAGATACTACAAAAGGAGTGTTTCAAACCTACTCTGTCAAAGGGAATATTCAACTCTGTGACTTGAATGCAGATATCACAAAGAGGTTTCTGAGAATGTTTCTGTCGAGATTTTCTATGAAGATATTCCCGTTTCCAACGAAATCCTCAAATCTATCCAAATATCCCCTCGCAGATTCTACAAAAAGAGTGTTTCAAAACTGCTCTGTAAAAAGAAAGGTTCAACTCTGTTAGTTGAGTACACACATCACAAACAAGTTTCACAGAATGCTTCTTTCTAGCTTGTAGGGGAAGATATTCCCTTTATCACCATGGGCCTCAAACCGTCCGAAACGTCCACTTCCATATACTACAAAAAGAGCATTTCAAACCTGCTCTATGAAAGGCAATGTTCAACTCTGTGACTTGAATGCAGACATCACAGAGCAGTTTCTGAGAATGCTTCTGTCTAGATTTTATAGGAAGATATTCCCGTTTCCAACGAAACCTTCACAGCTATCCAAATATCCACTTGCAGATTCTACAAAAAGAGTGTATCAAAACTGCTCTGTCAAAAGGAAGGTTCTTCTCTGTTAGGTGAGTGCATACGTCATAAAGGAGTTTCTGGGAATGTTTCTGTCTAGTGGTTATGGGAAGATATTTGCTTTTTCACCGTAGGCCTCAGAGCGCTCCAAATATCCACTTGCACATACTACAAAAAGTGTGCCTCAAAGCTGCTCTCTGAAACGGAATGTTCAACTCTATGAGTTGAATGCAAACATCACAAAGACGTTTTCTGAGAATGCTTCTGTCTAGATTTGTTATGAAGATATACCCGTTTCCAACGAAATCTTCAAATCTATCCAAATGTCCACTTGCAGATTCACCAAAGTGTTTTTCAAAACTGCTGTATCAAAAGAAAGATCCACCTGTGTTAGCTGAGTTCACACTTCACAAACAAGTTTATCAGAATTCTTCTGTCTAATTTTTATTTGAAGATATTTCCTTTCTCACCATAGACCTGAAAGCTGTCCTAATGTTCACTTCCAGATACTATAGAAAGAGTGTTTCAAAACTGCTGTACGAAAGGGAATGTTCAACTCTGTGACTTGAATGCACACATCACAAAGAAGTTTCTGAGGATGCTGCTGTCTACTTTTTATACGTAATCCCATTTCCAAAGAAATCCTCCAATCTATCCAAATATCCACTTGCAGATTCCACAGAAAGACTGTTTCAAATCTGCTCTCTCAATAGAAAGATTCAACTCTGTTAGCTGCGTGCATATATCCCAAAGAAGATTCTGAGATTGCTTCTGTCTAGTTTTTATGGGAAGATATTTCCCTTTTCACCGTAGGCGTCAAGGCGCTCCAAATGTCCACTTCCAGATACTACAAAAAGAGTGTTTCAAACCTACTCTGTGAAAGGGAATATTCAACTCTGTGACGTGAATGCACATATCACAAAGAAGTTTCTGAGAATGCTTCTGTCGAGATTTATATATGAAGATATTCCCGTTTCCAACGAAATTCCTGAAATCTATCCAAATATCCCCTCGCAGATTCTACAAAAAGAGTGTTTCAAAACTGCTCTGTAAAAAGAAAGGTTCAACTCTGTTAGTTGAGTACACACATCACAAACAAGTTTCACAGAATGCTTCTTTCTAGCTTGTAGGGGAAGATATTCCCTTTATCACCATGGGCCTTAAACCGTCCGATAAGTCCACTTCCATATACTACAAAAAGAGCGTTTCAAACCTGCTCTATGAAAGGCAATGTTCAACTCTGTGACTTGAATGCAGACATCACAGAGCAGTTTCTGAGAATGCTTCTGTCTAGATTTTATAGGAAGATATTCCCGTTTCCAACGAAATCTTCACAGGTATCCAAATATCCACTTGCAGATTCTACAAAAAGAGTGTATCAAAACTGCTCTGTCAAAAGGAAGGTTCTTCTCTGTTAGGTGAGTGCATACGTCATAAAGGAGTTTCTGAGAATGTTCTGTCTAGTGGTTATGGGAAGATATTTGCTTTTTCCCCGTAGGCCTCAGGGCGCTCCAAATGTCCACTTGCACATGCTACAAAAAGAGTGCTTCAAAGCTACTCTCTGGAAGGGAATGTTCAACTCTATGAGTTGAATGCAAACATCACAAAGACGTTTCTGACAATGCTTCTGTCTAGATTTGATATAAAGATATTCCCGTTTCCAACGAAATCTTCAAATCTATCCAAATGTCCACTTGCAGATTCAACAAAAAGTGTTTTTCAGAACTGCTCTATCAAAAGAAAGATAGACCTCTGTTAGCTGAGTTCACACATCACAAACAAGTTTATGAGAATGCTTCTGTCTAGTTTTTATTTGAAGATATTTCCTTTCTCACCATAGACCTGAAAGATGTCCTAATATTCACTTAGAGATACTACAGAAAGAGTGTTTCAAAACGGCTGTACGAAAGGGAATGTTCAACACTGTGACATGAATGCACACATCACAAAGAAGTTTCTGAGGATGCTGCTGTCTACTTTTTATACGTAATCCCGTTTCCAACGAAATCCTCCAAGCTATCCAAATATCCACTTGCAGATTCCACAGAAAGACTGTTTCAAAACTACTCTGTCAATAGAAAGGTTCAACTCTGTTAGCTGCGTACATATATCCCAAAGAAGATTCTGAGATTGCTTCTGTCTACTTTTTATGAGAAGATATTTCCCTTTTCACCGTAGGCGTCAAGGTGCTCCAAATGTCCACTTCCAGATACTACAAAAAGAGTGTTTCAAACCTACTCTGTGAAAGGGAATATTCAACTCTGTGACTTGAATGCACATATCACAAAGAAGCTTCTGAGAATGCTTCTGTCGAGATTTTATATGAAGATATTCCCGTTTCCAACGAAATCCTGAAATGTATCCAAATATCCCCTCGCAGATTCTACAAAAAGAGTGTTTCAAAACTGCTCTGTAAAAAGAAAGGTTCAACTCTGTTAATTGAGTACACACATCACAAACAAGTTTCACAGAATGCTTCTTTCTAGCTTGTAGGGGAAGATATTCCCTTTATCACCATGGGCCTCAAAGCGTCGGAAACGTCCACTTCCATATACTACAAAAAGAGCGTTTCAAACCTGCTCTAGGAAAGGCAATGTTCAACTCTGTGACTTGAATGCAGACATCACAGAGCAGTTTCTGAGAATGCTTCTGTCTAGATTTTATAGGAAGATATTCCCGTTTCCAACGAAATCTTCACAGCTATCCAAATATCCACTTGCAGATTCTACAAAAAGAGTGTATCAAAACTGCTCTGTCAAAAGGAAGGTTCTTCTCTGTTAGCTGAGTGCATACGTCATAAAGGAGTTTCTGAGAATATTTCTGTCTAGTGGTTATGGGAAGATATTTGCTTTTTCCCCGTAGGCCTCATAGCGCTCCAAATGTCCACTTGCACATATTACAAAAAGAGTTCTTCAAAGCTGCTCTCTGAAAGGGAATATTCAACTCTATGAGTTGAATGCAAACATGACAAAGACGTTTCTGAGAATGCTTCTGTCTAGATTTGATATGAAGATATTCCCGTTTCCAACGAAATCTTCAAATCTATCCAAATGTCCACTTGTAGATTCAACAAAAAGTGTTTTTCAGAACTGCTCTATCAAAAGAAAGATCCACCTCTGTTAGCTGAGTTCACACATCACAAACCAGTTTATGAGAATGCTTCTGTCTAGTTTTTATTTGAAGATATTTCCTTTCTCACCATAGACCTGAAAGCTGTCCTAATGTTCACTTCCAGATACTACAGAAAGAGTGTTTCAAAACTGCTGTACGAAAGGGAAAGTTCAACTCTGTGACTTGAATGCACACATCACAAAGAAGTTTCTGAGGATGCTGCTGTCTACTTTTTATACGTAATCCCGTTTCCAACGAAATCCTCCAAGCTATCCAAATATCCACTTGCAGATTCCACAGAAAGACTGTTTCAAAACTGCTCTCTCAATAGAAAGGTTCAACTCTGTTAGCTGCGTACATATATCCCAAAGAAGATTCTGAGATTGCTTCTGTCTACTTTTTATGAGAAGATATTTCCCTTTTCACCGTAGGCGTCAAGGTGCTCCAAATGTCCACTTCCAGATACTACAAAAAGAGTGTCTCAAACCTACTCTGTGAAAGGGAATATTCAACTCTGTGACTTGAATGCACATATCACAAAGAAGCTTCTGAGAATGCTTCTGTCGAGATTTTATATGAAGATATTCCCGTTTCCAACGAAATCCTGAAATGTATCCAAATATCCCCTCGCAGATTCTACAAAAAGAGTGTTTCAAAACTGCTCTGTAAAAAGAAAGGTTGAACTCTGTTAGTTGAGTACACACATCACAAACAAGTTTCACAGAATGCTTCTTTCTAGCTTGTAGGGGAAGATATTCCCTTTAAAACCATGGGCCTCAAACCGTCTGAAACGTCCACTTCCATATACTACAAAAAGAGCATTTCAAACCTGCTCTATGAAAGGCAATGTTCAACTCTGTGACTTGAATGCAGACATCACAGAGCAGTTTCTGAGAATGCTTCTGTCTAGATTTTATAGGAAGATATTCCTGTTTCCAACGAAATCTTCACAACTATCCAAATATCCACTTGCAGATTCTACAAAAAGAGTGTATCAAAACTGCTCTGTCAAAAGGAAGGTTCTTTTCTGTTAGGTGAGTGCATACGTCATAAAGGAGTTTCTGAGAATGTTTCTGTCTAGTGGTTATGGGAAGATATTTGCTTTTTCACCGTAGGCATCACAGCGCTCCAAATATCCACTTGCACATACTACAAAAAGAGTGCTTCAAAGCTGCTCTCTGAAACGGAATGTTCAACTCTATGAGTTGAATGCAAACATCACAAAGACGTTTCTGAGAATGCTTCTGTCTAGATTTGATATGAAGATATTCCTGTTTCCAACGAAATCTTCAAATCTATCCAAATGTCCACTTGCAGATTCAACAAAGTGTTTTTCAAAACTGCTGTATCAAAAGAAAGATCCACCTCTGTTAGCTGAGTTCACACTTCACAAACAAGTTTATCAGAATTCTTCCATCTAGTTTTTATTTGAAGATATATCCTTTCTCACTATAGACCTGAAAGCTGTCCTAAAGTTCACTTCCAGATACTACAGAAAGAGTGTTTCAAAACTGCTGTACGAAAGGGAATGTTCAACTCTGTGACTTGAATGCACACATCACAAGGATGTTTCTGAGGATGCTGCTGTCTACTTTTTATACGTAATCCCGTTTCCAACGAAATCCTCCAAGCTATCCAAATATCCACTTGCAGATTCCCCAGAAAGACTGTTTCAAAACTGCTCTGTCAATAGAAAGGTTCAACTCTATTAGCTGCGTACATATATCCCAAAGAAGATTCTGAGATTGCTTCTGTCTACTTTTTATGAGAAGATATTTCCCTTTTCACCGTAGGCGTCAAGGTGCTCAAAATGTCCACTTCCAGATAATACAAAAAGAGTGTTTCAAACCTACTCTGTGAAAGGGAATATTCAACTCTGTGACTTGAATGCACATATCACAAAGAAGCTTCTGAGAATGCTTCTGTCGAGATTTTAAATGAAGATATTCCCGTTTCCAACGAAATCCTGAAATCTATCCAAATATCCCCTCGCAGATTCTACAAAAAGAGTGTTTCAAAACTGCTCTGTAAAAAGAAAGGTTCAACTCTATTAGTTGAGTACACACATCACAAACAAGTTTCACAGAATGCTTCTTTCTAGCTTGTAGGGGAAGATATTCCCTTTATCACCATGGGCCTCAAACCGTCCGATATGTCCACTTCCATATACTACAAAAAGAGCGTTTCAAACCTGCTCTATGAAAGGCAATGTTCAACTCTGTGACTTGAATGCAGACATCACAGAGCAGTTTCTGAGAATGCTTCTGTCTAGATTTTATAGGAAGATATTCCCGTTTCCAAAGAAATCTTCACAGCTATCCAAATATCCACTTGCAGATTCTACAAAAAGAGTGTATCAAAACTGCTCTGTCAAAAGGAAGGTTCTTCTCTGTTAGGTGAGTACATACGTCATAAAGGAGTTTCTGAGAATGTTTCTGTCTAGTGGTTATGGGAAGATATTTGCTTTTTCACTGTAGGCCTCACAGCGCTCCAAATATCCACTTGCACATACTACAAAAAGAGTGCTTCAAAGCTGCTCTCTGAAACGGAATGTTCAACTCTATGAGGTGAATGCAAACATCACAAAGACGTTTCTGAGAATGCTTCTGTCTAGATTTGATATGAAGATATTCCCTTTTCCAAAGAAATCTTCAAATCTATCCAAATGTCCACTTGCAGATTCAACAAAACGTGTTTTTCAGAACTGCTCTATCAAAAGAAAGATCCACCTCTGTTAGCTGAGTTCACACATCACAAACAAGTTTATGAGAATGCTTCTGTCTAGTTTTTATTTGAAGATATTTCCTTTCTCACCATAGACCTGAAAGCTGTCCTAATGTTCACTTCCAGATACTACAGAAAGAGTGTTTCAAAACTGCTGTACGAAAGGGAATGTTCAAATCTGTGGCTTGAATGCACACATCACAAAGAAGTTTCTGAGGATGCTGCTGTCTACTTTTTACACGTAGTCCCATTTCCAAAGAAATCCTCCAAGCTATCCAAATATCCACTTGCAGATTCCACAGAAAGACTGTTTCAAAACTGCTCTGTCAATAGAAAGGTTCAACTCTGTTAGCTGCGTGCATATATCCCAAAGAAGATTCTGAGATTGCTTCTGTCTAGTTTTTATGGGAAGATATTTCCCTTTTCACCGTAGGCGTCAAGGCGCTCCAAATGTCCACTTCCAGATACTACAAAAAGAGTGTTTCAAACCTACTCTGTGAAAGGGAATATTCAACTCTGTGACTTGAATGCAGATATCACAAAGAAGTTTCTTAGAATGCTTCTGTCGAGATTTTATATGAAGATATTCCCGTTTCCAACGAAATCCTGAAATGTATCCAAATATCCCCTCGCAGATTCTACAAAAAGAGTGTTTCAAAACTGCTCTGTAAAAAGAAAGGTTCAACTCTGTTAGTTGAGTACACACATCACAAACAAGTTTCACAGGAATGCTTCTTTCTAGCTTGTAGGGGAAGATATTCCCTTTATCACCATGGGCCTCCAAGCGTCCGAAACATCCACTTCCATATACTACAAAAAGAGCGTTTCAAACCTGCTCTATGAAAGGCAATTTTCAACTCTGTGACTTGAATGCAGACATCACAGAGCAGTTTCTGAGAATGCTTCTGTCTAGATTTTATAGGAAGATATTCCCGTTTCCAACGAAATATTCACAGGTATCAAAATATCCACTTGCAGATTCTACAAAAAGAGTGTATCAAAACTGCTCTGTCAAAAGGAAGGTTCTTCTCTGTTAGGTGAGTGCATACGTCATAAAGGAGTTTCTGAGAATGTTTCTGTCTAGTGGTTATGGGAAGATATTTGCTTTTTCACCGTAGGCCTCAGAGCACTCCAAATATCCACTTGCACATACTACAAAAAGAGTGCTTCAAAGCTGCTCTCTGAAAGGGAATGTTCAACTCTATGAGTTGAATGCAAACATCACAAAGACGTTTCTGAGAATGCTTCTGTCTAGATTTGATATGAAGATATTCCCGTTTCCAACGAAATCTTCAAATCTATCCAAATGTCCACTTGCAGATTCAACAAAAAGTGTTTTTCAGAACTGCTCTATCAAAAGAAAGATCCACCTCTGTTAGCTGAGTTCAGACATCACAAACAAGATTATGAGAATGCTTCCTGTCTAGTTTTTATTTTTAGATATTTCCTTTCTCACCGCAGACCTGAAAGCTCTCCTAATGTTCACTTCTAGATACTACAGAAAGAGTGTTTGAAACCTGCTGTATGAAAGGGAATGTTGAACTCTGTGACATGAATGCACACATCACAACGAAGTTTCTGAGAATGCTGCTGTCTACTTTTTATACTTAATCCCGTTTCCAACGAAATCCTCCAAGCTATCCAAATATCCACTTGCAGATTCCACAGAAAGACTGTTTCAAAACTGCTCGGTCAATAGAAAGGTTCAACTCTGTTAGCTGCGTGCATATATCCCAAAGAAGATTCTGAGATTGCTTCTGTCTAGTTTTTATGGGAAGATATCTCCCTTTTCACCGTAGGTGTCAAGGCGCTCCAAATATCCACTTCCAGATACTACAAAAAGAGTGTTTCAAACCTACTCTGTGAAAGGGAATATTCAACTCTGTGACTTGAATGCACATATCACAAAGAAGTTTCTGAGAATGCTTCTGTCGAGATTTTATATGAAGATATTCCCGTTTCCAACGAAATGCTGAAATCTATCCAAATATCCCCTCGCAGATTCTACGAAAAGAGTGTTTCAAAACTGCTCTGTGAAAAGAAAGGTTCAACTGCTGTTAGTTGAGTACACACATCACAAACAAGTTTCACAGAATGCTACTTTCTAGCTTGTAGGGGAAGATATTCCCTTTATCACCATGGGCCTCCAACCGTCCGAAACATCCACTTCCATATACTACAAAAAGAGCGTTTCAAACCTGCTCTATGAAAGGTAATTTTCAACTCTGTGACTTGAATGCAGACATCACAGAGCAGTTTCTGAGAATGCTTCTGTCTAGATTTTATAGGAAGATATTCCCTTTTCCAACGAAATCTTCACAGCTATCCAAATATCCACTTGCAGATTCTACAAAAAGAGTGTATCAAAACTGCTCTGTCAAAAGGAAGGTTCTTCTCTGTTAGGTGAGTGCATACGTCATAAAGGAGTTTCTGAGAATGTTTCTGTCTAGTGGTTATGGGAAGATATTTGCTTTTTCACCGAAGGCCTCAGAGCGCTCCAAATATCCACTTGCACATACTACAAAAAGAGTGCCTCAAAGCTGCTCTCTGAAACGGAATGTTCAACTCTATGAGTTGAATGCAAACATCACAACGACGTTTCCGAGAATGCTTCTGTCTAGATTTGATATGAAGATATTCCCGTTTCCAACGAAATCTTCATATCTATCAAAATGTCCACTTGCAGATTCAACAAAAAGTGTTTTTCAGAACTGCTCTATCAAAAGAAAGATCCACCTCTGTTAGCTGAGTTCACACATCACAAAGAAGTTTATGAGAATGCTTCTGTCTAGTTTTTATTTGAAGATATTTCCTTTCTCACCATAGACCTGAAAGCTGTCCTAATGTTCACTTCCAGATACTACAGAAAGAGTGTTTCAAAACTGCTGTACGAAAGGGAATGATCAACTCTGTGACTTGAATGCACACATCACAAAGAAGTTTCTGAGGATGCTGCTATCTACTTTTTATACGTAATCCCGTTTCCAAAGAAATCCCCCAAGCTATCCAAATATCCACTTGCAGATTCCACAGAAAGACTGTTTCAAAACTGCTCTGTCAATAGAAAGGTTCAACTCTGTTAGCTGCGTGCATATATCCCAAAGAAGATTCTGAGATTGCTTCTGTCTAGTTTTTATGGGAAGATATTTCCCTTTTCACCGTAGGTGTCAAGGCGCTCCAAATGTCCACTTCCAGATACTACAAAAAGAGTGTTTCAAACCTACTCTGTGAAAGGGAATATTCAACTCTGTGACTTGAATGCAGATATCAGAAAGAAGTTTCTGAGAATGCTTCTGTCGAGATTTTCTATGAAGATATTCCCGTTTCCAACGAAATCCTGAAATCTATCCAAATATCCCCTCGCAGATTCTACAGAAAGAGTGTTTCAAAACTGCTCTGTAAAAAGAAAGGTTCAACTCTGTTAGTTGAGTACACACATCACAAACAAGTTTCACAGAATGCTTCTTTCTAGCTTGTAGGGGAAGATATTCCCTTTATCACCATGGGCCTCAAACCGTCCGAAACTTCTACTTCCATATACTACAAAAAGAGCGTTTCAAACCTGCTCTATGAAAAGCAATGTTCAACTCTGTGACTTGAATGCAGACATCACAGAGCAGTTTCTGAGAATGCTTCTGTCTAGATTTTATAGGAAGATATTCCCGTTTCCAACGAAATCTTCACAGCTATCCAAATATCCACTTGCAGATTCTACAAAAAGAGTGTATCAAAACTGCTCTGTCAAAAGGAAGGTTCTTCTCTGTTAGGTGAGTACAAACGTCATAAAGGAGTTTCTGAGAATGTTTTTGTCTAGTGGTTATGGGAAGATATTTGCTTTTTCCCCGTAGGCCTCAGAACGCTCCAAATATCCACTTGCACATACTACAAAAAGAGTGCTTCAAAGCTGCTCTCTGAAACGGAATGTTCAACTCTATGAGTTGAATGCAAACATCACAAAGACGTTTCTGAGAATGCTTCTGTCTAGATTTGATATGAAGATATTCCCGTTTCCAACGAAATCTTCAAATCTATCCAAATGTCCACTTGCAGATTCAACAAAGTGTTTTTCAGAACTGCTCTATCAAAAGAAAGATCCACCTCTGTTAGCTGAGATCACACTTCACAAACAAGTATATCAGAATGCTTCTGTCTAGTTTTTATTTGAAGATATTTCCTTTCTCACCATAGACCTGAAAGCGGTCCTAATGTTCACTTCCAGATACTACAGAAAGAGTGTTTCAAAACTGCTGTACGAAAGGGAATGTTCAACTCTGTGACTTGAATGCACACATCACAAAGAAGTTTCTGAGGATGCTGCTGTCTACTTTTTATACGTAATCCCGTTTCCAACGAAATCCTCCAATCTATCCAAATATCCACTTGCAGATTCCACAGAAAGACTGTTTCAAAACTGCTCTGTCAATAGAAAGGTTCAACTCTATTAGCTGCGTACATATATCCCAAAGAAGATTCTGAGATTGCTTCTGTCTAGTTTTTATGGGAAGATATTTCCCTTTTCACCGTAGGCGTCAAGGCGCTCCAAATGTCCACTTCCAGATACTACAAAAAGAGTGTTTCAAACCTACTCTGTGAAAGGGAATATTCAACTCTGTGACTTGAATGCAGATATCACAATGAAGTTTCTGAGAATGCTTCTGTCGAGATTTTATATGAAGATATTCCCGTTTCCAACGGAATCCTGAAATCTATCTAAATACCCCCTCGCAGATTCTACAAAAAGAGTGTTTCAAAACTGCTCTGTAAAAAGAAAGGTTCAACTCTGTTAGTTGAGTACACACATCACAAACAAGTTTCACAGAATGCTTCTTTCTAGCTTGTAGGGGAAGATATTTCCTTTATCACCATGGGCCGTAAACCGTCCGAAAGGTCCACTTCCATATACTAAAAAAAGAGTGTTTGAAACCTGCTCTATGAAAGGCAATGTTCAACTCTGTGACTTGAATGCAGACATCACAGAGCAGTTTCTGAGAATGCTTCTGTCTAGATTTTATAGGAAGATATTCCCGTTTCCAACGAAATCTTCACAGCTATCCAAATATCCACTTGCAGATTCTACAAAAAGAGTGTATCAAAACTGCTCTGTCAAAAGGAAGGTTCTTCTCTGTTAGTTGAGTACATACTTCATAAAGGAGTTTCTGAGAATGTTTCTGTCTAGTCGTTATGGGAAGATATTTGGTTTTTCACCGTAGGCCTCAGAGCGCTCCAAATATCCCCTTGCACATACTACAAAAAGAGTGCTTCAGAGCTGCTCTCTGAAAGGGAATGTTCAACTCTATGAGTTGAATGCAAACATCAAAAAGACGTTTCTGAGAATGCTTCTGTCTAGACTTGATATGAAGATATTCCCGTTTCCAAAGAAATCTTCAAATCTATCCAAATGTCCACTTGCAGATTCAACAAAAAGTGTTTTTCAGAACTGCTCTATCAAAAGAAAGATCCACCTCTGTTAGCTGAGTTCACACATCCAAAACAAGTTTATGAGAATGCTTCTGTCTAGTTTTTATTTGAAGATATTTTCTTTCTCACCATAGACCTGAAAGCTGTCCTAATGTTCACTTCCAGATACTACAGAAAGAGTGTTTCAAAACTGCTGTACGAAAGGGAATGTTCAACTCTGTGACTTGAATGCACACATCACAAAGATGTTTCTGAGGATGCTGCTGTGTACTTTTTATACGTAATCCCGTTTCCAACGAAATCCTCCAATCTATCCAAATATCCACTTGCAGATTCCACAGAAAGACTGTTTCAAATCTGCTCAGTCAATAGAAAGGTTCAACTCTGTTAGCTGCGTGCATATATCACAAAGAAGATTCTGAGATTGCTTCTGTCTAGTTTTTATGAGAAGATATTTCCCTTTTCACCGTAGGTGTCAAGGCGCTCCAAATGTCCACTTCCAGATACTACAAAAAGAGTGTTTCAAACCTACTCTGTGAAAGGGAATATTCAACTCTGTGACTTGAATGCAGATATCACAAAGAAGTTTCTGAGAATGCTTCTGTCGAGATTTTATATGAAGATATTCCCGTTTCCAACGAAATCCTGAAATCTATCCAAATATCCCCTCGCAGATTCTACAAAAAGTGTGTTTCAAAACTGCTCTGTAAAAAGAAAGGTTCAACTCTGTTAGTTGAGTACACACAGCACAAACAAGTTTCACAGAATGCTTCTTTCTAGCTTGTAGGGGAAGATATTCCCTTTATCACCATGGGCCTCCAACCGTCCGAAACATCCACTTCCATATACTACAAAAAGAGCGTTTCAAACCTGCTCTATGAAAGACAATGTTCAACTCTGTGACTTGAATGCAGACATCACAGAGCAGTTTCTGAGAATGCTTCTGTCTAGATTTTATAGGAAGATATTCCCGTTTCCAACGAAATCTTCACAGCTATCCAAATATCCACTTGCAGATTCTACAAAAGGAGTGTATCAAAACTGCTCTGTCAAAAGGAAGGTTCTTCTCTGTTAGGTGAGTGCATACGTCATAAAGGAGTTTCTGAGAATGTTTCTGTCTAGTGGTTATGGGAAGATATTTGCTTTTTCACCGTAGACCTCAGAGCGCTCCAAATATCCACTTGCACATACTACAAAAAGAGTGCCTCAAAGCTGCTCTCTGAAACGGAATGTTCAACTCTATGAGTTGAATGCAAACATCACAAAGACGTTTCTGAGAATGCTTCTGTCTAGATTTGATATGAAGATATTCCCGTTTCCAACGAAATCTTCAAATCTATCCAAATGTCCACTTGCAGATTCAACAAAAAGTGTTTTTCCGAACTGCTCTATCAACAGAAAGATCCGCCTCTGTTAGCTGAGTTCACACATCACAAACAAGTTTATGAGAATGCTTCTGTGTAGTTTTTATTTGAAGATATTTCCTTTCTCACCATAGACCTGAAAGCTGTCCTAATGTTCACTTCCAGATACTACAGAAAGAGTGTTTCAAAACTGCTGTACGAAAGGGAATGTTCAACTCTGTGACTTGAATGCACACATCACAAAGAAGTTTCTGAGGATGCTGCTGTCTACTTTCTATACGTAATCCCGTTTCCAACGAAATCCTCCAAGCTATCCAAATATCCACTTGCAGATTCCACAGAAAGACTGTTTCAAAACTGCTCTGTCAATAGAAAGGTTCAACTCTGTTAACTGCGTGCATATATCCCAAAGAAGATTCTGAGATTGCTTCTGTCTAATTTTTATGAGAAGATATTTCCCTTTTCACCGTAGGCGTCAAGGCGCTCCAAATGTCCACTTCCAGATACTACAAAAAGAGTGTTTCAAACCTACTCTGTGAAAGGGAATATTCAACTCTGTGACTTGAATGCACATATCACAAAGAAGTTTCTGAGAATGCTTCTGTCGAGATTTTATATGAAGATATTCCCGTTTCCAACGAAATCCTGAAATGTATCCAAATATCCCCTTGCAGATTCTACAAAAAGAGTGTTTCAAAACTGCTCTGTAAAAAGAAAGGTTCAACTCTGTTAGTTGAGTACACACATCACAAACAAGTTTATGAGAATGCTTCTTTCTAGCTTGTAGGGGAAGATATTCCCTTTATCACCATGGGCTTCAAACCGTCCGAAACATCCACTTCCATATACTACAAAAAGAGCGTTTCAAACCTGCTCTATGAAAGGCAATGTTCAACTCTGTGACTTGAATGCAGACATCACAGAGCAGTTTCTGAGAATGCTTCTGTCTAGATTTTATAGGAAGATGTTCCCGTTTCCAACGAAATCTTCACAGCTATCCAAATATCCACTTGCAGATTCTACAAAAAGAGTGTATCAAAACTGCTCTGTCAAAAGGAAGGTTCTTCTCTGTTAGGTGAGTGCATACGTCATAAAGGAGTTTCTGAGAATGTTTCTGTCTAGTGGTTATGGGAAGATATTTGCTTTTTCACCGTAGGCCTCAGAGCGCTCCAAATATCCACTTGCACATACTACAAAAAGAGTGCTTCAAAGCTGCTCTCTGAAACGGAATGTTCAACTCTATGAGTTGAATGCAAACATCACAAAGACGTTTCTGAGAATGCTTTCTGTCTAGATTTGATACGAAGATATTCCCGTTTCCAACGAAATCTTCAAATCTATCCAAATGTCCACTTGCAGATTCAACAAAAAGTGTTTTTCAGAACTGCTCTATCAAAAGAAAGATCCACCTCTGTTAGCTGAGTTCACACAACACAAACAAGTTTATGAGAATGCTTCTGTCTAGTTTTTATTTGAAGATATTTCCTTTCTCACCATAGAGCTGAAAGCTGTCCTAATGTTCACTTCCAGATACTACAGAAAGAGTGTTTCAAAACTGCTGTACGAAAGGGAATGTTCAACTCTGTGACTTGAATGCACACATCACAAAGAAGATTCTGAGGATGCTGCTGTCTACTTTTTATACGTAATCCCGTTTCCAACGAAATCCTCCAAGCTATCCAAATATCCACTTGCAGATTCCACAGAAAGACTGTTTCAAAACTGCTCTGTCAATAGAAAGGTTCAACTCTGTTAGCTGCGTGGATATATCCCAAAGAAAATTCTGAGATTGCTTCTGTCTAGTTTTTATGGGAAGATATTTCCCTTTTTACCGTAGGTGTCAAGGCGCTCAAAATGTCCACTTCCAGATACTACAAAAAGAGTGTTTCAAACCTACTCTGTGAAAGGGAATATTCAACTCTGTGACTTGAATGCAGATATCACAAAGAAGTTTCTGAGAATGCTTCTGTCGAGATTTTATATGAAGATACTCCCGTTTCCAACGAAATCCTGAAATCTATCCAAATATCCCTTCGCAGATTCTACAAAAAGAGTGTTTCAAAATTGCTCTGTAAAAAGAAAGGTTCAACTCTGTTAGTTGAGTACACACATCACAAACAAGTTTCACAGAATGCTTCTTTCTAGCTTGTAGGGGAAGATATTCCCTTTAACACCATGGGCCTCAAACCGTCTGAAACGTCCACTTCCATATACTAAAAAAGATCATTTCAAACCTGCTCTAGGAAAGGCAATGTTCAACTCTGTGACTTGAATGCAGACATCACAAAGCAGTTTCTGAGAATGCTTCTGTATAGATTTTATAGGAAGATATTCCCGTTTCCAACGAAATCTTCACAGCTATCCAAATATCCACTTGCAGATTCTACAAAAAGAGTGTATCAAAACTGCTCTGTCAAAAGGAAGGTTCTTACTCCTGTTAGGTGAGTGCATACGTCATAAAGGAGTTTCTGAGAATGTTTCTGTCTAGTGGTTATGGGAAGATATTTGCTTTTTCCCCGTAGGCCTCAGAGCGCTCCAAATATCCACTTGCACATACTACAAAAAGAGTGCTTCAAAGCTGCTCTCTGAAACGGAATTTTCAACTCTATGAGTTGAATGCAAACATCACAAAGACGTTTCTGAGAATGCTTCTGTCTAGATTTGATATGAAGATATTCCCGTTTCCAACGAAATCTTCATATCTATCCAAATGTCCACTTGCAGATTCAACAAAAAGTGTTTTTCAAAACTGCTCTATCAAAAGAAAGATCCACGTCTGTTAGCTGAGTTCACACATCACAAACAAGTTTATGAGAATGCTTCTGTCTAGTTTTTATTTGAAGATATTTCCTTTCTCACCATAGACCTGAAAGCTGTCCAAATGTTCACTTCCAGATACTACAGAAAGAGTGTTTCAAAACTGCTGTACGAAAGGGAATGTTCAACTCTGTGATTTGAATGCAGACATCACAAAGAAGTTTCTGAGGATGCTGCTGTCTACTTTTTATACGTAATCCCGTTTCCAACGAAATCCTCCAAGCTATCCCAAATATCCACTTGCAGATTCCACAGAAAGACTGTTTCAAAACTGCTCTGTCAATAGAAAGGTTCAACTCTGTTAGCTGCGTGCATATATCCCAAAGAAGATTCTGAGATTGCTTCTGTCTAGTTTTAATGGGAAGATATTTCCCTTTTCACCGTAGGCGTCAAGGCGCTCCAAATGTCCACTTCCAGATTCTACAAAAAGAGTGTTTCTAACCTACTCGGTGAAAGGGAATATTCAACTCTGTGACTTGAATGCAGATATCACAAAGAAGTTTCTGAGAATGCTTCTGTCGAGATTTTATATGAAGATATTCCCGGTTCCAACGAAATCCTGAAATCTATCCAAATATCCCCTCGCAGATTCTACAAAAAGAGTGTTTCAAAACTGCTCTGTAAAAAGAAAGGTTCAACTCTGTTAGTTGAGTACACACATCACAAACAAGTTTCACACAATGCTTCTTTCTAGCTTGTAGGGGAAGATATTCCCTTTATCACCATGGGCCTCAAACCGTCCGATAAGTCCACTTCCATATACTATAAAAAGAGCGTTTCAAACCTGCTCTATGAAAGGCAATGTTCAACTCTGTGACTTGAATGCAGACATCACAGAGCAGTTTCTGAGAATGCTTCTGTCTAGATTTTATAGGAAGATATTCCCGTTTCCAACGAAATCTTCACAGCTATCCAAATATCCACTTGCAGATTCTACAAAAAGAGTGTATCAAAACTGCTCTGTCAAACGGAAGGTTCTTCTCTGTTAGGTGAGTGCATACGTCATAAAGGAGTTTCTGAGAATGTTTCTGTGTAGTGGTTATGGGAAGATATTTGCTTTTTCACCGTAGGCCTCAGAGCGCTCCAAATATCCACTTGCACATACTACAAAAAGAGTGCTTCAAAGCTGCTCTCTGAAAGGGAATGTTCAACTCTATGAGTTGAATGCAAACATCACAAAGACGTTTCTGAGAATGCTTCTGTCTAGATTTTACATGAAGATATTCCCGTTTCCAACGAAATCTTCAAATCTATCCACATGTCCACATGCAGGTTCAACAAAAAGTGTTTTTCAAAACTGCTGTATGAAAAGAAAGATCCACCTATGTTAGTTGAGTTCACACATCACAAACAAGTTTATGAGAATGCTTCTGTCTAGTTTTTATTTGAAGATATTTCCTTTCTCACCATAGACCTGAAAGCTGTCCTAATGTTCACTTCCAGATACTACAGAAAGAGTGTTTCAAAACTGCTGTACGAAAGGGAATGTTCAACTCTGTGACTTGAATGCACACATCACAAAGAAGTTTCAGAGGATGCTGCTGTCTACTTTTTATACGTAATCCCGTTTCCAACGAAATCCTCCAAGCTATCCAAATATCCACTTGCAGATTCCACAGAAAGACTGTTTCAAAACTGCTCTGTCAATAGAAAGGTTCAACTCTATTAGCTGCGTACATATATCCCAAAGAAGATTCTGAGATGGCTTCTGTCTAGTTTTTATGGGAAGATATTTCCCTTTTCACCGTAGGCGTCAAGGCGCTCCAAATGTCCACTTCCAGATACTACAAAAAGAGTGTTTCAAACCTTCTCTGTGAAAGGGAACATTCAAATCTGTGACTTGAATGCACATATCACAAAGAAGTTTCTGAGAATGCTTCTGTCGAGATTTTATATGAAGATATTCCCGTTTCCAATGAAATGCTGAAATGTATCCAAATATCCCCTCGCAGATTCTACAAAAAGAGTGTTTCAAAACTGCTCTGTAAAAAGAAAGGTTCAACTCTGTTAGTTGAGTACACACATCACAAACAAGTTTCACAGAATGCTTCTTTCTAGCTTGTAGGGGAAGATATTCCCTTTATCACCATGGGCCTGAAACCGTCCGAAACGTCTACTTCCATATACTACAAAAAGAGCGTTTCAAACCTGCTCTATGAAAGGCAATGTTCAACTCTGTGACTTGAATGCAGACATCACAGAGCAGTTTCTGAGAATGCTTCTGTCTAGATTTTATAGGAAGATATTCCCGTTTCCAACGAAATCTTCACAGCTATCCAAATATCCACTTGCAGATTTTACAAAAAGAGTGTATCAAAACTGCTCTGTCAAAAGGAAGGTTCTTCTCTGTTAGGTGAGTGCATACGTCATAAAGGAGTTTCTGAGAATGTTTCTGTCTAGTGGTTATGGGAAGATACTTGCTTTTTCACCGTAGGCCTCAGAGCGCTCCAAATATCCACTTGCACATACTACAAAAAGAGTGCCTCAAAGCTGCTCTCTGAAACGGAATGTTCAACTCTATGAGTTGAATGCAAACATCACAAAGACGTTTCTGAGAATGCTTCTGTCTAGATTTGATATGAAGATATTCCCGTTTCCAACGAAATCTTCAAATCTATCGAAATGTCCACTTGCAGATTCAACAAAAAGTGTTTTTCAGAACTGCTCTATCAAAAGAAAGATCCACCTCTGTTAGCTGAGTTCACACATCACAAACAAGTTTATGAGAATGCTTTCTGTCTAGTTTTTATTTGAAGATATTTCCTTTCTCACCATAGAGCTGAAAGCTGTCCTAATGTTCACTTCCAGATACTATAGAAAGAGTGTTTCAAAACTGCTGTACGAAAGGGAATGTTCAACTCTGTGACTTGAATGCACACATCACAAAGAAGTTTCTGAGGATGCTGCTGTCTACTTTTTATACGTAATCCCGTTTCCAACGAAATCCTCCAAGCTATCCAAATATCCACTTGCAGATTCCCCAGAAAGACTGTTTCAAAACTGCTCTGTCAATAGAAAGGTTCAACTCTGTTAGCTGCGTGCATATATCCCAAAGAAGATTCTGAGATTGTTTCTGTCTAGTTTTTATGGGAAGATATTTCCCTTTTCACCGTAGGCGTCAAGGTGCTCCAAATGTCCACATCCGGATACTACAAAAAGAGTGTTTCAAACCTACTCTGTGAAAGGGAATATTCAATTCTGTGACTTGAATGCACATATCACAAAGAAGTTTCTGAGAATGCTTCTGTCGAGATTTTCTATGAAGATATTCCAGTTTCCAACGAAATCCTGAAATCTATCCAAATATCCCCTCGCAGATTCTACAAAAAGAGTGTTTCAAAACTGCTCTGTAAAAAGAAAGGTTCAACTCTGTTAGTTGAGTACACACATCACAAACAAGTTTCACAGAATGCTCCTTCTAGCTTGTAGGGGAAGATATTCCCTTTATCACCATGGGCCTCAAACCGTCCGAAACGTTTACTTCCATGTACTACAAAAAGAGCGTTTCAAACCTGCTCTATGAAAGGCAATGTTCAACTCTGTGACTTGAATGCAGACATCACAGAGCAGTTTCTGAGAATGCTTCTGTCTAGATTTTATAGGAAGATATTCCCGTTTCCAACGAAACCTTCACAGCTATCCAAATATCCACTTGCAGATTCTACAAAAAGAGTGTATCAAAACTGCTCTGTCAAAAGGAAGGTTCTTCTCTGTTAGGTGAGTGCATACATCATAAAGGAGTTTCTGAGAATGTTTCTGTCTAGTGGTTATGGGAACATATTTGCTTTTTCACCGTAGGCCTCAGAGCGCTCCAAATATCCACTTGCACATACTACAAAAAGAGTGCCTCAAAGCTGCTCTCTGAAACGGAATGTTCAACTCTATGAGTTGAATGCAAACATCGCAAAGACGTTTCTGAGAATGCTTCTGTCTAGATTTGATATGAAGATATTCCCGTTTCCAACGAAATCTTCAAATCTATCCAAATGTCCACTTGCAGATTCAACAAAGTGTTTTTCAATACTGCTGTATCAAAAGAAAGATCCACCTGTGTTAGCTGAGTTCACACTTCACAAACAAGTTTATGAGAATGCTTCTGTCTAGTTTTTATTTGAAGATATTTCCTTTCTCACCATAGAGCTGAAAGCTGTCCTAATGTTCTCTTCCAGATACTACAGAAAGAGTGTTTCAAAACGGCTGTACGAAAGGGAATGTTCAACTCTGTGACTTGAATGCACACATCACAAAGAAGTTTCGGAGGATGCTGCTGTCTACTTTTTATGCGTAATCCCTTTTCCAACGAAATCCTCCAAGCTATCCAAATATCCACTTGCAGATTCCACAGAAAGACTGTTTCAAAACTGCTCTGTCAATAGAAAGGTTCAACTCTGTTAGCTGCGTGCATATATCCCAAAGAAGATTCTGAGATTGCTTCTGTCTAGTTTTTATGGGAAGATATTTCCCTTTTCACCGTAGGCGTCAAGGCGCTCCAAATGTCCACTTCCAGATACTACAAAAAGAGTGTTTCAAACCTACTGTGTGAAAGGGAATATTCAACTCTGTGACTTGAATGCACATATCACAAAGAAGTTTCTGAGAATGCTTCTGTCGAGATTTTATATGAAGATATTCCCGTTTCCAACGAAATGCTGAAATGTATCCAAATATCCGCTCGCAGATTCTACAAAAAGAGTGTTTCAAAACTGCTCTGTAAAAAGAAAGGTTCAACTCTGTTAGTTGAGTACACACATCACAAACAAGTTTCACAGAATGCTTCTTTCTAGCTTGTAGGGGAAGATATTCCCTTTATCACCATGGGCCTCCAACCGTCCGAAACATCCACTTCCATATACTACAAAAAGAGCGTTTCAAACCTGCTCTATGAAAGGCAATGTTTAACTCTGTGACTTGAATACAGACATCACAGAGCAGTTTCTGAGAATGCTTCTGTCTAGATTTTATAGGAAGATATTCCCGTTTCCAACGAAATATTCACAGCTATCCAAATATCCACTTGCAGATTCTACAAAAAGAGTGTATCAAAACTGCTGTGTCAAAAGGAAGGTTCTTCTCTGTTAGGTGAGTGCATACGTCATAAAGGAGTTTCTGAGAATGTTTCTGCCTAGTGGTTATGGGAAGATATTTGCTTTTTCACCGTAGGCCTCAGAGCGCTCCAAATATCCACTTGCACATACTACAAAAAGAGTGCTTCAAAGCTGCTCTCTGAAAGGGAATGTTCAACTCTATGAGTTGAATGCAAACATCACAAAGACGTTTCTGAGAATGCTGCTGTCTAGATTTGATATGAAGATATTCCCGTTTCCAACGAAATCTTCAAATCTATCCAAATGTCCACTTGCAGATTCAACAAAAAGTGTTTTTCAGAAATGCTCTATCAAAAGAAAGATCCACCTCTGTTAGCTGAGTTCACACATCACAAACAAGTTTATGAGAATGCTTCTGTCTAGTTTTTATTTGAAGATATTTCCTTTCTCACCATAGAGCTGAAAGCTGTCCTAATGTTCACTTCCAGATACTACAGAAAGAGTGTTTGAAAACTGCTGTACAAAAGGGAATGTTCAACTCTGTGACTTGAATGCACACATCACAAAGAAGTTTCTGAGGATGCTGCTGTCTACTTTTTATACGTAATCCCGTTTCCAACGAAATCCTCCAAGCTATCCAAATATCCACTTGCAGATTCCACAGAAAGACTGTTTCAAAACTACTCTGTCAATAGAAAGGTTCAACTCTGTTAGCTGCGTGCATATATCCCAAAGAAGATTCTGAGATTGCTTCTGTCTAGTTTTTATGGGAAGATATTTCCCTTTTCACCGTAGGTGTCAAGGCGCTCCAAATGTCCACTTCCAGATACTACAAAAAGGGTGTTTCAAACCTACTCTGTGAAAGGGAATATTCAACTCTGTGACTTGAATGCACATATCACAAAGAAGTTTCTGACAATGCTTCTGTCGAGATTTTATATGAAGATATTCCCGTTTCCAACGAAATCGTGAAATCTATCCAAATATCCCCTCGCAGATTCTACAAAAAGAGTGTTTCAAAACTGCTCTGTAAAAAGAAAGGTTCAACTCTGTTAGTTGAGTACACACATCACAAACAAGTTTCACAGAATGCTTCTTTCTAGCTTGTAGGGGAAGATATTCCCTTTATCACCATGGGCCTCAAACCGTCCGAAACGTCTACTTCCATATACTACAAAAAGAGCGTTTCAAACCCGCTCTATGAAAAGCAATGTTCAACTCTGTGACTTGAATGCAGACATCACAGAGCAGTTTCTGAGAATGCTTCTGTCTAGATTTTATAGGAAGATATTCCCGTTTCCAACGAAATCTTCACAGCTATCCAAATATCCACTTGCAGATTCTTCAAAAAGAGTGTATCAAAACTGCTCTGTCAAAAGGAAGGTTCTTTTCTGTTAGGTGAGTGCATACGTCATAAAGGAGTTTCTGAGAATGTTTCTGTCTAGTGGTTATGGGAAGATATTTGCTTTTTCACCGTAGGCCTCAGAGCGCTCCAAATATCCACTTGCACATACTACAAAAAGAGTGCCTCAAAGCTGCTCTCTGAAACCGAATGTTCAACTCCATGAGTTGAATGCAAACATCACAAAGACGTTTCTGAGAATGCTTCTGTCTAGATTTGATATGAAGATATTCCCGTTTCCAACGAAATCTTCAAATCTATCCAAATGTCCACTTGCAGATTCAACAAAAAGTGTTTTTCAGAACTGCTCTATCAAAAGAAAGATCCACCTCTGTTAGCTGAGTGCACACATCACAAACAAGTTTATGAGTATGCTTCTGTCTAGTTTTTATTTGAAGATATTTCCTTTCTCACCATAGACCTGAAAGATGTCCTAATGTTCACTTAGAGATACTACAGAAAGAGTGTTTCAAAACTGCTGTACGAAAGGGAATGTTCAACACTGTGACATGAATGCACACATCACAAAGAAGTTTCTGTGGATGCTACTGTCTACTTTTTATACGTAAACCCGTTTCCAACGAAATCCTCCAAGCTATCCAAATATCCACTTGCAGATTCCACAGAAAAACTGTTACAAAACTGCTCTGTCAATAGAAAGGTTCAACTCTGTTAGCTGCGTGCATATATCCCAAAGAAGATTCTGAGATTGCTTCTGTCTAGTTTTTATGGGAAGATATTTCCCTTTTCACCGTAGGCGTCAAGGCGCTCCAAATGTCCACTTCCAGATACTACAAAAAGAGTGTTTCAAACCTACTCTGTGAAAGGGAATATTCACCTCTGTGACTTGAAGGCAGATATCACAAAGAAGTTTCTGAGAATGCTTCTGTCGACATTTTATATGAAGATATTCCCGTTTCCAACGAAATCCTGAAATGTATCCAAATATCCCCTCGCAGATTCTACAAAAAGAGTGTTTCAAAACTGCTCTGTAAAAAGAAAGGTTCAACTCTGTTAGTTGAGTACACACATCACAAACTAGTTTCACACAATGCTTCTTTCTAGCTTGTAGGGGAAGATATTTCCTTTATCACCATGGTCCTCAAACCGTCCGAAACGTCCACTTCCATATACTAAAAAAAGAGTGTTTGAAACCTGCTCTATGAAAGGCAACGTTCAACACTGTGACTTGAATGCAGACATCACAGAGCAGTTTCTGAGAATGCTTCTGTCTAGATTTTATAGGAAGATATTCCCGTTTCCAACGAAATCTTCACAGCTATCCAAATATCCTCTTGCAGATTCTACAAAAAGAGTGTATCAAAACTGCTCTGTCAAAAGGAAGGTTCTTCTTCTGTTAGGTGAGTGCATACGTCATAAAGGAGTTTCTGAGAATGTTTCTGTCTAGTGGTTATGGGAAGATATTTGCTTTTTCCCCGTAGGCGTCAGAGCGCTCCAAATATCCACTTGCACATACTACAAAAAGAGTGCTTCAAAACTGCTCTCTGAAAGGGAATGTTCAACTCTATGAGTTGAATGCAAACATCACAAAGACGTTTCTGAGAATGCCTCTGTCTAGATTTGATATGAAGATATTCCCGTTTCCAACGAAATCTTCAAATCTATCCAAATGTCCTCTTGCAGATTCAACAAAAAGTGTTTTTCAGAACTGCTCTATCAAAAGAAAGATCCACGTGTGTTAGCTGAGTTCACGCATCACGAACAAGTTTATGAGAATGCTTCTGTCTAGTTTTTATTTGAAGATATTTCCTTTCTCACCATATACCTGAAAGCTGTCCTAATGTTCACTTCCAGATACTACAGAAAGAGTGTTTCAAAACTGCTGTACGAAAGGGAATGTTCAACACTGTGACTTGAATGCACACATCACAAAGAAGTTTCTGAGGATGCTGCAGTCTACTTTTTATACGTAATCCCGTTTCCAACGAAATCCTCCAAGCTATCCAAATATCCACTTGCAGATTCCACAGAAAGACTGTTTCAAAACTGCTCTGTCAATAGAAAGGTTCAACTCTGTTAGCTGCGTGCATATATCCCAAAGAAGATTCTGAGATTGCTTCTGTCTAGTTTTTATGGGAAGATATTTCCCTTTTCACCATAGGCGTCAAGGCGCCCCAAATGTCCACTTCCAGATACTACAAAAAGAGTGTTTCAAACCTACTCTGTGAAAGGGAATATTCAACTCTGTGACTTGAATGCACATATCACAAAGAAGTTTCTGAGAATGCTTCTGTCGAGATTTTATATGAAGATATTCCCGTTTCCAACGAAATCCTGAAATCTATACAAATATCCCCTCGCAGATTCTACAAAAAGAGTGTTTCAAAACTGCTCTGTAAAAAGAAAGGTTCAACTCTGTTAGTTGAGTACACACATCACAAACAAGTTTCACAGAATGCTTCTTTCTAGCTTGTAGGGGAAGATATTCCCTTTATCACCATGGGCCTCAAACCGTCCGAAACGTCCACTTCCATATACTACAAAAAGAGTGTTTCAAACCTGCTCTAGGAAAGGCAATGTTCAACTCTGTGACTTGAATGCAGACATCACATAGCAGTTTCTGAGAATGCTTCTGTCTAGATTTTATAGGAAGATATTCCCGTTTCCAACGAAATCTTCACAGCTATCCAAGTATCCACTTGCAGATTCTACAAAAAGAGTGTATCAAAACTGCTCTGTCAAAAGGAAGGTTCTTCTCTGTTAGGTGAGTGCATACGTCATAAAGGAGTTTCTGAGAATGTTTCGGTCTAGTGGTTATGGGAAGATATTTGCTTTTTCACCGTAGGCCTCAGAGCGCTCCAAATATCCACTTGCACATACTAGAAAAAGAGTGCCTCAAAGCTGCTCTCTGAAACGGAATGTTCAACTCTATGAGTTGAATGCAAACATCACAAAGACGTTTCTGAGAATGCTTCTGTCTAGATTTGATATGAAGATATTCCCGTTTCCAACGAAATCTTCAAATCTATCCAAATGTCCACTTGCAGATTCAACAAAAAGTGTTATTCAGAACTGCTCTATCAAAAGAAAGATCCACCTCTGTTAGCTGAGTTCACACATCACAAAGAAGTTTATGAGAATGCTTCTGTCTAGTTTTTATTTGAAGATATTTCCTTTCTCCCCATAGACCTGAAAGCTGTCCTAATGTTCACTTCCAGATACTACAGAAAGAGTGTTTCAAAACTGCTGTACGAAAGGGAATGTTCAACTCTGTGACTTGAATGCACACATCACAAAGAAGTTTCTGAGGATGCTGCTGTCTACTTTTTATACGTAATCCCGTTTCCAACGAAATCCTCCAAGCTATCCAAATATCCACTTGCAGATTCCACAGAAAGACTGTTTCTAAACTGCTCTGTCAATAGAAAGGTTCAACTCTGTTAGCTGCGTGCATATATCCCAAAGAAGATTCTGAGATTGCTTCTGTCTAGTTTTTATGGGAAGATATTTCCCTTTTCACCGTAGGTGTCACGGCGCTCCAAATGTCCACTTCCAGATACTACAAAAAGAGTGTTTCAAACCTACTCTGTGAAAGGGAATATTCAACTCTGTGACTTGAATGCAGATATCACAAAGAAGTTTCTGAGAATGCTTCTGTCGAGATTTTATATGAAGATATTCCCGTTTCCAACGAAATCCTGAAATCTATCCAAATATCCCCTCGCAGATTCTACAAAAAGAGTGTTTCAAAACTGCTCTGTAAAAAGAAAGGTTCAACTGTGTTAGTTGAGTACACACATCACAAACAAGTTTCACAGAATGCTTCTTTCTAGCTTGTAGGGGAAGATTTTCCCTTTATCACCATGGGCCTCCAACCGTCCGAAACATCCACTTCCATATACTACAAAAAGAGCGTTTCAAACCTGCTCTAGGAAAGGCAATGTTCAACTCTGTGACTTGAATGCAGACATCACAGAGCAGTTTCTGAGAATGCTTCTGTCTAGATTTTATAGGAAGGTATTCCCGTTTCCAACGAAATCTTCACAGCTATCCAAATATCCTCTTGCAGATTCTACAAAAAGAGTGTATCAAAACTGCTCTGTCAAAAGGACGGTCCTTCTCTGTTATTTGAGTACATACGTCATAAAGGGGTTTCTGAGAATGTTTCTGTCTATTGGTTATGGGAAGATATTTGCTTTTTCACCTTAGGACTCAGAGCGCTCCAAATATCCCCTTGCACATACTACAAAAAGAGTGCTTCAAAGCTGCTCTCTGAAACGGAATGTTCAACTCTATGAGTTGAATGCAAACATCACAAAGACGTTTCCGAGAATGCTTCTGTCTAGATTTGATATGAAGATATTCCCGTTTCCAACGAAATCTTCAAATCTATCCAAATGTCCACTTGCAGATTCAACAAAAAGTGTTTTTCAAAACTGCTATATCAAAAGAAAGATCCACGTCTGTTAGCTGATTTCACACATCACAAACAAGTTTATGAGAATGCTTCTGTCTAGTTTTTATTTGAAGATATTTCCTTTCTCACCATAGAGCTGAAAGCTGTCCTAATGTTCACTTCCAGATACTACAGAAAGAGTGTTTCAAAACTGCTGTACGAAAGGGAATGTTCAACTCTGTGACTTGAATGCACACATCACAAAGAAGTTTCTGACGATGCTGCTGTCTACTTTCTATACGGTAATCCCGTTTCCAACGAAATCCTCCAAGCTATCCAAATATCCACTTGCAGATTCCACAGAAAGACTGTTTCAAAACTGCTCTGTCAATAGAAAGGTTCAACTCTGTTAACTGCGTGCATATATCCCAAAGAAGATTCTGAGATTGCTTCTGTCTAGTTTTTATGGGAAGATATTTCCCTTTTCACCGTAGGCGTCAAGGCGCTCCAAATATCCACTTCCAGATACTACAAAAAGAGTGTTTCAAACCTACTCTGTGAAAGGGAATATTCAACTCTGTGACTTGAATGCACATATCACAAAGAAGTTTCTGAGAATGCTTCTGTCGAGATTTTATATGAAGATATTCCCGTTTCCAACGAAATCCTGAAATGTATCCAAATATACCCTCGCAGATTCTACAAAAAGAGTGTTTCAAAACTGCTCTGTAAAAAGAAAGGTTCAACTCTGTTAGTTGAGTACACACATCACAAACAAGTTTCACAGAATGCTTCTTTCTAGCTTGTAGGGGAAGATATTCCCTTTATCACCATGGGCCTCAAACCGTCTGAAACGTCCACTTCCATATACTACAAAAAGAGTGTTTGAAACCTCCTCTATGAAAGGCAATGTTCAACTCTGTGACTTGAATGCAGACATCACAGAGCAGTTTCTGAGAATGCTTCTGTCTAGATTTTATAGGAAGATATTCCCGTTTCCAACGAAATCTTCACAGCTATCCAAATATCCACTTGCAGATTCTACAAAAAGAGTGTATCAAAACTGCTCTGTCAAAAGGAAGGTTTTTCTCTGTTAGTTGAGTACATACGTCATAAAGGAGTTTCTGAGAATGTTTCTGTCTACTGGTTATGGGAAGATATTTGCTTTTTCACCGTAGGCCTCAGAGCGCTCCAAATATCCACTTGCACATACTACAAAAAGAGTGCTTCAAAGCTGCTCTCTGAAAGGGAATGTTCAACTCTATGAGTTGAATGGAAACATCACAAAGACGTTTCTGAGAATGCTTCTGTCTAGATTTGATATGAAGATATTCCCGTTTCCAACGACATCTTCAAATCTATCCAAATGTCCACTTGCAGATTCAACAAAACGTGTTTTTCAGAACTGCTCTATCAAAAGAAAGATCCACCTCTGTTAGCTGAGTTCACACATAACAAACAAGTTTATGAGAATGCTTCTGTCTAGTTTTTGTTTGAAGATATTTCCTTTCTCACCATAGAGCTGAAAGCTGTCCTAATGTTCACTTCCAGATACTACAGAAAGAGTGTTTCAAAACTGCTGTACGAAAGGGAATGTTCAACTCTGTGACTTGAATGCACACATCACAAAGAAGTTTCTGAGGATGCTGCTGTCTACTTTTTATACGTAATCCCGTTTTTAACGAAATCCTCCAAGCTATCCAAATATCCACTTGCAGATCCCACAGAAAGACTGTTTCAAAACTGCTCTGTCTATAGAAAGGTTCAACTCTGTTAGCTGCGTGCATATATCCCAACGACGATTCTGAGATTGCTTCTGTCTAGTTTTTATGGGAAGATATTTCCCTTTTCACCGTAGGCGTCAAGGCGCTCCAAATGTCCACTTCCAGATACTACAAAAAGAGTGTTTCAAACCTACTCTGTGAAAGGGAATATTCAACTCTGTGACTAGAATGCACATATCACAAAGAAGTTTCTCAGAATGCATCTGTCGAGATTTTATATGAAGATATTCCCGTTTCCAACGAAATCTTGAAATCTATCCAAATATCCCCTCGCAGATTCTACAAAAAGAGTGTTTCAAAACTGCTCTGTAAAAAGAAAGGTTCAACTCTGTTAGTTGAGTACACACATCACAAACAAGTTTCACACAATGCTTCTTTCTAGCTTGTAGGGGAAGATATTCCCTTTATCACCATGGGCCTCCAACCGTCCGAAACATCCACTTCCATATACTACAAAAAGAGCATTTCAAACCTGCTCTATGAAAGGCAATGTTCAACTCTGTGACTTGAATGCAGACATCACAGAGCAGTTTCTGAGAATGCTTCTGTCTAGATTTTATAGGAAGATATTCCCGTTTCCAACGAAATCTTCACAGCTATCCAAATATCCACTTGCAGATTCTACAAAAAGAGTGTATCAAACCTGCTCAGTCAAAAGGAAGGTTCTTCTCTGTTAGGTGAGTGCATACGTCATAAAGGAGTTTCTGAGAATGTTTCTGTCTAGTGGTTATGGGAAGATATTTGCTTTTTCACCTTAGGCCTCAGAGCGCTCCAAATATCAACTTGCACATACTACAAAAAGAGTGCTTCAAAGCTGCTCTCTGAAAGGGAATGTTCAACTCTATGAGTTGAATGCAAACATCACAAAGACGTTTCTGAGAATGCTTCTGTCTAGATTTGATATGAAGATATACCCGTTTCCAACGAAATCTTCAAATCTATCCAAATGTCCACTTGCAGATTCAACAAAGTGTTTCTCAAAACTGCTGTATCAAAAGAAAGATCCACCTCTGTTACCTGAGTTCACACTTCGCAAACAAGTTTATCAGAACTCTTCTGTCTAGTTTTTATTTGAAGATATATCCTTTCTCACTATAGACCTGAAAGCTCTCATAAAGTTCACTTCCAGATACTACAGAAAGAGTGTTTCAAAAATGCTGTACGAAAGGTAATGTTCAACTCTGTGACTTGAATGCACACATCACAAGGAAGTTTCTGAGGATGCTGCTGTCTAATTTTTATACGTAATCCCGTTTCCAACGAAATCCTCCAAGCTATCCAAATATCCACTTGCAGATTCCACAAAAGAGTGTTTCAAAGCTGCTCTGTCAATAGAAATGTTCAACTCTGTTAGCTGCGTGCATATATCACAAAGAAGATTCTGAGATTGCTTCTGTCTAGTTTTTATGGGAAGATATTTCCCTTTTCACCGTAGGTGTCAAGGCGCTCCAAATGTCCACTTCCAGATACTACAAAAAGAGTGTTTCAAACCTACTCTGTGAAAGGGGATATTCAACTCTGTGACTTAAAGGCAGATATCACAAAGAAGTTTCTGAGAATGCTTCTGTCGAGATTTTATATGAAGATATTCCCGTTTCCAACGAAATCCTGAAATGTATCCAAATATCCCCTCGCAGATTCTACAAAAAGAGTGTTTCAAAACTGCTCTGTAAAAACAAACGTTCAACTCTGTTAGTTGAGTACACACATCACAAACAAGTTTCACACAATGCTTCTTTCTAGCTTGTAGGGGAAGATATTCCCTTTATCACCATGGGCCTCAAACCGTCCGAAACGTCTACTTACATATACTACAAAAAGAGCGTTTCAAACCTGCTCTATGAAAGGCAATGTTCAACTCTGTGACTTGTATGCAGACATCACAGAGCAGTTTCTGAGAATGCTTCTGTCTAGATTTTACAGGAAGATATTCCCGTTTCCAGCGAAATCTTCACAGCTATCCAAATATCCACTTGCAGATTCTACAAAAAGAGTGTATCAAAACTGCTCTGTCAAATGGAAGGTTCTTCTCTGTTAGGTGAGTGCATACGTCATAAAGGAGTTTCTGAGAATGTTTCTGTCTAGTGGTTATGGGAAGATATTTGCTTTTTCACCGTAGGCCTCAGAGCGCTCCAAATATCCACTTGCACATACTACAAAAAGAGTGTTTCAAAGCTGCTCTCTGAATGGGAATGTTCAACTCTATGAGTTGAATGCAAACATGACAAAGACGTTTCTGAGAATGCTTCTGTCTAGATTTGATATGAAGATATTCCCGTTTCCAACGAAATCTTCAAATCTATCCAAATGTCCACTTCCAGATTCAACAAAGTGTTTTTCAGAACTGCTCTATCAAAAGAAAGATCCACCTCTGTTAGCTGAGATCACACTTCACAAACAAGTTTATCAGAATGCTTCCGTCTAGTTTTTATTTGAAGATATATCCTTTCTCACTATAGACCTGAAAGCTGTCCTAAAATTCACTTCCAGATACTACAGAAAGAGTGTTTCAAAACTGCTGTACGAAAGGGAATGTTCAACTCTGTGACTTGAATGCACACATCACAAGGATGTTTCTGAGGATGCTGCTGTCTACTTTTTATACGTAATCCCGTTTCCAACGAAATCCTCCAAGCTATCCAAGTATCCACTTGCAGATTCCACAGAAAGACTGTTTCAAAACTGCTCTGTCAATAGAAAGGTTCAACTCTGTTAGCTGCGTGCATATATCCCAAAGAAGATTCTGAGATTGCTTCTGTCTACTTTTTATGAGAAGATATTTCCCTTTTCACCGTAGGTGTAAAGGCGCTCCAAATGTCCACTTCCAGATACTACAAAAAGTGTGTTTCAAACCTACTCTGTGAAAGGGAATATTCAACTCTGTGACTTGAATGCACATATCACAAAGAAGTTTCTGAGAATGCTTCTGTCGAGATTTTATATGAAGATATTCCCGTTTCCAACGAAATCCTGAAATCTATCCAAATATCCCCTCGCAGATTCTACAAAAAGAGTGTTTCAAAACTGCTCTGTAAAAAGGAAGGTTCAACTCTGTTAGTTGAGTACACACATCACAAACAAGTTTCACAGAATGCTTCTTTCTAGCTTGTAGGGGAAGATATTCCCTTTAGCACCATGGGCCTCCAACCGTCCGATAAGTCCACTTCCATATACTACAAAAAGAGCGTTTCAAACCTGCTCTATGAAAGGCAATGTTCAACTCTGTGACTTGAATGCAGACATCACAGAGCAGTTTCTGAGAATGCTTCTGTCTAGATTTTATAGGAAGATATTCCCGTTTCCAAAGAAATCTTCACAGCTATCCAAATATCCACTTGCAGATTCTACAAAAAGAGTGTATCAAAACTGCTCTGTCAAAAGGAAGGTTCTTCTCTGTTAGGTGAGTGCATACGTCATAAAGCAGTTTCTGAGAATGTTTCTATCTAGTGGTTATGGGAAGATATTTGCTTTTTCCCCGTAGGCCTCAGGGCGCTCCAAATGTCCACTTGCACATGCTTCAAAAAGAGTGCTTCAAAGCTGCTCTCTGAAAGGGAATGTTCAACTCTATGAGTTGAATGCAAACATCACAAAGACGTTTCTGAGAATGCTTCTGTCTAGATTTGATATGAAGATATTCCCGTTTCCAACGAAATCTTCAAATCTATCCAAATGTCTACTTGCAGATTCAACAAAAAGTGTTTTTCAAAACTGCTGTATCAAAAGAAAGATCCACGTCTGTTAGCTGAGTTCACACATCACAAACAAGTTTATGAGAATGCTTCTGTCTAGTTTTTATTTGAAGGTATTTCCTTTCTCACCATAGACCTGAAAGCTGTCCTAATGTTCACTTCCAGATACTACAGAAAGAGTGTTTCAAAACTGCTGTACGAAAGGGAATGTTCAACTCTGTGACTTGAATGCACACATCACAAGGAAGTTTCTGAGGATGCTGCTGTCTACTTTTTATACGTAATCCCGTTTCCAACGAAATCCTCCAAGCTATCCAAATATCCACTTGCAGATTCCACAGAAAGACTGTTTCAAAACTGTTCTGTCAATAGAAAGGTTCAACTCTGTTACTTGAGTACACACATCACAAACAAGTTTCACAGAATGCTTCTGTCTAGTTTTTATGGGAAGATATTTGCCTTTTCACCGTAGGCGTCCAGGCGCTCCAAATGTCCACTTCCAGATACTACAAAAAGAGTGTTTCAAACCTACTCTGTGAAAGGGAATATTCAACTCTGTGACTTGAATGCACATATCACAAGGAAGTTTCTGAGAATGCTTCTGTCGAGATTTTATATGAAGATATTCCCGTTTCCAACGAAATCCTGAAGTCTCTCCAAATATCCCCTCGCAGATTCTACAAAAACAGTGTTTCAAAACTGCTCTGTAAAAAGAAAGGTTCAACTCTGTTAGTTGAGTACACACATCACAAACAAGTTTCACAGAATGCTTCTTTCTAGCTTGTAGGGCAAGATATTCCCTTTATCACCATGGGCCTCAAACCGTCCGAAACGTCTACTTCCATATACTACAAAAAGAGCGTTTCAAACCTGCTCTATGAAAGGCAATGTTCAACTCTGTGACTTGAATGCAGACATCACAGAGCAGTTTCTGAGAATGCTTCTGTCTAGATTTTATAGGAAGATATTCCCGTTTCCAAAGAAATCTTCACAGCTATCCAAATATCCACTTGCAGATTCTACAAAAAGAGTGTATCAAAACTGCTCTGTCAAAAGGAAGGTTCTTCTCTGTTAGTTGAGTACATACGTCATAAAGGAGTAATCTGAGAATGTTCCTGTCTAGTGGTTATGGGAAGATATTTGCTTTTTCCCTGTAGGCCTCAAAGCGCTCCAAATGTCCACTTGCACATACTACAAAAAGAGTGCTTCAAAGCTGCTCTCTGAAAGGGAATGTTCAACTCTATGAGTTGAATGCTAACATCACAAAGTCGTTTCTGAGAATGCTTCTGTCTAGATTTGATATGAAGATATTCCCGTTTCCAACGAAATCTTCAAATCTATCCAAATGGCCACTTGCAGATTCAACAAAAAGTGTTTTTCAGAACTGCTCTATCAAAAGAAAGATCCACCTCTGTTAGCTGAGTTCACACATCACAAACAAGTTTATGAGAATGCTTCTGTCTAGTTTTTATTTGAAGATATTTCCTTTCTCACCATAGACCTGAAAGCTGTCCTAATGTTCACTTCCAGATACTACATAAAGAGTGTTTCAAAACTGCTGTACGAAAGGGAATGTTCAACTCTGTGACTTGAATGCACACATCCCAAAGAAGTTTCTGAGGATGCTGCTGTCTACTTTTTATACGTAATCCTGTTTCCAACGAAATCCTCCAAGCTATCCAAATATCCACTTGCAGATTCCACAGAAAGACTGTTTCAAAACTGCTGTCAATAGAAAGGTTCAACTCTGTTAGCTGCGTGCATATATCCCAAAGAAGATTCTGAGATTGCTTCTGTCTAGTTTTTATGGGAAGATATTTCCCTTTTCACCGTAGGTGTCAAGGTGCTCCAAATGTCCAATTCCAGATACTACAAAAAGAGTGTTTCAAACCTACTCTGTGAAAGGGAATATTCAACCCTGTGACTTGAATGTAGATATCACAAAGAAGTTTCTGAGAATGCTTCTGTCGAGATTTTATATGAAGATATTCCCGTTTCCAACGAAATCCTGAAATCTATCCAAATATCCCCTCGCAGATTCTACAAAAAGAGTGTTTCAAAACTGCTCTGTAAAAAGAAAGGTTCAACTCTGTTAGTGGAGTACACACATCACAAACAAGTTTCACAGAATGCTTCTTTCTAGCTTGTAGGGGAAGAAATTTCCTTTATCACCATGGGCCTCAAACCGTCCGAAACGTCCACTTCCATATACTAACAAAAGAGTGTTTGAAACCTGCTCTATGAAAGGCAATGTTCAACTCTGTGACTTGAATGCAGACATCACAGAGCAGTTTCTGAGAATGCTTCTGTCCTGACTTTATAGGAAGATATTCCCGATTCCAACGAAATCTTTACAGCTATCCAAATATCCACTTGCAGATACTACAAAAGAGTGTATCAAAAAAGCTCTGTCAAAAGGAAAGTTCTTCTCTGCTAGTTGAGTACATACGTCATAAAGAAGTTTCTGAGAATGTTTCTGTCTAGTGGTTATGGGAAGATATTTGCTTTTTCACCTTAGGCCTCAGAGCGCTCCAAATGTCCACTTGCACATACTACAAAAAGAGTGCTTCAAAGCTGCTCTCTGAAAGGGAATGTTCAACTCTATGAGTTGAATGCAAACATCACAAAGACGTTTCTGAGAATGCTTCTGTCTAGATTTGATATGAAGATATTCCCGTTTCCAACGAAATCTTCATATCTATCCAAATGTCCACTTGCAGATTCAACAAAAAGTGTTTTTCAGAACTGCTCTATCAAAAGAAAGATCCACCTCTGTTAGGTGAGTTCACACATCACAAAGAAGTTTATGAGAATGCTTCTGTCTAGTTTTTATTTGAAGATATATCCTTTCTCACTATAGACCTGAAAGCTGTCCTAAAGTTCACTTCCAGATACTACAGAAAGAGTGTTTCAAAACTGCTGTACGAAAGGTAATGTTCAACTCTGTGACTTGAATGCACACATCACAAGGATGTTTCTGAGGATGCTTCTGTCTAGTTTTTGTGGGAAGATATTTCCCTTTTCACCGTAGGTGTCAAGGCGCTCCAAATGTCCACTTCCAGATACTACAAAAAGAGTGTTTCAAACCTACTCTGTGAAAGGGAATATTCAACTCTGTGACTTGAATGCACATATCACAAAGAAGTTTCTGAGAATGCTTCTGTCGAGATTTTATATGAAGATATTCCCGTTTACAACGAAATCCTGAAATCTATCCAAATATCACCTCGCAGATTCTACAAAAAGAGTGTTTCAAAACTGCTCTGTAAAAAGAAAGGTTCAACTCTGTTAGTTGAGTACACACATCACAAACAAGTTTCACAGAATGCTTCTTTCTAGCTTGTAGGGGAAGATATTCCCTTTATCACCATGGGCCTCAAACCGTCCGAAACGTCCACTTCCATATACTACAAAAAGAGCGTTTCAAACCTGCTCTATGAAAGGTAATGTTCAACTCTGTGACTTGAATGCAGACATCACAGAGCAGTTTCTGAGAATGCTTCTGTCTAGATTTTATAGGAAGATATTCCCGTTTCCAACGAAATCTTCAGAGCTATCCAAATATCCACTTGCAGATTCTACAAAAAGAGTGTATCAAAACTGCTCTGTCAAAAGGAAGGTTCTTCTCTGTTAGGTGAGTGCATACGTCGTAAAGGAGTTTCTGAGAATGTTTCTGTCTAGTCGTTATGGGAAGATATTTGCTTTTTCACCGTAGGCCTCAGAGCGCTCCAAATATCCCCTTGCACATACTACAAAAAGAGTGCTTCAGAGCTGCTCTCTGAAAGGGAATGTTCAACTCTATGAGTTGAATGCAAACATCACAAAGACGTTTCTGAGAATGCTTCTCTCTAGATTTGATATGAAGATATTCCCGTTTCCAACGAAATCTTCAAATCTATCCAAATGTCCACTTGCAGATTCAACAAAACGTGTTTTTCAGAACTGCTCAATCAAAAGAAAGATCCACCTGTGTTAGCCGAGTTCACACATCACAAACAAGTTTATGAGAATGCTTCTGTCTAGTTTTTATTTGAAGATATTTCCTTTCTCACCATAGAGCTGAAAGCTGTCCTAATGTTCACTTCCAGATACTACAGAAAGAGTGTTTCAAAACTGCTGTACGAAAGGGAATGTTCAACTATGTGACTTGAATGCACACATCACAAAGGAGTTTCTGAGGATGCTGCTGTCTACTTTTTATACGTAATCCCGTTTCCAACGAAATCCTCCAAGCTATCCAAATATCCACTTGCAGATTCCACAGAAAGGCTGTTTCAAAACTGCTCTGTCAATAGAAAGGTTCAACTCTGTTAGCTGCGTGCATATATCCCAAAGAAGATTCTGAGATTGCTTCTGTCTAGTTTTTATGGGAAGATATTTCCCTTTTCTCCGTAGGGGTCAAGGCGCTCCAAATGTCCACTTCCAGATACTACAAAAAGAGTGTTTCAAACCTACTCTGTGAAAGGGAATATTCAACTCTGTGACTTGAATGCAGATATCATAAAGAAGTTTCTGAGAATGCTTCTGTCGAGATTTTATATGAAGATATTCCCGTTTCCAACGAAATGCTGAAATCTATCCAAATATCCCCTCGCAGATTCTACAAAAAGAGTGTTTCAAAACTGCTCTGTAAAAAGAAAGGTTCAACTCTGTTAGTTGAGTACACACATCACAAATAAGTTTCACACAATGCTTCTTTCTAGCTTGTAGGGGAAGATATTCCCTTTATCACCATGGGCCTCAAACCGTCCGATAAGTCCACTTCCATATACTACAAAAAGAGCGTTTCAAACCTGCTCTATGAAAGGCAACGTTCAACTCTGTGACTTGAATGCAGACATCACAGAGCAGTTTCTGAGAATGCTTCTGTCTAGATTTTATAGGAAGATATTCCCGTTTCCAACGAAATCTTCACAGCTATCCAAATATCCACTTGCAGATTCTACAAAAAGAGTGTATCAAAACTGCTCTGTCAAAAGGAAGGTTCTTTTCTGTTAGGTGAGTGCATACGTCATAAAGGAGTTTCTGGGAATGTTTCAGTCTAGTGGTTATGGGAAGATATTTGCTTTTTCCCCGTAGGCCTCAGAGCGCTCCAAATATCCACTTGCACATACTACAAAAAGAGTGCTTCAAAGATGCTCTCTGAAACGGAATGTTCAACTCTATGAGTTGAATGCAAACATCACAAAGACGTTTCTGGGAATGCTTCTGTCTAGATTTGATATGAAGATATTCCCGTTTCCAACGAAATCTTCAAATCTATCCAAATGTCCTCTTGCAGATTCAACAAAAACTGTTTTTCAGAACTGCTCTATCAAAAGAAAGATCCACGTGTGTTAGCTGAGTTCACACATCACGAACAAGTTTATGAGAATGCTTCTGTCTAGTTTTTATTTGAAGATATTTCCTTTCTCACCATAGACCTGAAAGCTGTCCTAATGTTCACTTCCAGTTACTACAGAAAGAGTGTTTCAAAACTGCTGTATGAAAGGGAATGTTCAACTCTGTGACTTGAATGCACACATCACAAAGAAGTTTCTGAGGATGCTGCTGTCTACTTTTTATATGTAATCCCGTTTCCAATGAAATCCTCCAAGCTATCCAAATATCCACTTGCAGATTCCACAGAAAGACTGTTTCAAAAGTGCTCTGTCAATAGAAAGGTACAACTCTGTTAGCTGCGTGCATATATCCCAAAGAAGATTCTGAGATTGCTTCTGTCTAGTTTTTATGGGAAGATATTTCCCTTTTCACCGTAGGCGTCACGGCGCTCCAAATGTCCACTTCCAGATACTATAAAAAGAGTGTTTGAAACCTACTCTGTGAAAGGGAATATTCAACTCTGTGACTTGAATGCAGATATCACAAAGAAGTTTCTGAGAATGCTTCTGTCGAGATTTTATATGAAGATATTCCCGTTTCCAATGAAATCCTGAAATCTATCCAAATATCCCCTTGCAGATTCTACAAAAAGAGTGTTTCAAAACTGCTCTGTAAAAAGAAAGGTTCAACTCTGTTAGTTGAGTACACACATCACAAACAAGTTTCACACAATGCTTCTTTCTAGCTTGTAGGGGAAGATATTCCCTTTATCACCATGGGCCTCAAACAGTCCGAAACGTCCACTTCCATATACTACAAAAAGAGCGTTTCAAACCTGCTCTAGGAAAGGCAATGTTCAACTCCGTGACTTGAATGCAGACATCCCAGAGCAGTTTCAGAGAATGCTTCTGTCTAGATTTTATAGGAAGATATTCCCGTTTCCAACGAAATCTTCACAGCTATCCAAATATCCACTTGCAGATTCTACAAAAAGAGTGTATCAAAACTGCTCTGTCAGAAGGAAGGTTCTTTTCTGTTAGGTGAGTGCATACGTCATAAAGGAGTTTCTGAGAATGTTTCTGTCTAGTGGTTATGGGAAGATATTTGCTTTTTCACCGTAGGCCTCACAGCGCTCAAAATATCCCCTTGCACATACTACAAAAAGAGTGCTTCAAAGCTGCTCTCTGAAACGGAATGTTCAACTCTATGAGTTGAATGCAAACGTGACAAAGACGTTTCCGAGAATGCTTCTGTCTAGATTTGATATGAAGATATTCCCGTTTCCAACGAAATCTTCATATCTATCCAAATGTCCACTTGCAGATTCAACAAAACGTGTTTTTCAGAACTGCTCTATCAAAAGAAACATCCACCTCTGTTAGCTGAGTTCACACATCACAAACAAGTTCTTGAGAATGCTTCTGTCTAGTTTTTATTTGAAGATATTTCCTTTCTCACCATAGACCTGAATGCTGTCTTAATGTTCACTTCCAGATACTACAGAAAGAGTGTTTCAAAACTGCTGTACGAAAGGGAATGTTCAACTCTGTGACTTGAATGCACACATCACAAAGAAGTTTCTGAGGATGCTGCTGTCTACTTTTTATACGTAATCCCGTTTCCAACGAAATTCTCCAAGCTATCCAAATGTCCACTTGCAGATTCCACAGAAAGACTGTTTCAAAACTGCTCTGTCAATAGAAAGGTTCAACTCTGTTAGCTGCGTGCATATATCCCAAAGAAGATTCTGAGATTGCTTCTGTCTAGTTTTTATTGGAAGATATTTCCCTTTTCACCGTAGGCGTCAAGGCGCTCCAAATGTCCACTTCCAGATACTACAAAAAGAGTGTTTCAAACCGACTCTGTTAAAACGAATATTCAACTCTTTGACTTGAATGCACATATCACAAAGAAGTTTCTGAGAACGCTTCTGTCGAGATTTTATATGAAGATATTCCCCTTTCCAACGAAATCCTGAAATCTATTCAAATATCCCCTTGCAGATTCTACAAAAAGAGTGTTTCAAAACTGCTCTGTAAAAAGAAAGGTTCAACTCTGTTAGTTGAGTACACACATCACAAACAAGTTTCACAGAATGCTTCTTTCTAGCTTGTAGGGGAAGATATTCCCTTTATCACCATGGGCCTCAAACCGTCCGAAACGTCCACTTCCATATACTACAAAAAGAGCGTTTCAAACCTGCTCTATGAAAGGCAATGTTCAACTCTGTGACTTGAATGCAGACAGAACAGAGCAGTTTCTGAGAATGCTTCTGTCTAGATTTTATAGGAAGATATTCCCGTTTCCAACGAAATCTTCACAGCTATCCAAAGATCCACTTGCAGATTCTACAAAAAGAGTGTATCAAAACTGCTCTGTCAAAAGGAAGGTTCTTCTCTGTTAGGTGAGTGCATACGTCATAAAGGAGTTTCTGAGAATGTTTCCGTCTAGTGGTTATGGGAAGATATTTGCTTTTTCACCGAAGGCCTCAGAGCGCTCCAAATATCCACTTGCACATACTACAAAAAGAGTGCCTCAAAGCTGCTCTCTGAAACGGAATGTTCAACTCTATGAGTTGAATGCAAACATCGCAAAGACGTTTCTGAGAATGCTTCTGTCTAGATTTGATATGAAGATATTCCCGTTTCCTACGAAATCTTCAAATCTATCCAAATGTCCACTTGCAGATTCAACAAAAAGTGTTTTTCAGAACTGCTCTATCAAAAGAAAGATCCACCTCTGTTAGCTGAGTTCACACATCACAAACAAGTTTATGAGAATGCTTCTGTCTAGTTTTTATTTGAAGATATTTCCTTTCTCACCATAGACCTGAAAGCTGTCCTAATGTTCACTTCCAGATACTACAGAAAGAGTGTTTCAAAACTGCTGTACGAAAGGGAATGTTCAACCCTGTGACTTGAATGCACACATCACAAAGAAGTTTCTGAGGATGCTGCTGTCTACTTTTTATACGTAATCCCGTTTCCAACGAAATCCTCCAATCTATCCAAATATCCACTTGCAGATTCCACAGAAAGACTTTTTCAAAACTGCTCTGTCAATAGAAAGGTTCAACTCTGTTAGCTGCGTGCATGTATCCCAAAGAAGATTCTCAGATTGCTGCTGTCTAGTTTTTATGGGAAGATATTTCCCTTTTCACCGTAGACGTCAAGGCGCTCCAAATGACCACTTCCAGATACTACAAAAAGAGTGTTTCAAACCTACTCTGTGAAAGGGAATATTCAACTCTGTGACTTGAATGCAGATATCACAAAGTACTTTCTGAGAATGCTTCTGTCGAGATTTTCTATGAAGATATTCCCGTTTCCTACGAAATCCTGAAATCTATCCAAATATCCCCTCGCAGATTCTACAAAAAGAGTGTTTCAAAACTGCTCTGTAAAAAGAAAGGTTCAACTCTGTTAGTTGAGTACACACATCACAAACAAGTTTCACAGAATGCTTCTTTCTAGCTTGTAGGGGAAGATATTCCCTTCATCACCATGGGCCTCAAACCGTCCGAAACGTCCACTTCCATATACTACAAAAAGAGTGTTTCAAACCTGCTCTATGAAAGGCAATGTTCAACTCTGTGACTTGAATGCAGACATCACAGAGCAGTTTCTGAGAATGCTTCTGTCTAGATTTTATAGGAAGATATTCCCGTTTCCAACGAAATCTTCACAGGTATCCAAATATCCACTTGCAGATTCTACAAAAAGAGTGTATCAAAACTGCTCTGTCAAAAGGAAGGTTCTTCTCTGTTAGGTGAGTACATACGTCATAAAGGAGTTTCTGAGAAAGTTCTGCCTAGTGGTTATGGGAAGATATTTGCTTTTTCACCGTAGGCCTCAGAGCGCTCCAAATATCCACTTGCACATACTACAAAAAGAGTGCTTCAAAGCTGCTCTCTGAAAGGGAATGTTCAACTCTATGAGTTGAATGCAAACATCACAAAGACGTTTCTGAGAATGCTTTCTATCTAGATTTGATATGAAGATATTCCCGTTTCCAATGAAATCTTCAAATCTATCCAAATGTCCACTTGCAGATTCAACAAAAAGTGTTTTTCAAAACTGCTGTATCAAAAGAAAGATCCACGTCTGTTAGCTGAGTTCACATATCACAAACTATTTTATGAGAATGCTTCTGTCTAGTTTTTATTTGAAGATATTGCCTTTCTCACCATAGACCTGAAAGCTGTCCTAATGTTCACTTCCAGATACTACAGAAAGAGTGTTTCAAAACTGCTGTACGAAAGGGAATGTTCAACTCTGTGACTTGAATGCACACATCACAAAGAAGTTTCTGAGGAGGCTGCTGTCTACTTTTTATACGTAATCCCGTTTCCAACGAAATCCTCCAAGCTATCCAAATATGCACTTGCAGATTCCACAGAAAGACTGTTTCAAAACTGCTCTGTCAATAGAAAGGTTCAACTCTGTTAGCTGCGTGCATATATCCCAAAGAAGATTCTGAGATTGCTTCTGTCTAGTTTTTATGGGAAGATATTTCCCTTTTCACCGTAGGTGTCAAGGCGCTCCAAATGTCCACTTACAGATACTACAAAAAGAGTGTTTCAAACCTACTCTGTGAAAGGGAATATTCAACTCTGTGACTTGAATGCACATATCACAAAGAAGTTTCTGAGAATGCTTCTGTCGAGATTTTATATGAAGATATTCCCGTTTCCAACGAAATGCTGAAATCTATCCAAATATCCCCTCGTAGATTCTACAAAAAGAGTGTTTCAAAACTGCTCTGTGAAAAGAAAGGTTCAACTCTGTTAGTTGAGTACACACATCACAAACAAGTTTCACAGAATGCTTCTTTCTAGCTTGTAGGGGAAGATATTCCCTTTATCACCATGGGCCTCAAACCGTCCGAAACGTCCACTTCCATATACTACAAAAAGAGCCTTTCAAACATGCTCTATGAAAGGCAATTTTCAACTCTGTGACTTGAATGCAGACATCACAGAGCAGTTTCTGAGAATCCTTCTGTCTAGATTTTATAGGAAGATATTCCGGTTTCCAACGAAATCTTCACAGCTATCCAAATATCCACTTGCAGATTCTACAAAAAGAGTGTATCAAAACTGCTCTGTCAAAAGGAAGGTTCTTCTCTGTTAGGTGAGTGCATACGTCATAAAGGAGTTTCTGAGAATGTTTCTGTCTAGTGGTTATGGGAAGATATTTGCTTTTTCACCGTAGGCCTCAGAGGGCTCCAAATATCCACTTGCACATGCTACAAAAAGAGTGCTTCAAAGCTGCTCTCTGAAAGGGAATGTTCAACTCTATGAGTTGAATGCAAACATCACAAAGACGTTTCTGAGAATGCTTCTGTCTAGATTTGATATGAAGATATTCCCGTTTCCAACGAAATCTTCAAATCTATCCAAATGTCCACTTGCAGATTCAACAAAAAGTGTTTTTCAGAACTGCTCTATCAAAAGAAAGATCCACCTCTGTTAGCTGAGTTCACACATCACAAATAAGTTTATGAGAATGCTTCTGTCTAGCTTTTATTTGAAGATATATCCTTTCTCACAATATACCTGAAAGCTCTCTTAAAGTTCACTTCCAGATACTACAGAAAGAGTGTTTCAAAACTGCTGTATGAAAGGGAATGTTCAACTCTGTGACTTGAATGCACATATCACAAAGAAGTTTCTGAGGATGCTGCTGTCTACTTTTTATACGTAATCCCGTTTCCAACGAAATCCTCCAAGCTATCCAAATATCCACTTGCAGATTCCACAGAAAGAATGTTTCAAAACTGCTCTGTCAATAGAAAGGTTCAACTCTGTTAGCTGCGTGCATATATCCCAAAGAAGATTCTGAGATTGCTTCTGTCTAGTTTTTATGGGAAGATATTTCCCTTTTCACCGTAGGCGTCAAGGCGCTCCGAATGTCCACTTCCAGATACTACAAAAAGAGTGTTTCAAACCTACTCTGTGAAAGGGAATATTCAACTCTGTGACTTGAATGCACATATCACAAAGAAGTTTCTGAGAATGCTTCTGTCGAGATTTTATATGAAGATATTCCCGTTTCCAACGAAATCCTGAAATCTATCCAAATATCCCCTCGCAGATTCTACAAAAAGAGTGTTTCAAAACTGCTCTGTAAAAAGAAAGGTTCAAGTCTGTTAGTTGAGTACACACATCACAAACAAGTTTCACAGAATGCTTCTTTCTAGCTTGTAGGTGAAGATATTCCCTTTATCACCATGGGCCTCAAACCGTCCGAAACGTCCACTTCCATATACTACAAAAAGAGCGTTTCAAACCTGCTCTAGGAAAGGCAGTGTTCAACTCTGTGACTTGAATGCAGACATCACAGAGCAGTTTCTGAGAATGCTTCTGTCTAGATTTCATATGAAGATATTCCTGTTTCCAACGAAATCTTCACAGCTATCCAAATATTCACTTGCAGATACTACAAAAAGAGTGTATCAAAAATGCTCTGTCAAAAGGAAAGTTCTTCTCTGCTAGTTGAGTACATACGTCATAAAGAAGTTTCTGAGAATGTTTCTGTCTAGTGGTTATGGGAAGATATTTGCTTTTTCACCTTAGGCCTCAGAGCGATCCAAATATCCACTTGCACATACTACAAAAAGAGTGCTTCAAAGCTGCTCTCTGAAAGGGAATGTTCAACTCTATGAGTTGAATGCAAATATCACAAAGACGTTTCTGAGAATGCTTCTGTCTAGATTTGATATGAAGATATTCCCGTTTCCAACGAAATCTTCAAATCTATCCAAATGTCCACTTGCAGATTCAACAAAAAGTGTTTTTCAGAACTGCTCTATCAAAAGAAAGATCCACCTCTGTTAGCAGAGTTCACACATCACAAACAAGTTTATGAGAATGCTTCCGTCTAGTTTTTATTTGAAGATATTTCCTTTCTCTCCATAGACCTGAAAGCTGTCCTAATGTTCACTTCCAGTTACTACAGAAAGAGTGTTTCAAAACTGCTGTACGAAAGGGAATGTTCAACTCTGTGACTTGAATGCACACATCACAAAGAAGTTTCTGAGGATGCTGCTGTCTAATTTTTATACGTAATCCCGTTTCCAACGAAATCCTCCAAGCTATCCAAATATCCACTTGCAGATTCCACAGAAAGACTGTTTCAAAACTGCTATGTCAATAGAAAAGTTCAACTCTGTTAGCTGTGTGCATATATCCCAAAGAAAATTCTGAGATTGCTTCTGTCTAGTTTTGATGGGAAGATACTTCCCTTTTCACCGTAGGTGTCAAGGCGCTCCAAATGTCCACTTCCAGATACTACAAAAAGAGTGTTTCAAACCTACTCTGTGAAAGGGAATATTCAACTATGTGACTTGAATGCACATATCACAAAGAAGTTTCTGAGAATGCTTCTGTCGAGATTTTATATGAAGATATTCTCGTTTCCAACGAAATGCTGAAATGTATCCAAATATCCCCTCGCAGATTCTACAAAAAGAGTGTTTCAAAACTGCTCTGTAAAAAGAAAGGTTCAACTCTGTTAGTTGAGTACACACATCACAAACAAGTTTCACAGAATGCTTCTTTCTAGCTTGTAGGGGAAGATATTCCCTTTATCACGATGGGCCTCAAACCGTCCGAAACATCCACTTCCATATACTACAAAAAGAGCATTTCAAACCTGCTCTATGAAAGGCAATGTTCAACTCTGTGACTTGAATGCAGACATCACAGAGCAGTTTCTGAGAATGCTTCTGTCTAGATTTTATAGGAAGATATTCCCGTTTCCAACGAAATCTTCACAGCTATCCAAATATCCACTTGCAGATTCTCCAAAAAGAGTGTATCAAAACTGCTCTGTCAAAAGGAAGGTTCTTCTCTGTTAGGTGAGTGCATACGTCATAAAGGAGTTTCTGAGAATGTTTCTGTCTAGTGGTTATGGGAAGATATTTGCTTTTTCACCTTAGGCCTCAGAGAGCTCCAAATATCCCCTTGCACATACTACAAAAAGAGTGCTTCAAAGCTGCTCTCTGAAAGGGAATGTTCAACTCTATGAGTTGAATGCAAACATCACAAAGACGTTTCTGAGAATGCTTCTGTCTAGATTTGATATGAAGATATTCCCGTTTCCAAAGAAATCTTCAAATCCATCCAAATGTCCACTTGCAGATTCAACAAAAAGTGTTTTTCAGAACTGCTCTATCAAAAGAAAGATCCACCTCTTTTAGCTGAGTTCACACATCACAAACAAGTTTATGAGAATGCTTCTGTCTAGTTTTTATTTGAAGATATTTCCTTTCTCACCATAGACCTGAAATCTGTCCTAATGTTCACTTCCAGATACTACAGAAAGAGTGTTTCAAAACTGCTGTACGAAAGGGAATGTTCAACTCTGGGACTTGAATGCATACATCACAAAGAAGTTTCTGAGGATGCTGCTGTCTACTTTTTATACATAATCCCGTTTCCAACGAAATCCTCCAAGCTATCCAAATATCCACTTGCAGATTCCACAGAAAGACTGTTTCAAAACTGCTCTGTCAATAGAAAAGTTCAACTCTGTTAGCTGTGTGCATATATCCCAAAGAAAATTCTGAGATTGCTTCTGTCTAGTTTTTAGGGGAAGATATTTCCCTTTTCACCGTAGGTGTCAAGGCGCTCCAAATGTCCACTTCCAGATACTAGAAAAAGAGTGTTTCAAACCTACTCTGTGAAAGGGAATATTCAACTCTGTGACTTGAATGCACATATCACAAAGAAGCTTCTGAGAGTGCTTCTGTCGAGATTTTTTATGAAGATATTCCCGTTTCCAACGAAATCCTGAAATCTATCCAAATATCCCCTCGCAGATTCTACAAAAAGAGTGTTTCCAAACTGCTCTGTAAAAAGAAAGGTTCAACTCTGTTAGTTGAGTACACACATCACAAACAAGTTTCACAGAATGCTTCTTTCTACCTTGTAGGGGAAGATATTCCCTTTATCACCATGGGCCTCAAACCGTCCGAAACGTCCACTTCCATATACTACAAAAAGAGCGTTTCAAACCTGCTCTATGAAAGGCAATGTTCAACTCTGTGACTTGAATGCAGACATCACAGAGCAGTTTCTGAGAATGCTTCTGTCTAGATTTTATAGGAAGATATTCCCGTTTCCAACGAAATCTTCACAGCTATCCAAATATCCACTTGCAGATTCTACAAAAAGAGTGTATCAAAACTGCTCTGTCAAAAGGAAGGTTCTTCTCTGTTAGGTGAGTGCATACGTCATAAAGGAGTTCCTGAGAATGTTTCTGTCTAGTGGTTATGGGAAGATATTTGCTTTTTCACCGTAGGCCTCAGAGCGCTCCAAATATCCACTTGCACATACTTCAAAAAGAGTGTTTCAAAGCAGCTCTCTGAAAGGGAATGTTCAACTCTATGAGTTGAATGCAAACATGACAAAGACGTTTCTGAGAATGCTTCTGTCTAGATTTGATATGAAGATATTCCCGTTTCCAACGAAATCTTCATATCTATCCAAATGTCCACTTGCAAATTCAACAAAAAGTGTTTTTCAAAACTGCTGTATCAAAAGAAAGATCCACCTCTGTTAGCTGAGTTCACACATCACAAACAAGTTTATGAGAATGCTTCTGTCTAGTTTTTATTTAAAGATATTTCCTTTCTCACCATAGACCTGAAAGCTGTCCTAATGTTCACTTCCAGATACTACAGAAAGAGTGTTTCAAAACTGCTGTACGAAAGGGAATGTTCAACTCTGTGACTTGAATGCACACATCACAAAGAAGTTTCTGAGGATGCTGCTGTCTACTTTTTATACGTAATCCCGTTTCCAACGAAATCCTCCAAGCTATCCATATATCCACTTCCAGATTCCACAGAAAGACTGTTTCAAAACTGCTCTGTCAATAGAAAGGTTCAACTCTGTTAGCTGCGTGCATATATCCCAAAGAAGATTCTGAGATTGCTTCTGTCTAGTTTTTATGGGAAGATCTTTCCCTTTTCACCGTAGGCGTCAAGGCGCTCCAAATGTCCACTTCCAGATACTACAAAAAGAGTGTTTCAAACCTACTCTGTGAAAGGGAATATTCAACTCTGTGACTTGAATGCACATATCACAAAGAAGTTTCTGAGAATGCTTCTGTCGAGATTTTATATGATGATATTCCCCTTTCCAACGAAATCCAGAAATCTATCCAAATATCCCCTCGCAGATTCTACAAAAAGAGTGTTTCAAAACTGCTCTGTAAAAAGAAAGTTTCAACTCTATTAGTTGAGTACACACATCACAAACAAGTTTCACAGAATGCTTCTTTCTAGCTTGTAGGGGAAGATATTCCCTTTATCACCATGGGCCTCAAACCGTCCGAAACGTCCACTTCCATATACTACAAAAAGAGCGTTTCTAAACTGCTCTAGGAAAGGCAATGTTCAACTCTGTGACTTGAATGCAGACATCACAGAGCAGTTTCTGAGAATGCTTCTGTCTAGATTTTATAGGAAGATATTCCCGTTTCCAACGAAATCTTCACAGCTATCCAAATATCCACTTGCAGATTCTACAAAAAGAGTGTATCAAAACTGCTCTGTCAAAAGGAAGGTTCTTCTCTGTTAGATGAGTACATACGTCATAAAGGAGTTTCTGAGAATGTTTCTGTCTAGTGGTTATGGGAAGATATTTGCTTTTTCACCTTAGGCCTCAGAGCGCTCCAAATATCCACTTGCACATACTACAAAAAGAGTGCTTCAAAGCTGCTCTCTGAAACGGAATGTTCAACTCTATGAGTTGAATGCAAACATCACAAAGACGTTTCTGAGAATCCTTCTGTCTAGATTTGATATGAAGATATTCCCGTTTCCAACGAAATCATCAAATCTATCCAAATGTCCACTTGCAGATTCAACAAAAAGTGTTTTTCAGAACTGCTCTATCAAAAGAAAGATCCACCTCTGTTAGCTGGGTTCACACATCACAAACAAGTTTATGAGAATGCTTCTGTCTAGTTTTTATTTGAAGATATTTCCTTTCTCAAAATAGACCTGAAAGCTGTCCTAATGTTCACTTCCAGATACTACAGAAAGAGTGTTTCAAAACTGCTGTACGAAAGGGAATGTTCAACTCTGTGACTTGAATGCACACATCACAAAGAAGTTTCTGAGGATGCTGCTGTCTACTTTTTATACGTAATCCCGTTTCCAACGAAATCCTCCAAGCTATCCAAATATCCACTTGCAGATTCCACAGAAAGACTGTTTCAAAACAGCTCTGTCAATAGAAAGGTTCAACTCTGTTAGCTGCGTGCATATATCCCAAAGAAGATTCTGAGATTGCTTCTGTCTAGTTTTTATGGGAAGATATTTTCCTTTTCACCGTAGGCGTCAAGGCGTTCCAAATGTACACTTCCAGATACTTCAAAAAGAGTGTTTCAAACCTACTCTGTGAAAGGGAATATTCAACTCTGTGACTTGAATGCAGATATCACAAAGAAGTTTCTGAGAATGCTTCTGTCGAGATTTTATATGAAGATATTCCCGTTTCCAACGAAATCCTGAAATCTATCCAAATATCCCCTCGAAGATTCTACAAAAAGAGTGTTTCAAAACTGCTCTATAAAAAGAAAGGTTCAACTCTGTTAGTTGAGTACACACATCACAAACAAGATTCACAGAATGCTTCTTTCTAGCTTGTAGGGGAAGATATTCCCTTTATCACCATGGGCCTCAAACCGTCCGAAACGTCTACTTCCATATACTACAAAAAGAGCGTTTCAAACCTGCTCTATGAAAGGCAATGTTCAACTGTGTGACTTGAATGCAGACATCACAGAGCAGTTTCTGAGAATGCTTCTGTCTAGATTTTATAGGAAGATATTCCCGTTTCCAACGAAATCTTCACAGCTATACAAATATCCACTTGCAGATTCTACAAAAAGCGTGTATCAAAACTGCTCTGTCAAAAGGAAGGTTCTTTTCTGTTAGGTGAGTGCATACGTCATAAAGGAGTTTCTGAGAATGTTTCTGTCTAGTGGTTATGGGAAGATATTTGCTTTTTCCCCGTAGGCCTCAAAGCGCTCCAAATCTCCACTTGCACATACTACAAAAAGAGTGCTTCAAAGCTGCTCTCTGAAAGGGAATGTTCAACTCTATGAGTTGAATGCAAGCATCACAAAGACGTTTCTGAGAATGCTTCTGTCTAGATTTGATATGAAGATATTCCCGTTTCCAAAGAAATCTTCAAATCTATCCAAATGTCCACTTGCAGATTCAACAAAAAGTGTTTTTCAAAAGTGTTGTATCAAAAGAAAGATCCACCTCTGTTAGCTGAGTTCACACATCAAAACAAGTTTATGAGAATGCTTCTGTCTAGTTTTTATTTGAAGATATTTCCTTCCTCACCATAGACCTGAAAGCTGTCCTAATGTTCACTTCCAGATACTACAGAAAGAGTGTTTCAAAACTGCTGTACGAAAGGGAATGTTCAACTCTGTGACTTGAATGCACACATCACAAAGAAGTTTCTGAGGATGCTGCTGTCTACTTTTTATACGTAATCCCGTTTCCAATGAAATCCTCCAAGCTATCCAAATATCCACTTGCAGATTCCACAGAAAGACTGTTTCAAAACTGCTCTGTCAATAGAAAGGTTCAACTCTGTTAGCTGCATGCATATATCCCAAAGAAGATTCTGAGATTGCTTCTGTCTAGTTTTTAGGGGAAGATATTTCCCTTTTCACCGTAGGTGTCAAGGCACTCCAAATGTCCACTTACAGATACTACAAAAAGAGTGTTTCAAACCTACTCTGTGAAAGGGAATATTCAACTCTGTGACTTGAATGCAGATATCACAATGAAGTTTCTGAGAATGCCTCTGTCGCGATTTTATATGAAGATATTCCCGTTTCCAACAAAATCCTGAAATCTATCCAAATATCTCCTCGCAGATTCTACAAAAAGAGTGTTTCAAAACTGCTCTGTAAAAAGAAAGGTTCAACTCTGTTAGTTGAGGACACACATCACAAACAAGTTTCACAGAATGCTTCTTTCTAGCTTGTAGGGGAAGATATTCCCTTTATCACCATGGGCCTCAAACCGTCCGAAACGTCCACTTCCATATACTACAAAAAGAGCGTTTCAAACCTGCTCTATGAAAGGCAATGTTCAACTCTGTGACTTGAATGCAGACTTCACAGAGCAGTTTCTGAGAATGCTTCTGTCTAGATTTTATATGAAGATATTCCCGTTTCCAACGAAATCTTCACAGCTATCCAAATATCCACTTGCAGATTCTACAAAAAGAGTGTATCAAAACTGCTCTGTCAAAAGGAAGGTTCTTCTCTGTTAGGTGAGTGCATACATCATAAAGGAGTTTCTGAGAATGTTTCTGTCTAGTGGTTATGGGAAGATATTTGCTTTTTCACCGTAGGCCTCAGAGCGCTCCAAATATGCACTTGCACATACTACAAAAAGAGTGCTTCAAAGCTGCTCTCTGAAAGGGAATGTTCAACTCTATGAGTTGAATGCAAACATCACAAAGACGTTTCTGAGAATGCTTCTGTCTAGATTTGATATGAAGATATTCCCGTTTCCAACGAAATCTTGAAATCTATCCAAATGTCCACTTGCAGATTCATACAAAGTGTTTTTCAGAACTGCTCTATCAAAAGAAAGATCCACCTCTGTTAGCTGAGATCACACTTCACAAACAAGTTTATCAGAATGCTTCTGTCTAGTTTTTATTTGAAGATATTTCCTTTCTCACCATAGAGCTGAAAGCTGTCCTAATGTTCACTTCCAGATACTACAGAAAGAGTGTTTCAAAACTGCTGTACGAAAGGGAATGTTCAACTCTGTGACTTGGATGCACACATCACAAAGAAGTTTCTGAGGATGCTGCTGTCTACTTTTTATACGTAATCCCGTTTCCAACGAAATCCTCCAAGCTATCCAAATATCCACTTGCAGATTCCACAGAAAGACTGTTTCAAAACTGCTCTGTCAATAGAAAGGTTCAACTCTGGTAGCTGCGTGCATATATCCCAAAGAAGATTCTGAGATTGCTTCTGTCTAGTTTTGATGGGAAGATATTTCCCTTTTCACCGTAGGTGTCAAGGCGCTCCAAATGTCCACTTCCAGATACTACAAAAAGAGTGTTTCAAACCTACTCTGTGAAAGGGAATATTCAACTCTGTGACTTGAATGCACATATCACAAAGAAGTTTCTGAGAATGCTTCTGTCGAGATTTTATATGAAGATATTCACGTTTCCAACGAAATCCTGAAATCTATCCAAATATCCCCTCGCAGATTCTACAAAAAGAGTGTTTCAAAACTGCTCTGTGAAAAGAAAGGTTCAACTCTGTTAGTTGAGTACACACATCACAAACAAGTTTCACAGAATGCTTCTTTCTAGCTTGTAGGGGAAGATATTCCCTTTATCACCATGGGCCTCAAACCGTCCGAAACGTCCACTTCCATATACTACAAAAAGAGCGTTTCAAACCTGCTCTAGGAAAGGCAATGTTCAACTCTGTGACTTGAATGCAGACATCAGATAGCAGTTTCTGAGAATGCTTCTGTCTAGATTTTATAGGCAAGATATTCCCGTTTCCAACGAAATCTTCACAGCTATCCAAATATCCACTTGCAGATTCTACAAAAAGAGTGTATCAAAACTGCTCTGTCAAAAGGAAGGTTCTTCTCTGTTAGGTGAGTGCATACGTCATAAAGGAGTTTCTGAGAATGTTTCTGTCTAGTGGTTATGGGAAGATATTTGCTTTTTCACCGTAGGCCTCAGAGTGCTCCAAATATCCACTTGCACATACTACAAAAAGAGTGCCTCAAAGCTGCTCTCTGAAACGGAATGTTCAACTCTATGAGTTGAATGCAAACATCACAAAGACGTTTCTGAGAAAGCTTCTGTCTAGATTTGATATGAAGATATTCCCGTTTCCAACGAAATCTTCAAATCTATCCAAATGTCCACTTGCAGATTCAACAAAAAGTGTTTTTCAGAACTGCTCTATCAAAAGAAAGATCCACGTTCGTTAGCTGAGTTCACACATCACAAACAAGTTTATGAGAATGCTTCTGTCTAGTTTTTATTTGAAGATATTTCCTTTCTCACCATAGACCTGAAAGCTGTCCTAATGTTCACTTCCAGATACTACAGAAAGAGTGTTTCAAAACTGCTATACGAAAGGGAATGTTCAACTCTGTGACTTGAATGCACACATCACAAAGAAGTTTCTGAGGATGCTGCTGTCTACTTTTTATACGTAATCCCGTTTCCAACGAAATCCTCCAAGCTATCCAAATATCCACTTGCAGATTCCACAGAAAGACTGTTTCAAAAGTGCTCTGTCAATAGAAAGGTTCAACTCTGTTAGCTGCGTGCATATATCCCAAAGAAGATTCTGAGATTGCTTCTGTCTACTTTTTATGAGAAGATATTTCCCTTTTCACCGTAGGCGTCAAGGCGCACCAAATGTCAACTTCCAGATACTACAAAAAGAGTGTTTCAAACCTACTCTGTGAAAGGGAATATTCAACTCTGTGACTTGAATGCAGATATCACAAAGAAGTTTCTGAGAATGCTTCTGTCGAGATTTTATATGAAGATATTCCCGTTTCCAACGAAATCCTGAAATCTATCCAAATATCCCCTCGCAGATTCTACAAAAAGAGTGTTTCAAAACTGCTCTGTAAAAAGAAAGGTTCAACTCTGTTAGTTGAGTACACGCATCACAAACAAGTTTCACAGAATGCTTCTTTCTAGCTTGTAGGGGAAGATATTCCCTTTATCACCATGGGCCTCCAACCGTCCGAAACATCCACTTCCATATACTACAAAAAAGCGTTTCAAACCTGCTCTATGAAAGGCAATGTTCAACTCTGTGACTTGAATACAGACATCACAGAGCAGTTTCTGAGAATGCTTCTGTCTAGATTTTATAGGAAGATATTCCCGTTTCCAACGGAATCTTCACAGCTATCCAAATATCCACTTGCAGATTCTACAAAAAGAGTGTATCAAAACTGCTCTGTCAAAAGGAAGGTTCTTCTCTGTTAGGTGAGTGCATACGTCATAAAGGAGTTTCTGAGAATGTTTCTGTCTAGTGGTTATGGGAAGATATTTTCTTTTTCACCGTAGGCCTCAGAGCGCTCCAAATATCCACTTGCACATACTACAAAAAGAGTGTTTCAAAGCTGCTTTCTGAAAGGGAATGTTCAACTCTATGAGTTGAATGCAAACAGGACAAAGACGTTTCTGAGAATGCTTCTGTCTAGATTTGATATGAAGATATTCCCGTTTCCAATGAAATCTTCAAATCTATCCAAATGTCCACTTGCGGATTCAACAAAAAGTGTTTTTCAAAACTGCTGTATCAAAAGAAAGATCCACCTCTGTTAGCTGAGTTCACACATCACAAACAAGTTTATGAGAATGCTTCTGTCTAGTTTTTATTTGAAGATATTTCCTTTCTCACCATAGACCTGAAAGCTGTCCTAATGTTCACTTCCAGATGCTACAGAAAGAGTGTTTCAAAACTGTTGTACGAAAGGGAATGTTCAACTCTGTGACTTGAATGCACACATCACAAAGAAGTTTCTGAGGATGCTGCTGTCTACTTTTTATACATAATCCCGTTTCCAACGAAATCCTCCAAGCTATCCAAATATCCACTTGCAGATTCCACAGAAAGACTGTTTCAAAACTACTCTGTCAATAGAAAGGTTCAACTCTGTTAGCTGCGTGCATGTATCCCAAAGAAGATTCTGAGATTGCTTCTGTCTAGTTTTTATGGGAAGATATTTCCCTTTTCATCGTAGGGGTCAAGGCGCTCCAAATGTCCACTTCCAGATACTACAAAAAGAGTGTTTCAAACCTACTCTGTGAAAGGGAATATTCAACTCTGTGACTTGAATGCAGATATCACAAGAAGTTTCTGAGAATGCTTCTGTCGAGATTTTATATGAAGATATTCCCGTTTCCAACGAAATGCTGAAATGTATCCAAATATCCCCTCGCAGATTCTACAAAAAGAGGGTTTCAAAACTGCTCTGTAAAAAGAAAGGTTCAACTCTGTTAGTTGAGTACACACATCACAAACAAGTTTCACAGAATGCTTCTTTCTAGCTTGTAGGGGAAGATATTCCCTTTATCACCATGGTCCTCAAACCGTCCGAAACGTCCACTTCCATATACTACAAAAAGAGCGTTTCAAACCTGCTCTAGGAAAGGTAATGTTCAACTCTGTGACTTGAATGCAGACATCACAGAGCAGTTTCTGAGAATGCTTCTGTCTAGATCTTATAGGAAGATATTCCCGTTTCAAACGAAATCTTCACAGCTATCCAAATATCCACTTGCAGATTCTACAAAAAGAGTGTATCAAAACTGCTCTGTCAAAAGGAAGGTTCTTCTCTGTTAGGTGAGTGCATACGGTCATAAAGGATTTTCTGAGAATGTTTCTGTCTAGTGGTTATGGGAAGATATTTGCTTTTTCCCCGTCGGCCTCAGGGCGCTCCAAATGTCCACTTGCACATGCTACAAAAAGAGTGCTTCAAAGCTGCTCTCTCAAAGGGAATGTTCAACTCTATGAGTTGAATGCAAACATCGCAAAGACGTTTCTGAGAATGCTTCTGTCTAGATTTGATATGAAGATATTCCCGTTTCCAACGAAATCTTCAAATCTATCCAAATGTCCACTTGCAGATTCAACAAAAAGTGTTTTTCAGAACTGCTCTATCAAAAGAAAGATCTACCTCTGTTAGCTGAGTTCACACATCACAAACAAGTTTATGAGAATGCTTCTGTCTAGTTTTTATTTGAAGATATTTCCTTTCTCACCATAGACCTGAAAGCTGTCCTAATGTTCACTTCCAGATACTACAGAAAGAGTGTTTCAAAACTGCTGTACGAAAGGGAATGTTCAACTCTGTGACTTGAATGCACACATCACAAGGATGTTTCTGAGGATGCTGCTGTCTACTTTTTATACGTAATCCCGTTTCCAACGAAATCCTCCAAGCTATCCAAATATCCCCTTGCAGATTCCACAGAAAGACTGTTTCAAAACTGCTCTGTCAATAGAAAGGTTCAACTCTATTAGCTGCGTACATATATCCCAAAGAAGATTCTGAGATTGCTTCTGTCTAGTTTTTATGGGAAGATATTTCCCTTTTCACCGTAGGCGTCAAGGCACTCCAAATGTCCACTTCCAGATACTACAAAAAGAGTGTTTCAAACCTACTCTGTGAAAGGGAATATTCAACTCTGTCACTTGAAGGCAGATATGACAAAGAAGTTTCTGAGAATGCTTCTGTCGAGATTTTATATGAAGATATTCCCGTTTCCAACGAAATGCTGAAATCTATCCAAATATCCCCTCGCAGATTCTACAAAAAGAGTGTTTCAAAACTGCTCTGTAAAAAGAAAGGTTCAACTCTGTTAGTTGAGTACACACATCACAAACAAGTTTCACAGAATGCTTCTTTCTAGCTTGTAGGGGAAGATATTCCCTTTATCACCATGGGTCTCAAACCGTCCGAAACGTCCACTTCCATATACTACAAAAAGAGCGTTTCAAACCTGCTCTATGAAAGGCAATGTTCAACTCTGTGACTTGAATGTAGACATCACAGAGCTGTTTCTGAGAATGCTTCTGTCTAGATTTTATAAGAAGATATTCCCGTTTCCAACGAAATCTTCACAGCTATCCAAATATCCACTTGCAGATTCTACAAAAAGAGTGTATCAAAACTGCTCTGTCAAAAGGAAGGTTCTTCTCTGTTAGGTGAGTGCATACGTCATAAAGCAGTTTCTGAGAATGTTTCTGTCTAGTGGTTATGGGAAGATATTTTCTTTTTCCCCGTAGGCCTCAGGGCGCTCCAAATGTCCACTTGCACATGCTACAAAAAGAGTGCTTCAAAGCTGCTCTCTTAAAGGGAATGTTCAACTCTATGAGTTGAATGCAAACATCACAAAGACGTTTCTGAGAATGCTTCTGTCTAGATTTGATATGAAGATATTCCCGTTTCCAAGGAAATCTTCAAATCTATCCAAATGTCCACTTGCAGATTCAACAAAAAGTGTTTTTCAGAACTGCTCTATCAAAAGAAAGATCCACTTCTGTTAGCTGAGTTCACACATCACAAACAAGTTTATGAGAATGCTTCTGTCTAGTTTTTATTTGAAGATATTTCCTTTCTCACCATAGAGCTGAAAGCTGTCCTAATGTTCACTTCCAGATACTACAGAAAGAGTGTTTCAAAACTGCTGTACGAAAGGGAATGTTCAAGTCTGTGACTTGAATGCACACATCACAAAGAAGTTTCTGAGGATGCTGCTGTCTACTTTTGATACGTAATCCCGTTTCCAACGAAATCCTCCAAGCTATCCAAATATCCACTTGCAGATTCCACAGAAAGACTGTTTCAAAACTGCTCTGTCAATAGAAAGGTTCAACTCTGTTAGCTGCGTGCATATATCCCAAAGAAGATTCTGAGATTCCTTCTGTCTACTTTTTATGGGAAGATATTTCCCTTTTCACCATAGGTGTCAAGGCGCTCCAAATGTCCACTTCCAGATACTACAAAAAGAGTGTTTCAAACCTACTCTGTGAAAGGGAATATTCAACTCTGTGACTTGAATGCACATATTACAAAGAAGTTTCTGAGAATGCTTCTGTCGAGATTTTATATGAAGATATTCCCGTTTCCAACGAAATCCTGAAATCTATCCAAATATCCCCTTGCAGATTCTACAAAAAGAGTGTTTCAAAACTGCTCTGTAAAAAGAAAGGTTCAACTCTGTTAGTTGAATACACACATCACAAACAAGTTTCACAGAGTGCTTCTTTCTATCTTGTAGGGGAAGATATTCCCTTTATCACTATGGGCCTCAAACCGTCCGAAAAGTCTACTTCCATATACTACAAAAAGAGCGTTTCAAACGTGCTCTATGAAAGGCAATGTTCAACTCTGTGACTTGAATGCAGACATCACAGAGCAGTTTCTGAGAATGCTTCTGTCTAAATTTTATAGGAAGATATTCCCGTTTCCAACGAAATCTTCACAGCTATCCAAATATCCACTTGCAGATTCTACAAAAAGAGTGTATCAAAACTGCTCTGTCAAAAGGAAGGTTCTTTTCTGTTAGGTGAGTGCATACGTCATAAAGGAGTTTCTGAGAATGTTTCTGTCTAGTGGTTATGGGAAGATATTTGCTTTTTCACCGTAGGCCTCAGAGCGCTCCAAATATCCACTTGCACATACTACAAAAAGAGTGCTTCAAAGCTGCTCTCTGAAAGGGAATGTTCAACTCTATGAGTTGAATGCAAACATCACAAAGACGTTTCTGAGAATGCTTTCTGTCTAGATTTGATATGAAGATCTTCCCGTTTCCAACGAAATCTTCAAATCTATCCAAATGTCCACTTGCAGATTCAACAGAAAGTGTTTTTCAGAACTGCTCTATCAAAAGAAAGATCCACCTCTGTTAGCTGAGTTCACACATCACAAACAAGTTTATGAGAATGCTTCTGTCTAGTTTTTATTTGAAGAATATTTCCTTTCTCACCATAGACCTGAAAGCTGTCCTAATGTTCACTTCCAGATACTACAGAAAGAGTGTTTCAAAACTGCTGTACGAAAGGGAATGTTGAACTCTGTGACTTGAATGCACACATCACAAAGAAGTTTCTGAGGATGCTGCTGTCTACTTTTTATACGTAATCCCGTTTCCAACGAAATCCTCCAACCTATCCAAATATCCACTTGCAGAATCCACAGAAAGACTGTTTCAAAACTGCTCTGTCAATAGAAAGGTTCAACTCTGTTAGCTGCGTGCATATATCCCAAAGAAGATTCTGAGATTGCTTCTGTCTAGTTTTTATGGGAAGATATTTCCCTTTTCACCGTAGGTGTCAAGGCGCTCCAAATGTCCACTTCCAGATACTACAAAAAGAGTGTTTCAAACCTACTCTGTGAAAGGGAATATTCAGCTCTGTGACTTGAATGCACATATCACAAAGAAGTTTCTGAGAATGCTTCTGTCGAGATTTTATATGAATATATTCCCGTTTCCAACGAAATGCTGAAATGTATCCAAATATCCCCTCGCAGATTCTACAAAAAGAGTGTTTCAAAACTGCTCTGTAAAAAGAAAGGTTCAACTCTGTTAGTTGAGTACACACATCACAAACAAGTTTCACACAATGCTTCTTTCTAGCTTGTAGGGGAAGATATTCCCTTTATCACCATGGGCCTCAAACCGTCCGAAACGTCTACTTCCATATACTACAAAAAGAGAGTTTCAAACCTGCTCTATGAAAGGCAATGTTCAACTCTGTGACTTGAATGCAGACATCACAGAGCAGTTTCTGAGAATGCTTGTCTGTCTACATTTTATAGGAAGATATTCCCGTTTCCAACGAAATCTTCACAGCTATCCAAATATCCACTTGCAGATTCTACAAAAAGAGTGTATCAAAACTGCTCTGTCAAAAGGAAGGTTCTTCTCTGTTAGGTGAGTACATACGTCATAAAGGAGTTTCTGAGAATGTTTCTGTCTAGTGGTTATGGGAAGATATTTGCTTTTTCACCTTAGGCCTCAGAGCGCTCCAAATATCCCCTTGCACATACTACAAAAAGAGTGCTTCAAAGCTGCTCTCTTAAACGGAATGTTCAACTCTATGAGGTGAATGCAAACATGACAAAGACGTTTCCGAGAATGCTTCTGTCTAGATTTGATATAAAGATATTCCCGTTTCCAACGAAATCTTCAAATCTATCCAAATGTCCACTTGGAGATTCAACAAAAAGTGTTTTTCCGAACTGCTCTATCAAAAGAAAGATCCACCTCTGTTAGCTGAGTTCACACATCACAAACAAGTTTATGAGAATGCTTATCTGTCTAGTTTTTATTTGAAGATATTTCCTTTCTCACCATAGAGCTGAAAGCTGTCCTAATGTTCACTTCCAGATACTACAGAAAGAGTGTTTCAAAACTGCTGTACGAAAGGGAATGTTCAACTCTGTGAGTTGAATGCACACATCACAAAGAAGTTTCTGAGGATGTTGCTGTCTACTTTTTATACGTAATCCCGTTTCCAGCGAAATCCTCCAATCTATCCAAATATCCACTTGCAGATTCCACAGAAAGACTGTTTCAAAACTGCTCTGTCAATAGAAAGGTTCAACTCTGTTAGCTGCCTGCATATATCCCAAAGAAGATTCTGAGATTGCTTCTGTCTAGTTTTTATGGGAAGATATTTCCCTTTTCACCGTAGACGTCAAGGCGCTCCAAATGTCCACTTCCAGATATTACAAAAAGAGTGTTTCAAACCTACTCTGTGAAAGGGAATATTCAACTCTGTGACTTGAATGCAGATATCACAAAGAAGTTTCTGAGAATGCTTCTCTGTCGAGATTTTATATGAAGATATTTTCCCGTTTCCAACGAAATCCTGAAATCTATCCAAATATCCCCTCGCAGATTCTACAAAAAGAGTGTTTCAAAACTGCTCTGTGAAAAGAAAGGTTCAACTCTGTTAGTTGAGTACACACATCACAAACAAGTTTCACAGAATGCTTCTTTCTAGCTTGTAGGGGAAGATATTCCCTTTATCACCATGGGCCTCAAACCGTCCGAAATGTCCACTTCCATATACTACAAAAAGAGCATTTACAACCTGCTCTATGAAAGGCAATGTTCAACTCTGTGACTTGAATGCAGACATCACAGAGCAGTTTCTGAGAATGCTTCTGTCTAGATTTTATAGGAAGATATTCCCGTTTCCAACGAAATCTTCACAGCTATCCAAATATCCACTTGCAGATTCTACAAAAAGAGTGTATCAAAACTGCTCTGTCAAAAGGAAGGTTCTTCTCTGTTAGGTGAGTGCATATGTCATAAAGGAGTTTCTGAGAATGTTTCTGTCTAGTGGTTATGGGAAGATATTTGCTTTTTCACCATAGGCCTCAGAGCGCTCCAAATATCCACTTGCACATACTACAAAAAGAGTGCTTCAAAGCTGCTCTCTGAAAGGGAATGTTCAACTCTATGAGTTGAATGCAAACATCACAAAGACTTTTCTGAGAATGCTTCTGTCTAGATTTGATATGAAGATATTCCCGTTTCCAACGAAATCTTCAAATCTATCCAAATATCCACTTGCAGATTCAACAAAAAGTGTTTTTCAGAACTGCTCTATCAAAAGAAAGATCCACCTCTGTTAGCTTAGTTCACACATCAGAAACAAGTTTATGAGAATGCTTCTGTCTAGTTTTTATTTGAAGATATTTCCTTTCTCACCATAGACCTGAAAGCTGTCCTAATGTTCACTTCCAGATACTACAGAAAGTGTTTCAAACTGCTGTACGAAAGGGAATGTTCAACTCTGTGACTTGAATGCACACATCACAAAGAAGTTTCTGAGGATGCTGCTGTCTACTTTTTATACGTAATCCCGTTTACAACGAAACCCTCCAAGCTATCCAAATATCCACTTGCAGATTCCACAGAAAGACTGTTTCAAAACTGCTCTGTCAATAGAAAGGTTCAACTCTGTTAGCTGCGTGCATATATCCCAAAGAAGATTCTGAGATTGCTTCTGTCTAGTTTTTATGGGAAGATATTTCCCTTTTCACCGTAGGAGTCAAGGCGCTCCAAATGTCCACTTCCAGATGCTACAAAAAGAGTGTTTCAAACCTACTCTGTGAAAGGGAATATTCAACTCTGTGACTTGAATGCACATATCACAAAGAAGTTTCTGAGAATGCTTCTGTCGAGATTTTGTATGAAGATATTCCCGTTTCCAACGAAATCCTGAAATGTATCCAAATTTCCCCTCGCAGATTCTACAAAAAGAGTGTTTCAAAACTGCTCTGTGAAAAGAAAGGTTCAACTCTGTTAGTTGAGTACACACATCACAAACAAGTTTCACAGAATGCTTCTTTCTAGCTTGCAGGGGAAGATATTCCCTTTATCACCATGGGCCTCAAACCGTCCGATAAGTCCACTTCCATATACTACAAAAAGAGCGTTTCAAACCTGCTCTATGAAAGGCAATGTTCAACTCTGTGACTTGAATGCAGACATCACAGAGCAGTTTCTGAGAATGCTTCTGTGTAGATTTTATAGGAAGATATTCCCGTTTCCAACGAAATCTTCACAGCTATCCAAATATCCACTTGCAGATTGTACAAAAAGAGTGTATCAAAACTGCTCTGTCAAAAGGAAGGTTCTTCTCTGTTAGGTGAGTGCATACGTCATAAAGGAGTTTCTGAGAATGTTTCTGTCTAGTGGTTACGGGAAGATATTTGCTTTTTCCCCGTAGGCCTCAGGGCACTCCAAATGTCCACTTGCACATGCTACAAAAAGAGTGCTTCAAAGCTGCTCTCTGGAAGGGAATGTTCAACTCTATGAGTTGAATGCAAACATCACAAAGACGTGTCTGAGAATACTTCTGTCTAGATTTGATATGAAGATATTCCCGTTTCCAACGAAATCTTCAAATCTATCCAAATGTCCACTTGCAGATTCAACAAAAAGTGTTTTTCCGAACTGCTCTATCAAAAGAAAGATCCGCCTCTGTTAGCTGAGTTCACATATCACAAACATGTTTATGAGAATGCTTCTGTCTAGTTTTTATTTGAAGATATTTCCCTTCTCACCATAGACCTGCAAGCTGTCCTAATGTTCACTTCCAGATACTACAGAAAGAGTGTTTCAAAACTACTGTACGAAAGGGAATGTTCAACACTGTGACTTGAAAGCACACATCACAAAGAAGTTTCTGAGGATGCTGCTGTCTACTTTTTATACGTAATCCCGTTTCCAACGAAATCCTCCAAGCTATCCAAATATCCACTTGCAGGTTCCACAGAAAGACTGTTTCAAAACTGCTCTGTCAATAGAAAGGTTCAACTCTGTTAGCTGCGTGCATATATCCCAAAGAAGATTCTGAGATTGCTTCTGTCTAGTTTTTATGGGAAGATATTTCCCTTTTCACTGTAGGCGTCAAGGCGCTCCAAATGTCCACTTCCAGATACTACAAAAAGAGTGTTTCAAACCTACTCTGTGAAAGGGAGTATTCAACTCTGTGACTTGAATACACATATTCCAAAGAAGTTTCTGAGAATGCTTCTGTCGAGATTTTATATGAAGATATTCCCGTTTCCAACGAAATCCTGAAATCTATCCAAATATCCCCTTGCAGATTCTACAAAAAGAGTGTTTCAAAACTGCTCTGTGAAAAGAAAGGTTCAACTCTGTTAGTTGAGTACACACATCACAAACAAGTTTCACACAATGCTTCTTTCTAGCTTGTAGGGGAAGATATTCCCTTTATCACCATGGGCCTCAAACCGTCCGAAACGTCAACTTCCATATACTACAAAAAGAGCGTTTCAAACCTGCTCTAGGAAAGGCAATGTTCAACTCTGTGACTTGAATGCAGACATCACAGAGCAGTTTCTGAGAATGCTTCTGTCTAGATTTTATAGGAAGATATTCCCGTTTTCAACGAAATCTTCACAGCTATCCAAATATCCACTTGCAGATTCTACAAAAAGAGTGTATCAAAACTGCTCTGTCAAAAGGAAGGTTCTTCTCAGTTAGGTGAGTGCATACGTCATAAAGGAGTTTCTGAGAATGTTTGTGTCTAGTGGTTATGAGAAGATATTTGCTTTTTCACCTTAGGCCTCACAGCGCTCAAAATATCCCCTTGCACATACTACAAAAAGAGTGCTTCAAAGCTGCTCTCTGAAAGGGAATGTTCAACTCTATGAGTTGAATGCAAACATCACAAAGACGTTTCTGAGAATGCTTCTGTCTAGATTTGATATGAAGATATTCCCGTTTCCAAAGAAATCTTCAAATCTATCCAAATATCCACTTGCAGATTCAACAAAAAGTGTTTTTCAGAACTGCTCTATCAAAAGAAAGATCCACCTCTGTTAGCTGAGTTCACACATCACAAACAAGGTTATGAGAATGCTTCTGTCTAGTTTTTATTTGAAGATATTTCCTTTCTCACCATAGAGCTGAAAGCTGTCTTAATGTTCACTTCCAGATACTACAGAAAGAGTGTTTCAAAACTGCTGTACGAAAGGGAATGTTCAACTCTGTGACTTGAATGCACACATCACAAAGAAGTTTCTGAGGATGCTGCTGTCTACTTTTTATGCGTAATCCCGTTTCCAACGAAATCCTCCAATCTATCCAAATATCCACTTGCAGATTCCACAGAAAGACTGTTTCAAAACTGCTCTGTCAATAGAAAGGTTCAACTCTGTTAGCTGCGTGCATATATCCCAAAGAAGATTCTGAGATTGCTTCTGTCTAGTTTTTATGAGAAGATATTTCCCTTTTCACCGTAGGCGTCAAGGCGCTCCAAATGTCCACTTCCAGATACTACAAAAAGAGTGTTTCAAACCTACTCTGTGAAAGGGAATATTCAACTCTGTGACTTGAATGCAGATATCACAAAGAAGTTTCTGAGAATGCTTCTGTCGAGATTTTATATGAAGATATTCCCGTTTCCAACGAAATCCTGAAATGTATCCAAATATCCCCTCGCAGATTCTACAAAAAGAGTGTTTCAAAACTGCTCTTTAAAAAGAAAGGTTCAACTCTGTTAGTTGAGTACACACATCACAAACAAGTTTCACAGAATGCTTCTTTCTAGCTTGTAGGGGAAGATATTCCCTTTATCACCATGGGCCTCAAACCGTCCGAAACGTCTACTTCCATATACTACAAAAAGAGCGTTTCAAACCTACTCTATGAAAGGCAATGTTCAACTCAGTGACTTGAATGCAGACATCGCAGAGCAGTTTCTGAGAATGCTTCAGTCTAGATTTTATAGGAAGATATTCCCGTTTCCAACGAAATCTTCACAGCTATCCAAATATCCACTTGCAGATTCTACAAAAAGAGTGTATCAAAACTGCTCTGTCAAAAGGAAGGTTCTTCTCTGTTAGGTGAGTGCATACGTCATAAAGGAGTTTCTGAGAATGTTTCTGTCTAGTGGTTATGGGAAGATATTTGCTTTTTCACCTTAGGCCTCAGAGCGATCCAAATATCCACTTGCACATACTACAAAAAGAGTGCTTCAAAGCTGATCTCTGAAACGGAATGTTCAACTCTATGAGTTGAATGCAAACATCACAAAGACGTTTCTGAGAATGCTTCTGTCTAGATTTGATATGAAGATATTCCCGTTTCCAACGAAATCTTCAAATCTATCCAAATGTCCACTTGCAGATTCAACGAAAAGTGTTTTTCAGAACTGCTGTATCAAAAGAAAGATCCACCTCTGTTAGCTGAGTTCACACATCACAAACAAGTTTATGAGAATGCTTCTGTCTAGTTTTTATTTGAAGATATTGCCTTTCTCACCCTAGACCTGAAAGCTGTCCTAATGTTCTCTTCCAGATGCTACAGAAAAAGTGTTTCAAAACTGCTGTACGAAAGGGAATGTTCAACTCTGTGACTTGAATGCACACATCACAAAGAAGTTTCTGAGGATGCTGCTGTCTACTTTTTATACGTAATCCCGTTTCCAACGAAATCCTCCAAGCTATCCAAATATCCACTTGCAGATTCCACAGAAAGACTGTTTCAAAACTGCTCTGTCAACAGAAAGGTTCAACTCTGTTAGCTGCGTGCATATATCCCAAAGAAGATTCTGAGATTGCTTCTGTCTAGTTTTTATGGGAAGATATTTCCCTTTCCACCGTAGGCGTCAAGGCGCTCCAAATGTCCACTTCCAGATACTACAAAAAGAGTGTTTCAAACCTACTCTGTGAAAGGGAATATTCAACTCTGTGACTTGAATGCACATATCACAAAGAAGTTTCTGAGAATTCTTCTGTCGAGCATTTTATATGAAGATATTCCCGTTTCCAACGAAATCCTGAAATCTATCCAAATATCCGCTCGCAGATTCTACAAAAAGAGTGTTTCAAAACTGCTCTGTGAAAAGAAAGGTTCAACTCTGTTAGTTGAGTACACACATCACAAACAAGTTTCACAGAATGCTTCTTTCTAGCTTGTAGGGGAAGATATTCCCTTTATCACCATGGGCCTCAAACCGTCTGAAACGTCTACTTCCATATACTACAAAAAGAGCGTTTCAAACCTGCTCTATGAAAGGCAATGTTCAACTCTGTGACTTGAATGCAGACATCACAGAGCAGTTTCTGAGAATGCTTCTGTCTAGATTTTATAGGAAGATATTCCCGTTTCCAACGAAATCTTCACAGCTATCCAAATATCCACTTGCAGATTCTACAAAAAGAGTGTTTCAAAACTGCTCTGTCAAAAGGAAGGTTCTTTTCTGTTAGGTGAGTGCATACGTCATAAAGGAGTTTCTGAGAATGTTTCTGTCTAGTGGTTATGGGAAGATATTTGCTTTTTCACCTTAGGCCTCAGAGCGCTCAAAATATCCCCTTGCACATACTACAAAAAGAGTGCTTCAAAACTGCTCTCTGAAACGGAATGTTCAACTCTATGAGTTGAATGCCAACATCACAAAGACGTTTCTGAGAATGCTTCTGTCTAGATTTGATATGAAGATATTCCCGTTCCCAACGAAATCTTCAAATCTATCCAAATGTCCACTTGCAGATTCAACAAAAAGTGTTTTTCAGAACTGCTCTATCAAAAGAAAGATCCACCTCGGTTAGCTGAGTTCACACATCACAAAGAAGTTTATGAGAATGCTCTGTCTAGTTTTTATTTGAAGATATTTCCTTTCTCACCATAGAGCTGAAAGCTGTCCTAATGTTCACTTCCAGATACTACAGGAAGAGTGTTTCAAAACTGCTGTACGAAAGGGAATGTTCAACTCTGTGACTTGAATGCACACATCACAAAGAAGTTTCTGAGGATGCTGGCTGTCTACTTTTTATACGTAATCCTGTTTCCAACGAAATCCTCCAAGCTATCCAAATATCCACTTGCAGATTCCACAGAAAGACTGTTTCAAAACTGCTCTGTCAATAGAAAGGTTCAACTCTGTTAGCTGCGTGCATATATCCCAAAGACGATTCTGAGATTGCTTCTGTCTAGTTTTTATGGGAAGATATTTCCCTTTACACCGTAGGCGTCAAGGCGCTCCAAATGTCCACTTCCAGATACTACAAAAAGAGTGTTTCAAACCTACTCGGTGAAAGGGAATATTCAACTCCTGTGACTTGAATGCAGATATCACACAGAAGTTTGCTGAGAATGCTTCTGTCGAGATTTTATATGAAGATATTCCCGTTTCCAACGAAATCCTGAAATGTATCCAAATATCCCCTCGCAGATTCTACAAAAAGAGTGTTTCAAAACTGCTCTGTAAAAAGAAAGGTTCAACTCTGTTAGTTGAGTACACACATCACAAACAAGTTTCACAGAATTGTTCTTTCTAGCTTGTAGGGGAAGATATTCCCTTTATCACCGTGGTCCTCAAACCGTCCGAAACGTCCACTTCCATATACTACAAAAAGAGCATTTCAAACCTGCTCTATGAAAGGCAATGTTCAACTCTGTGACTTGAATGCAGACATCACAGAGCAGTTTCTGAGAATGCTTCTGTCTAGATTTTATAGGAAGATATTCCCGTTTCCAACGAAATCTTCACAGCTATCCAAATATCCACTTGCAGATTCTACCAAAAGAGTGTATGAAAACTGCTCTGTCAAAAGAAAGGTTCTTCTCTGTTAGGTGAGTGCATACGTCATAAAGGAGTTTCTGAGAATGTTTCTGTCTAGTGGTTATGGGAAGATATTTGCTTTTTCACCGTAGGCCTCAGAGCGCTCCAAATATCCCCTTGCACATACTACAAAAAGAGTGCTTCAAAGCTGCTCTCTGAAAGGGAATGTTCAACTCTGTGAGTTGAATGCAAACATCACAAAGACTTTTCTGAGAATGCTTCTGTCTAGATTTGATATGAAGATATTCCCGTTTGCAACGAAATCTTCAAATCTATCCAAATGTCCACTTGCAGATTCAACAAAAAGTGTTTTTCAGAACTGCTCTATCAAAAGAAAGATCCACCTCTGTTAGCTGAGTTCACACATCACAAACAAGTTTATGAGAATGCTTCTGTCTAGTTTTTATTTTAAGATATTTCCTTTCTCACCATAGACCTGAAAGCTGTCCTAATGTTCACTTCCAGATACTACAGAAAGAGTGTTTCAAAACTGCTGTACGAAAGGGAATGTTCAACTCTGTGACTTGAATGCACACCGCACAAAGAAGTTTCTGAGGATGCTGCTGTCTAATTTTTATACGTAATCCCGTTTCCAACGAAATCCTCCAAGCTATCCAAATATGCACTTGCAGATTCCACAGAAAGACTGTTTCAAAACTGCTCTGTCAATAGAAAGGTTCAACTCTGTTAGCTGCGTGCATATATCCCAAAGAAGATTCTGAGATTGCTTCTGTCTAGTTTTTATGGGAAGATATTTCCCTTTTCACCGTAGGCGTCAAGGCGCTACAAATGTCCACTTCCAGATACTACAAAAAGAGTGTTTCAAACCTACTCTGTGAAAGGGAATATTCAACTCTGTGACTTGAATGCACATATCACAAAGAAGTTTCTGAGAATGCTTCTGTCGAGATTTTATATGAAGATATTCCCGTTTCCAACGAAATCCTGAAATCTATCCAAATATCCCCTCGCAGATTCTACAAAAAGAGTGTTTCAAAACTGCTCTGTAAAAAGAAAGGTTCAACTCTGTTAGTTGAGTACAAACATCACAAGCAAGTTTCACAGAATGCTTCTTTCTAGCTTGTAGGGGAAGATATTCCCTTTATCACCATGGGCCTCAAACCGTCCGAAAAGTCCACTTCCATATACTACAAAACGAGCGTTTCAAACCTGCTCTATGAAAGGCAATGTTCAACTCTGTGACTTGAATGCAGACATCACAGAGCAGTTTCTGAGAATGCTTCTGTCTAGATTTTATAGGAAGATATTCCCGTTTCCAACGAAACCTTCACAGCTATCCAAATATCCACTTGCAGATTCTACAAAAAGAGTGTATCAAAACTGCTCTGTCAAAAGGAAGGTTATTCTCTGTTAGGTGAGTGCATACGTCATAAAGGAGTTTCTGAGAATGTTTCTGTCTAGTGGTTATGGGAAGATATTTGCTTTTTCACCTTAGGCCTCAGAGCGCTCCAAATATCCCCTTGCACATACTACAAAAAGAGTGCTTCAAAGCTGCTCTCTGAAACGGAATGTTCAACTCTATGAGTTGAATGCAAACATCACAAAGACGTTTCTGAGAATGCTTCTGTCAAAATTTGATATGAAGATATTCCCGTTTCCAACGAAATCTTCAAATCTATCCAAATGTCCACTTGCAGATTCAACAAAAAGTGTTTTTCAGAACTGCTCTATCAAAAGAAAGATCCACCTCTGTTAGCTGAGTTCACACATCACAAACAAGTTTATGAGAATGCTTCTGTCTAGTTTTTATTTGAAGATATTTCCTTTCTCACCATAGACCTGAAAGCTGTCTTAATGTTCACTTCCAGATACTACAGAAAGAGTGTTTCAAAACTGCTGTACAAAAGGGAATGTTCAACTCTGTGACTTGAATGCACACATCACAAAGAAGTTTCTGAGGATGCTGCTGTCTACTTTTTATACGTAATCCCGTTTCCAACGAAATCCTCCAAGCTATCCAAATATCCACTTGCAGATTCCACAGAAAGACTGTTTCAAAACTGCTCTGCCAATAGAAAGGTTCAACTCTGTTAGCTGCGTGCATATATCCCAAAGAAGATTCTGAGATTGCTTCTGTCTAGTTTTTATCGGAAGATATTTCCCTTTTCACCGTAGGTGTCAAGGCGCTCCAAATGTCCACTTCCAGATACTACAAAAAGAGTGTTTCAAACCTACTCTGTGAAAGGGAATATTCAACTCTGTGACTTGAGTGCAGATATCACAAAGAACTTTCTGAGAATGCTTCTGTCTAGATTTGATATGAAGATATTCCCGTTTCCAACGAAATGCTGAAATGTATCAAAATATCCCCTCGCAGATTCTACAAAAAGAGTGTTTCAAAACTGCTCTGTAAAAAGAAAGGTTCAACTCTGTTAGTTGAGTACACACATCACAAACAAGTTTCAAAGAATGCTTCTTTCTAGCTTGTAGGGGAAGAATATTCCCTTTATCACCATGGGCCTCAAACCGTCCGAAACGTCCACTTCCATATACTACAAAAAGAGCGTTTCAAACCTGCTCTAGGAAAGGCAATGTTCAACTCTGTGACTTGAATGCAGACATCACAGAGCAGTTTCTGAGAATGCTTCTGTCTAGATTTTATAGGAAGATATTCCCGTTTCCAACGAAATCTTCACAGCTATCCAAATATCCACTTGCAGATTCTACAAAAAGAGTGTATCAAAACTGCTCTATCAAAAGGAAGGTTCTTTTCTGTTAGGTGAGTGCATACGTCATAAAGGAGTTTCTGAGAATGTTTCTGTCTAGTGGTTATGGGAAGATATTTGCTTTTTCACCGTAGGCCTCAGAGCGCTCCAAATATCCACTTGCACATACTACAAAAAGTGTGCCTCAAAACTGCTCTCTGAAACGGAATGTTCAACTCTATGAGTTGAATGCAAACATCACAAAGACGTTTCTGAAAATGCTTCTGTCTAGATTTGATATGAAGATGTTCCCGTTTCCAACGAAATCTTCAAATCTATCGAAATGTCCACTTGCAGATTCAACAAAAAGTGTTTTTCAGAACTGCTCTATCAAAAGAAAGATCCACCTCTGTTAGCTGAGTTCACACATCACAAACAAGTTTATGAGAATGCTTCTGTCTAGTTTTTATTTGAAGATATTTCCTTTCTCACCATAGACCTGAAAGCTGTCCTCATGTTCACTTCCAGATACTACAGAAAGAGTGTTTCAAAACTGCTGTACGAAAGGGAATGTTCAACTCTGTGACTTGAATGCACACATCACAAAGAAGTTTCTGAGGATGCTGCTGTCTACTTTTTATACGTAATCCCTTTTCCAAAGAAATCCCCCAAGCTATCCAAATATCCACTTGCAGATTCCACAGAAAGACTGTTTCAAAACTGCTCTGTCAATAGAAAGGTTCAACTCTATTAGCTGCGTGCATATATACCAAAGAAGATTCTGAGATTGCTTCTGTCTAGTTTTTATGGGAAGATATTTCCCTTTTCACCGTAGGCGTCAAGGCGCTCCAAATGTCCACTTCCAGATACTACAAAAAGAGTGTTTCAAACCTACTCTGTGAAAGGGAATATTCAACTCTGTGACTTGAATGCACATATCACCAAGAAGTTTCTGATAATGCTTCTGTCGAGATTTTATATGAAGATATTCCCGTTTCCAACGAAATCCTGAAATCTATCCAAATATCCCCTCGCAGATTCTACAAAAAGAGTGTTTCAAAACTGCTCTGTAAAAAGAAAGGTTCAACTCTGTTAGTTGAGTACATACATCACAAACAAGTTTCACAGAATGCTTCTTTCTAGCTTGTAGGGGAAGATATTCCCTTTATCACCATGGGCCTCAAACCGTCCGAAACATCCACTTCCCTATACTACAAAAAGAGCGTTTCAAACCTGCTCTATGAAAGGCAATGTTCAACTCTGTGACTTGAATGCAGACATCACAGAGCAGTTTCTGAGAATGCTTCTGTCTAGATTTTATAGGAAGATATTCCCGTTTCCAACGAAATCTTCACAGCTATCCAAATATCTACTTGCAGATTCTACAAAAAGAGTGTATCAAAACTGCTCTGTCAAAAGGAAGGTTCTTCTCTGTTAGGTGAGTGCATACGTCATAAAGCAGTTTCTGAGAATGTTTCTGTCTAGTGGTTATGGGAAGATATTTGCTTTTTCCCCGTAGGCCTCAGGGCGCTCCAAATGTCCACTTGCACATGCTACAAAAAGAGTGCTTCAAAGCTGCTCTCTGAAAGGGAATGTTCAACTCTATGAGTTGAATGCAAACATCGCAAAGACGTTTCTGAGAATGCTTCTGTCTAGATTTGATATGAAGATATTCCCGTTTCCAACGAAATCTTCAAATCTATCCAAATGTCCACTTGCAGATTCAACAAAAAGTGTTTTTCAGAACTGCTCTATCAAAAGAAAGATCCACCTCTGTTAGCTGAGTTCACACATCACAAACAAGATTATGAGAATGCTTCTGTCTAGTTTTTATTTGAAGATATATCCTTTCTCACTATAGACCTGAAAGCTCTCCTAAAGTTCACTTCCAGATACTACAGAAAGAGTGTTTCAAAACTGCTGTACGAAAGGGAATGTTCAACTCTGTGACTTGAATGCACACATCACAAGGATGTTTCTGAGGATGCTGCCGTCTACTTTTTATACGTAATCCCGTTTCCAACGAAATCCTCCAAGCTATCCAAATATCCACTTGCAGATTCTACAAAAAGAGTGTTTCAAAACTGCTCTGTAAAAAGAAAGGTTCAACTCTGTTAGCTATGTGCATACATCCCAAAGAAAATTCTGAGATTGCTTCTGTCTAGTTTTTATGGGAAGATATTTCCCTATTCACCGTAGGCGTCAAGGCGCTCCAAATGTCCACTTCCAGATACTACAAAAAGAGTGTTTCAAACCTACTCTGTGAAAGGGAATATTCAACTCTGTGACTTGAATGCAGATATCACAAAGAAGTTTCTGAGAATGCTTCTGTCGAGATTTTATATGAAGACATTCCCGTTTCCAACGAAATCCTGAAATCTATCCAAATATCCCCTCGCAGATTCTACAAAAAGAGTGTTTCAAAACTGCTCTGTAAAAAGAAAGGTTCAACTCTGTTAGTTGAGTACACATCACAAACAAGTTTCACAGAATGCTTCTTTCTAGCTTGTAGGGGAAGATATTCCCTTTATCACCATGGGCCTCAAACCGTCCGAAACGTCCACTTCCATATACTACAAAAAGAGCGTTTCAAACCTGCTCTATGAAAGGCAATGTTCAACCCTGTGACTTGAATACAGACATCGCAGAGCAGTTCCTGAGAATGCTTCTGTCTAGATTTTATAGGAAGATATTCCCGTTTCCAACGAAATCTTCACAGCTATCCAAATATCCACTTGCAGATTCTACAAAAAGAGTGTATCAAAACTGCTCTGTCAAAAGGAAGGTTCTTCTCTGTTAGGTGAGTGCATACATCATAAAGGAGTTCCTGAGAATGTTTCTGTCTAGTGGTTATGGGAAGATATTTGCTTTTTCACCTTAGGCCTCAGAGCGATCCAAATATCCACTTGCACATACTACAAAAAGAGTGCTTCAAAGCTGCTCTCTGAAAGGGAATGTTCAACTCTATGAGTTGAATGCAAACATCACAAAGACGTTTCTGAGAATGCTTCTGTCTAGATTTGAAATGAAGTTATTCCCGTTTCCAACGAAATCTTCAAATCTATCCAAATGTCCACCTGCAGATTCAACAAAAAGTGTTTTTCAGAACTGCTCTATCAAAAGAAAGATCCACCTCGGTTAGCTGAGTTCACACATCACAAAGAAGTTTATGAGAATGCTTCTGTCTAGTTTTTATTTGAAGATATTTCCTTTCTCACCATAGAGCTGAAAGCTGTCCTAATGTTCACTTCCAGATACTACAGAAAGAGTGTTTCAAAACTGCTGTACGAAAGGGAATGTTCAACTGCTGTGACTTGAATGCACACATCACAAAGAAGTTTCCTGAGGATGCTGCTGTCTACTTTTTATACGTAATCCCGTTTCCAACGAAATCCTCCAAGCTATCGAAATATCCACTTGCATATTCCACAGAAAGACTGTTTCAAAACTGCTATGTCAATAGAAAAGTTCAACTCTGTTAGCTGTGTGCATATATCCCAAAGAAAATTCTGAGATTGCTTGTGTCTAGTTTTTATGGGAAGATATTTCCCTTTTCACCGTAGGCGTCAAGGCGCTCCAAATGTCCACTTCCAGATACTACAAAAAGAGTGTTTCAAACCTACTCTGTGAAAGGGAATATTCAACTCTGTGACTTGAATGCACATATCACAAGGAAGTTTCTGAGAATGCTTCTGTCGAGATTTTATATGAAGATATTCCCGTTTCCAACGAAATCCTGAAATCTATCCAAATATCCCCTCGCAGATTCTACAAAAAGAGTGTTTCAAAACTGCTCTGCAAAAAGAAAGGTTCAACTCTGTTAGTTGAGTACACACATCACAAACAAGTTTCACAGAATGCTTCTTTCTAGCTTGTAGGGGAAGATATTCCCTTTATCACCATGGGCCTCAAACCGTCCGAAACGTCCACTTCCATATACTACAAAAACAGCATTTCAAACCTGCTCTATGAAAGGCAATGTTCAACTCTGTGACTTGAATGCAGACATCACAGAGCAGTTTCTGAGAATGCTTCTGTCTAGATTTTATAGGAAGATATTCCCGTTTCCAACGAAATCTTCACAGCTATCCAAATATGCACTTGCAGATTCTACAAAAAGAGTGTATCAAAACTGCTCTGTCAAAAGGAAGGTTCTTCTCTGTTAGTTGAGTACATACGTCATAAAGGAGTTTCTGAGAATGTTTCTGTCTAGTGGTTATGGGAAGATATTTGCTTTTTCACCGTAGGCGTCAGAGCTCTCCAAATATCCACTTGCACATACTACAAAAAGAGTGCTTCAAAGCTGCTCTCTGAAACGGAATGTTCAAATCTATGAGTTGAATGCAAACATCACAAAGACGTTTCTGAGAATGCTTCTGTCTAGATTTGATATGAAGATATTCCCGTTTCCAACGAAATCTTCAAATCTATCCAAATGTCCACTTGCAGATTCAACAAAGTGTTTTTCAAAACTGCTGTATGAAAAGAAAGATCCACCACTGTTAGCTGAGTTCACACTTCACAAACAAGTTTATCAGAATGCTTCTGTCTAGTTTTTATTTGAAGATATTTCCTTTCTCACCATAGACCTGAAAGCTGTCCTAATGTTCACTTCCAGTTACTACAGAAAGAGTGTTTCAAAACTGCTGTACGAAAGGGAATGTTGAACTCTGTGACTTGAATGCACACATCACAAAGAAGGTTCTGAGGATGCTGCTGTCTACATTTTATACGTAATCCCGTTTCCAACGAAATCCTCCAAGCTATCCAAATATCCACTTGCAGATTCCACAGAAAGACTGTTTCAAAACTGCTCTGTCAATAGAAAGGTTCAACTCTGTTAGCTGCGTCCATATATCCCAAAGAAGATTCTGAGATTGCTTCTGTCTAGTTTTTATGGGAAGATATTTCCCTTTTCACCGTAGGTGTCAAGGCGCTCCAAATGTCCACTTCCAGATTCTACAAAAAGAGTGTTTCAAACCTACTCTGTGAAAGGGAATATTCAACTCTGTGACTTGAATGCACATATCACAAGGAAGTTTCTGAGAATGCTTCTGTCGAGATTTCATATGAAGATATTCCCGTTTCCAACGAAATCCTGAAATCTATCCAAATATCCCCTCACAGATTCTACAAAAAGAGTGTTTCAAAACTGCTCTGTAAAAAGAAAGGTTCAACTCTGTTAGTTCAGTACACACATCACAAACAAGTTTCACAGAATGCTTCTTTCTAGCTTGTAGGGGAAGATATTCCCTTTATCACCATGGGCCTAAAACCGTCCGAAACATCCACTTCCATATACTACAAAAAGAGCGTTTCAAACCTGCTCTAGGAAAGGCAATGTTCAACTCTGTGACTTGAAAGCAGACATCACAGAGCAGTTTCTGAGAATGCTTCTGTCTAGATTTCATAGGAAGATATTCCCGTTTCCAACGAAATCTTCACAGCTATCCCAATATCCACTTGCAGATTCTACAAAAAGAGTGTATCAAAACTGCTCTGTCAAAAGGAAGGTTCTTCTCTGTTAGGTGAGTGCATACGTCATAAAGGAGTTTCTGAGAATGTTTCTGTCTAGTGGTTATGGGAAGATATTTGCTTTTTCCCCATAGGCCTCAGGGCGCTCCAAATGTCCACTTGCACATGCTACAAAAAGAGTGCTTCAAAGCTGCTCTCTGAAAGGGAATGTTCAACTCTATGAGTTGAATGCAAACATCACAAAGACGTTTCTGAGAATGCTTCTGTCTAGATTTGATATGAAGATATTCCCGTTTCCAACGAAATCTTCAAATCTATCCAAATGTCCACTTGCAGATTCAACAAAGTGTTTTTCAAAACTGCTGTATCAAAAGAAAGATCCACCACTGTTAGCTGAGTTCACACTTCACAAACAAGTTTATTAGAATGCTTCTGTCTAGTTTTTATTTGAAGATATTTCCTTTCTCACCATAGACCTGAAAGCTGTCCTAATGTTCACTTCCAGATACTACAGAAAGAGTGTTTCAAAACTGCTGTACGAAAGGGAATGTTCAACTGCTGTGACTTGAATGCACACATCACAAAGAAGTTTCTGAGGATGCTGCTGTCTACTTTTTATACGTAATCCTGTTTCCAACGAAATCCTCCAAGCTATCCAAATATCCACTGGCAGATTCCACAGAAAGACTGTTTCAAAACTGCTGTCAATAGAAAGGTTCAACTCTGTTAGCTGCGTGCATATATCCCAAAGAAGATTCTGAGATTGCTTCTGTCTAGTTTTTATGGGAAGATATTTCCCTTTTCACCGTAGGCGTCAAGGCGCTCCAAATGTCCACTTCCAGATACTACAAAAAGAGTGTTTCAAACCTACTCTGTGAAAGGGAATATTCAACTCTGTGACTTGAATGCACATATCACAAAGAAGTTTACTGAGAATGCTTCTGTCGAGATTTTATATGAAGATATTCCCGTTTCCAACGAAATCCTGAAATCTCTCCAAATATCCCCTCGCAGATTCTACAAAAAGAGTGTTTCAAAACTGCTCTGTAAAAAGAAAGGTTCAACTCTGTTAGTTGAGTACACACATCACAAACAAGTTTCACAGAATGCTTCTTTCTAGCTTGTAGGGGAAGATATTCCCTTTATCACCATGGGCCTCAAACCGTCCAAAACGTCCACTTCCATATACTACAAAAAGAGCGTTTCAAACCTGCTCTAGGAAAGGCAATGTTCAACTCTGTGACTTGAATGCAGACATCACAGAGCAGTTTCTGAGAATGCTTCTGTCTAGATTTTATAGGAAGATATTCCCGTTTCCAACGAAATCTTCACAGCTATCCAAATATCCACTTGCAGATTCTACAAAAAGAGTGTATCAAAACTCCTCTGTCAAAAGGAAGGTTCTTCTCTGTTAGTTGAGTACATACGTCATAAAGGAGTTTCTGAGAATGTTTCTGTCTAGTGGTTATGGGAAGATATTTGCTTTTTCACCGTAGGCCTCAGAGCACTCCAAATATCCACTTGCACATACTACAAAAAGAGTGTCTCAAAGCTGCTCTCTGAAACGGAATGTTCAACTCTATGAGTTGAATGCAAACATCGCAAAGACGTTTCTGAGAATGCTTCTGTCTAGATTTGATATGAAGATATTCCCGTTTCCAACGAAATCTTCAAATCTATCCAAATGTCCACTTGCAGATTCAACAAAAAGTGTTTTTCAGAACTGCTCAATCAAAAGAAAGATCCACCTCTGTTAGCTGAGTTCACACTTCACAAACAAGTTTATCAGAATGCTTCTGTCTAGTTTTTATTTGAAGATATTTCCTTTCTCACCATAGACCTGAAAGCTCTCCTAATGTTCACTTCCAGATACTACAGAAAGAGTGTTTCAAAACTGCTGTACGAAAGGGAATGTTCAACTCTGTGACTTGAATGCACACATCACAAAGAAGTTTCTGAGGATGCTGCTGTCTACTTTTTATACGTAATCCCGTTTCCAACGAAATCCTCCAAGCTATCCAAATATCCACTTGCAGATTCCACAGAAAGACTGTTTCAAAACTGCTCTGTCAATAGAAAGGTTGAACTCTGTTAGCTGCGTGCATATATCCCAAAGAAGATTCTGAGATTGCTTCTGTCTAGTTTTTATGGGAAGATATTTCCCTTGTCACCGTAGGCGTCAAGGCACTCCAAATGTCCACTTCCAGATACTACAAAAAGAGTGTTTCAAACCTACTCTGTGAAAGGGAATATTCAACTCTGTGACTTGAAGGCAGATATCACAAAGAAGTTTCTGAGAATGCTTCTGTCGAGATTTTATATGAAGATATTCCCGTTTCCAACGAAATCCTGAAATCTATCCAAATATCCCGTCGCAGATTCTACAGAAAGAGTGTTTCAAAACTGCTCTGTAAAAAGAAAGGTTCAACTCTGTTACTTGAGTACACACATCACAAACAAGTTTCACAGAATGCTTCTTTCTAGCTTATAGGGGAAGATATTCCCTTTATCACCATGGGCCTCAGACCGTCCGAAACGTCCACTTCCATATACTACAAAAAGAGCGTTTCAAACCTGCTCTATGAAAGGCAATGTTCAACTCTGTGACTTGAATGCAGACATCACAGAGCAGTTTCTGAGAAGTGCTTCTGTCTAGATTTTATAGGAAGATATTCCCGTTTCCAACGAAATCTTCACAGCTATCCCAATATCCACTTGCAGATTCTACAAAAAGAGTGTATCAAAACTGCTCTGTCAAAAGGAAGGTTCTTCTCTGTTAGATGAGTACACACGTCATAAAGGAGTTTCTGAGAATGTTTCTGTCTAGTGGTTATGGGAAGATATTTGCTTTTTCACCGTAGGCCTCAGAGCGCTCCAAATATCCACTTGCACATACTACAAAAATGAGTGCCTCAAAGCTGCTCTCTGAAACGGAATGTTCAACTCTATGAGTTGAATGCAAACATCACAAAGACGTCTCTGAGAATGCTTCTGTCTAGATTTGATATGAAGATATTCCCGTTTCCAACGAAATCTTCAAATCTATCCAAATGTCCACTTGCAGATTCAACAAAAAGTGTTTTTCAGAACTGCTCTATCAAAAGAAAGATCCATCTCTGTTAGCTGAGTTCACACATCACAAACAAGTTTATGAGAATGCTTCTGTCTAGTTTTTATTTGAAGATATTTCCTTTCTCACCATAGACCTGAAAGCTGTCCTAATGTTCACTTCCAGATACTACAGAAAGGGTGTTTCAAAACTGCTGTACGAAAGGGAATGTTCAACTCTGTGACTTGAATGCACACATCACAAAAAAGTTTCTGAGGATGCTGCTGTCTACTTTTTATACGTAATCCCGTTTCCAACGAAATCCTCTAATCTATCCAAATATCCACTTGCAGATTCCACAGCAAGACTGTTTCAAAATTGCTCTGTCAATAAAAAGGTTCAACTCTGTTAGCTGCGTGCATATATCCCAAAGAAGATTCTGAGATTGCTTCTGTCTAGTTTTTATGGGAAGATATTTCCCTTTTCACTGTAGGCGTCAAGGCGCTAAAAATGTCCACTTCCAGATACTACAAAAAGAGTGTTTCAAACCTACTCTGTGAAAGGGAATATTCAACTCTGTGACTTGAATGCACATACCACAAAGAAGTTTCTGAGAATGCTTCTGTCCAGATTTTATATGAAGATATTCCCCTTTCCAACGAAATCCTGAAATCTATCCAAATATCCCCTCGCAGATTCTACAAAAAGAGTGTTTCAAAACTGCTCTGTAAAAAGAAAGGTTCAACTCTGTTAGTTGAGTACACACATCACAAACAAGTTTCACAGAATGCTTCTTTCTAGCTAGTAGGGGAAGATATTCCCTTTATCACCATGGGCCTCAAACCGTCCGAAACGTCCACTTCCATGTACTACAAAAAGAGCGTTTCAAACCTGCTCTATGAAAGGCAATGTTCAACTCTGTGACTTGAATGCAGACATCACAGAGCAGTTTCTGAGAATGCTTCTGTCTAGATTTTATAGGAAGATACTCCCGTTTCCAACGAAATCTTCACAGCTATCCAAATATCCACTTGCAGATTCTACAAAATGAGTTTATCAAAACTGCTCTGTCAAAAGGAAGGTTCTTCTCTGTTAGGTGAGTGCATACGTCATAAAGGAGTTTCTGAGAATGTTTCTGTGTAGTGGTTATGGGAAGATATTTGCTTTTTCACCTTAGGCCTCAGAGCGCTCCATATATCCCCATGCACATACTACAAAAAGAATGCTTCAAAGCTGCTCTCTGAAACGGAATGTTCAACTCTATGAGTTGAATGCAAACATCACAAAGACGTTTCCAAGAATGCTTCTGTCTAGATTTGATATGAAGATATTACCGTTTCCAACGAAATCTTCATATCTATCCAAATGTCCACTTGCAGATTCAACAAAAAGTGTTTTTCAAAACTGCTGTATCAAAAGAAAGATCCACGTCTGTTAGCTGAGTTCACACATCACAAACAAGTTTATGAGAATGCTTCTGTCTAGTTTTTATTTGAAGATATTCCCTTTCTCACCATCGACCTGAAAGCTGTCCTAATGTTCACTTCCAGATACTACAGAAAGAGTGTTTCAAAACTGCTGTACGAAAGGGAATGTTCAACTCTGTGACTTGAATGCACACATCACAAAGAAGTTTCTGAGGATGCTGCTGTCTACTTTTTATACGTAATCCCATTTCCAAAGAAATCCTCCAAGCTATCCAAATATCCACTTGCAGATTCCACAGAAAGACTGTTTCAAAACTGCTCTGTCAATAGAAAGGTTCAACTCTGTTAGTTGCGTGCATATATCCCAAAGAAGATTCTGAGATTGCTTTCTGTCTACTTTTTATGAGAAGATATTTCCCTTTTCACCGTAGGCCTCAAGGCGCTCCAAATGTCCACTTCCAGATACTACAAAAAGAGTGTTTCAAACCTACTCTGTGAAAGGGAATATTCAACTCTGTGACTTGAATGCACATATCACAAAGAAGTTTCTGAGAATGCTTCTGTCGAGATTTTATATGAAGATATTCCCGTTTCCAACGAAATCCTGAAATCTATCCAAATATCCCCTCGCAGATTCTACAAAAAGAGTGTTTCAAAACTGCTCTGTAAAAAGAAAGGTTCAACTCTGTTAGTTTAGTACACACATCACAAACAAGTTTCACAGAATGCTTCTTTCTAGCTTGTAGGGGAAGATATTCCCTTTATCACCATGGGCCTCCAACCGTCCGAAACATCCACTTCCATATACTACAAAAAGAGCGTTTCAAACCTGCTCTAGGAAAGGCAATGTTCAACTCTGTGACTTGAATGCAGACATCACAGAGCAGTTTCTGAGAATGCTTCTGTCTAGATTTTATAGGAAGATATTCCCGTTTCCAACGAAATCTTCACAGCTATCCAAATATCCACTTGCAGATCCTACAAAAAGAGTGTATCAAAACTGCTCTGTCAAAAGGAAGGTTATTCTCTGTTAGGTGAGTGCATACGTCATAAAGGAGTTTCTGAGAATGTTTCTGTCTAGTCGTTATGGGAAGATATTTGCTTTTTCACCGTAGGCCTCAGAGCGCTCCAAATATCCACTTGCACATACTACAAAAAGAGTGCCTCAAAGCTGGTCTCTGAAACGGAATGTTCAACTCTATGAGTTGAATGCAAACATCACAAAGACGTTTCTGAGAATGCTTCTGTCTAGATTTGATATGAAGATATTCCCTTTTCCAACGAAATCTTCAAATCTATCCAAATGTCCACTTGCAGATTCAACAAAACGTGTTTTTCAGAACTGCTCTATCAAAAGAAAGATCCACCTCTGTTAGCTGAGTTCACACATCACAAACAAGTTTATGAGAATGCTTCTGTCTAGTTTTTATTTGAAGATATTTCCTTTCTCACCATAGACCTGAAAGCTGTCCTAATGTTCACTTCCAGATACTACAGAAAGAGTGTTTCAAAACTGCTGTACGAAAGAGAATGTTCAACTCTGTGACTTGAATGCACACATCACAAAGAAGTTTCTGAGGATGCTGCTGTCTACTTTTTATACGTAATCCCGTTTCCAACGAAATCCTCCAAGCTATCCAAATATCCACTTGCAGATTCCACAGAAAGACTGTTTCAAAACTGCTCTGTCAATAGAAAGGTTCAACTCTGTTAGCTGCGTGCATATATCCCAAAGAAGATTCTGAGATTGCTTTCTGTCTAGTTTTTATGGGAAGATATTTCCCTTTTCACCGTAGGCGTCAAGGCGCTCCAAATGTCCACTTCCAGATACTACAAAAAGAGTGTTTCAAACCTACTCTGTGAAAGGGAATGTTCAACTCTGTGACTTGAGTGCACATATCACAAAGAAGCTTCTGAGAATGCTTCTGTCGAGATTTTATATGAAGATATTCCCGTTTCCAACGAAATCCTAAAATCTATCCAAATATTCCCTCGCAGATTCTACAAAAAGAGTGTTTCAAAACTGCTCTGTAAAAAGAAAGGTTCAACTCTGTTAGTTGAGTACACACATCACAAACAAGTTTCACAGAATGCTTCTTTCTAGCTTGTAGGGGAAGATATTCCCTTTAACACCATGGGCCTCAAACCGTCTGAAACGTCCACTTCCATATACTACAAAAAGAGCGTTTCAAACCTGCTCTATGAAAGGCAATGTTCAACTCTGTGACTTGAATGCAGACATCACAGAGCAGTTTCTGAGAATGCTTCTGTGTAGATTTTATAGGAAGATATTCCCGTTTCCAACGAAATCTTCACAGCTATCCAAATATCCACTTGCAGATTCTACAAAAAGAGTGTATCAAAACTGCTCTGTCAAAAGGAAGGTTCTTTTCTGTTAGGTGAGTGCATACGTCATAAAGGAGTTTCTGAGAATGTTTCTGTCTAGTGGTTATGGGAAGATATTTGCTTTTTCACCGTAGGCCTCAGAGCACTCCAAATATCCCCTTGCACATACTACAAAAAGAGTGCTTCAAAGCTGCTCTCTGAAAGGGAATGTTCAACTCTGTGAGTTGAATGCAAACATCACAAAGACGTTTCTGAGAATGCTTCTGTCTAGATTTGATATGAAGATATTCCCGTTTCCAACGAAATCTTCAAATCTATCCAAATGTCCACTTGCAGATTCAACAAAAAGTGTTTTTCAGAACTGCTCTATCAAAAGAAAAATCCACCTCTGTTAGCTGAGTTCACACATCACAAACAAGTTTATGAGAATGCTTCTGTCTAGTTTTTATTTGAAGATATTTCCTTTCTCACCATAGACCTGAAAGCTGTCCTAATGTTCACTTCCAGATGCTACAGAAAGAGTGTTTCAATACTGCTGTACGAAAGGGAATGTTCAACTCTGTGACTTGAATGCACACATCACAAAGAAGTTTCTGAGGATGCTGCTGTCTACTTTTTATGCGTAATCCCGTTTCCAACGAAATCCTCCAAGCTATCCCAATATCCACTTGCAGATTCCACAGAAAGACTGTTTCAAAACTGCTCTGTCAATAGAAAGGTTCAACTCTGTTAGCTGCGTGCATATATCCCAAAGAAGATTCTGAGATTGCTTTCTGTCTACTTTTTATGAGAAGATATTTCCCTTTTCACCGTAGGCGTCAAGGCGCTCCAAATGTCCACTTCCAGATACTACAAAAAGAGTGTTTCAAACCTACTCTGTGAAAGGGAATATTCAACTCTGTGACTTGAATGCAGATATCACAAAGAAGTTTCTGAGAATGCTTCTGTCGAGATTTTATATGAAGATATTCCCTTTTCCAACGAAATCCTGAAATCTATCCAAATATCCCCTCGCAGATTCTACAAAAAGAGTGTTTCAAAACTGCTCTGTAAAAAGAAAGGTTCAACTCTGTTAGCTGAGTACACACATCACAAACAAGTTTCACAGAATGTTTCTTTCTAGCTTGTAGGGGAAGATATTCCCTTTATCACCATGGGCCTCAAACCGTCTGAAACTTCCACTTCCATATACTACAAAAAGAGCATTTCAAACCTGCTCTATGAAAGGCAATGTTCAACTCTGTGACTTGAATGCAGACATCACAGAGCAGTTTCTGAGAATGCTTCTGTCTAGATTTTATAGGAAGATATTCCCGTTTCCAACGAAATCTTCACAGCTATCCAAATATAAACTTGCAGATTCTACAAAAAGAGTGTATCAAAACTGCTCTGTCAAAAGGAAGGTTCTTCTCTGTTAGGTGAGTGCATACATCATAAAGGAGTTCCTGAGAATGTTTCTGTCTAGTGGTTATGGGAAGATATTTGCTTTTTCCCCGTAGGCCTCAGAGCGCTCCAAATATCCACTTGCACATACTGCAAAAAGAGTGCTTCAAAGCTGCTCTCTGAAAGGGAATGTTCAACTCTATGAGTTGAATGCAAACATCACAAAGACGTTTCTGAGAATGCTTCTGTCTAGATTTGATATGAAGATATTCCCGTTTCCAACGAAATCTTCAAATCTATCCAAATGTCCACTTGCAGATTCAACAAAAAGTGTTTTTCAGAACTGCTCTATCAAAAGAAAGATTCACCTCTGTTAGCTGAGTTCACACTTCACAAACAAGTTTATGAGAATGCTTTTGTCTAGTTTTTATTTGAAGATATTTTCTTTCTCACCATAGACCTGAAAGCTGTCCTAATGTTCACTTCCAGATACTACAGAAAGAGTGTTTCAAAACTGCTGTACGAAAGGGAATGTTCAACTCTGTGACTTGAATGCACACATCACAAAGAAGTTTCTGAGGATGCTGCTGTCTACTTTTTATACGTAATACCGTTTCCAACGAAATCCTCCAAGCTATCCAAATATCCACTTGCAGATTCCACAGAAAGACTGTTTCAAAACTGCTCTGTCAATAGAAAGGTTCAACTCTGTTAGCTGCGTGCATATATCCCAAAGAAGATTCTGAGATTGCTTCTGTCTACTTTTTATGAGAAGATATTTCCCTTTTCACCGTAGGCATCAAGGCGCTCCAAATGTCCACTTCCAGATACTAGAAAAAGAGTGTTTCAAACCTACTCTGTGAAAGGGAATATTCAACTCTGTGACTTGAATGCACATATCACAAAGAAGCTTCCGAGAATGCTTCTGTCGAGATTTTATATAAAGATATTCCGGTTTCCAACAAAATCCTGAAATCTATCCAAATATCCCCTCGCAGATTCTACAAAAAGAGTGTTTCAAAACTGCTCTGTAAAAAGAAAGGTTCAACTCTGTTAGTTGAGTACACACATAACAAACAAGTTTCACAGAATGCTTCTTTCTAGCTTGTAGGGGAAGATATTCCCTTTATCACCATGGGCCTCCAACCGTCCGAAACGTCCACTTCCATATACTACAAAAAGAGCCTTTCAAACCTGCTCTATGAAAGGCAATGTTCAACTCTGTGACTTGAATGCAGACATCACAGAGCAGTTTCTGAGAATGCTTCTGTCTAGATTTTATAGGAAGATATTCCCGTTTCCAACGAAATATTCACAGGTATCAAAATATCCACTTGCAGATTCTACAAAAAGAGTGTATCAAAACTGCTCTGTCAAAAGGAAGGTTCTTCTCTGTTAGGTGAGTGCATACGTCATAAAGGAGTTTCTGAGAATGTTTTCTGTCTAGTCGTTATGGGAAGATATTTGCTTTTTCACCGTAGGCCTCAGAGCGCTCCAAATATCCACTTGCACATACTACAAAAAGAGTGCTTCAAAGCTGGTCTCTGAAACGGAATGTTCAACTCTATGAGTTGAATGCAAACATCACAAAGACGTTTACTGAGAATGCTTCTGTCTAGATTTGATATGAAGATATTCCCGTTTCCAAGGAAATCTTCAAATCTATCCAAATGTCCACTTTCAGATTCAACAAAAAGTGTTTTTCAAAACTGCTGTATCAAAAGAAAGATCCACGTCTGTTAGCTGAGTTCACACATCACAAACAAGTTTATGAGAATGCTTCTGTCTAGTTTTTATTTGAAGATATTACCTTTCTCACCATAGAGCTGAAAGCTGTCCTAATGTTCACTTCCAGATACTCCAGAAAGAGTGTTTCAAAACTGCTGTACGAAAGGGAATGTTCAACTCTGTGACTTGAATGCACACATCACAAAGAAGTTTCTGAGGATGCTGCTGTCTACTTTTTATACCTAATCCCGTTTCCAACGAAATCCTCCAAGCTATCCAAATATCCACTTGCAGATTCCACAGAAAGACTGTTTCAAAACTGCTCTGTCAATAGAAAGGTTCAACTCTGTTAGCTGCGTGCATATATCCCAAAGATGATTCTGAGATTTCTTCTGTCTAGTTTTTATGAGAAGATATTTCCCTTTTCACCGTAGGCGTCAAGGCGCTCCAAATGTCCACTTCCAGATACTACAAAAAGAGTGTTTCAAACCTACTCTGTAAAAGGGAATATTCAACTCTGTGACTTGAATGCACATATCACAAAGAAGTTTCTGAGAATGCTCTGTCGAGATTTTATATGAAGATATTCCCGTTTCCAACGAAATCCTGAAATCTATCCAAATATCCCCTCGCAGATTCTACAAAAAGAGTGTTTCAAAACTGCTCTGTAAAAAGAAAGGTTCAACTCTGTTAGTTGAGTACACACATCACAAACAAGTTCACAGAATGCTCTCTTTCTAGCTTGCAGGGGAAGATATTCCCTTTATCACCATGGGCCTCCAACCGTCCGAAACATCCACTTCCATATACTACAAAAAGAGCGTTTCAAACCTGCTCTATGAAAGGCAATGTTCAACTCTGTGACTTGAATGCAGACATCACAGAGCAGTTTCTGAGAATGCTTCTGTCTAGATTTTATAGGAAGATATTCCCGTTTCCAACGAAATCTTCACAGCTATCCAAATATCCACTTGCAGATTCTACAAAAAGAGTGTATCAGAACTGCTCTGTCAAAAGGAAGGTTCTTTTCTGTTAGGTGAGTGCATACGTCATAAAGGAGTTTCTGAGAATGTTTCTGTCTAGTGGTTATGGGAAGATATTTGCTTTTTCACCGTAGGCCTCAGAGCGCTCCAAATATCCACTTGCACATACTACAAAAAGAGTGCTTCAAACCTGCTCTCTGAAACAGAATGTTCAACTCTATGAGTTGAATGCAAACATCACAAAGACGTTTCTGAGAATGCTTCTGTCTAGATTTGATATGAAGATATTCCCGTTTCCAACGAAATCTTCAAATCTATCCAAATATCCACTTGCATAATCAACAAAAAGTGTTTTTCACAACTGCTCTATCAAAAGAAAGATCCACCTCTGTTAGCTGAGTTCACACATCACAAACAAGTTTATGAGAATGCTTCTGTCTAGTTTTTATTTGAAGATATTTCCTTTCTCACCATAGACCTGAAAGCTGTCCTAATGTTCACTTCCAGATACTACAGAAAGAGTGTTTCAAAACTGCTGTATGAAAGGGAATGTTCAACTCTGTGACTTGAATGCACACATCACAAAGAAGTTTCTGAGGATGCTGCTGTCTACTTTTCATACTTAATCCCGTTTCCAACGAAATCCTCCAAGCTATCCAAATATCCACTTGCAGATTCCACAGAAAGACTGTTTCAAAACCGCTCTGTCAATAGAAAGGTTCAACTCTGTTAGCTGCGTGCATATATCCCAAAGAAGATTCTGAGATTGCTTCTGTCTAGTTTTTATGGGTAGATATTTCCCTTTTCACAGTAGGTGTCAAGGCGCTCCAAATGTCCACTTCCAGATACTACAAAAAGAGTGTTTCAAACCTACTCTGTGAAAGGGAATATTCAACTCTGTGACTTCAATGCACATATCACAAGGAAGTTTCTGAGAATGCTTCTGTCGAGATTTTAAATGAAGATATTCCCGTTTCCAACGAAATCCTGAAATCTATCCAAATATCCCCTCGCAGATTCTACAAAAAGAGTGTTTCTAAACTGCTCTGTAAAATGAAAGGTTCAACTCTGTTAGTTGAGTACACACATCACAAACAAGTTTCACAGAATGCTTCTTTCTAGCTTGTAGGGGAAGATATTCCCTTTATCACCATGGGCCTCCAACCGTCCGAAACATCCACTTCCATATACTACAAAAAGAGCGTTTCAAACCTGCTCTATGAAAGGCAATGTTCAACTCTGTGACTTGAATGCAGACATCACAGAGCAGTTTCTGAGAATGCTTATCTGTCTAGATTTTATAGGAAGATATTCCCGTTTCCAACGAAATCTTCACAGCTATCCAAATATCCACTTGCAGATTCTACAAAAAGAGTGTATCAAAACTGCTCTGTCAAAAGGAAGGTTCTTTTCTGTTAGGTGAGTGCATACGTCATAAAGGAGTTTCTGAGAATGTTCTGTCTAGTGGTTATGGGAAGATATTTGCTTTTTCACCGTAGGCCTCAGAGCGCTCCAAATATCCACTTGCACATACTACAAAAAGAGTGCTTCAAAGCTGTTCTTTGAAAGGGAATGTTCAACTCTATGAGTTGAATGCAAACATCACAAAGACGTTTCTGAGAATGCTTCTTTCTAGATTTGATATGAAGATATTCCCGTTTCCAACGAAATCTTCAAATCTATCCAAATGTCCACTTGCAGATTCAACAAAACGTGTTTTTCAGAACTGCTCTATCAAAAGAAAGATCCACCTCTGTTAGCTGAGTTCACACATCACAAACAAGTTTATGAGAATGCTTCTGTCTAGTTTTTATTTAAAGATATTTCCTTTCTCACCATAGACCTGAAAGCTGTCCTAATGTTCACTTCCAGATACTACAGAAAGAGTGTTTCAAAACTGCTGTACGAAAGGGAATGTTCAACTCTGTGACTTGAATGCACACATCACAAAGAAATTTCTGAGGATGCTGCTGTCTACTTTTTATACGTAATCCCATTTCCAACGAAATCCTCCAAGCTATCCAAATATCCACTTGCAGATTCCACAGAAAGACTGTTTCAAAACTGCTATGTCAATAGAAAAGTTCAACTCAGTTAGCTGTGTGCATATATCCCAAAGAAAATTCTGAGATTGCTTCTGTCTAGTTTTTATGGGAAGATATTTCCCTTTTCACCGTAGGCGTCAAGGCGCTCCAAATGTCCACTTCCAGATACTACAAAAAGAGTGTTTCAAACCTACTCTGTGAAAGGGAATATTCAACTCTGTGACTTGAATGCACATAACACAAGGAAGTTTCTGAGAATGCTTCTGTCGAGATTTTATATGAAGATATTCCCGTTTCCAACGAAATCCTGAAATGTATCCAAATATCCCCTCGCAGATTATACAAAAAGAGTGTTTCAAAACTGCTCTGTAAAAAGAAAGGTTCAACTCTGTTAGTTGAGTACACACATCACAAACAAGTTTCACAGAATGCTTCTTTCTAGCTTGTAGGGGAAGATATTCCCTTTATCAACATGGGCCTCAAACCGTCCGAAACGTCCACTTCCATATACTACAAAAAGAGCGTTTCAAACCTGCTCTATGAAAGGCAATGTTCAACTCTGTGACTTGAATGCAGACATCACAGAGCAGTTTCTGAGAATGCTTCTGTCTAGATTTTATAGGAAGATATTCCCGTTTCCAACGAAATCTTCACAGCTATCCAAATATCCAGTTGCAGATTCTACAAAAAGAGTGTATCAAAACTGCTCTGTCAAAAGGAAGCTTCTTCTCTGTTAGGTGAGTGCATACGTCATAAAGGAGTTTCTGAGAATGTTTCAGTCTAGTGGTTATGGGAAGATATTTGCTTTTTCACCGCAGAGCTCACAGCGCTCCAAATATCCACTTGCACATACTACAAAAAGAGTGCTTCAAAGCTGCCCTCTGAAACGGAATGTTCAACTCTATGAGTTGAATGCAAACATCACAAAGACGTTTCTGAGAATGCTTCTGTCTAGATTTGATATGAAGATATTCCCGTTTCCAACGAAATCTTCAAATCTATCCAAATGTCCACTTGCAGATTCAACAAAAAGTGTTTTCCCGAACTGCTCTATCAAAAGAAAGATCCGCCTCTGTTAGCTGAGTCCACACATCACAAACAAGTTTACGAGAATGCTTCCGTCTAGTTTTTAATTGAAGATATTTCCTTTCTCACCATAGACCTGAAAGCTGTCCTAATGTTCACTTCCAGTTACTACAGAAAGAGTGTTTCAAAACTGCTGTACGAAAGGGAATGTTCAACTCTGTGACTTGAATGCACACATCACAAAGAAGTTTCTGAGGATGCTGCTGTCTACTTTTTATACGTAATCCCGTTTCCAACGAAATCCTCCAAGCTATCCAAATATCCACTTGCAGATTCTACAGAAAGACTGTTTCAAAACTGCTCTGTCAATAGAAAGGTTCAACTCTGTTAGCTGTGTGCATATATCCCAAAGAAGATTCTGAGATTGCTTCTGTCTACTTTTTATGAGAAGATATTTTCCCTTTTCACCGTAGGTGTCAAGGCGCTCCAAATGTCCACTTCCAGATACTACAAAAAGAGTGTTTCAAACCTACTCTGTGAAAGGGAATATTCAACTCTGTGACTTGAATGCACATATCACAAAGAAGTTTCTGAGAATGCTTCTGTCGAGATTTTATATGAAGATATTCCCGTTTCCAACGAAACCCTGAAATCTATCCAAATATCCCCTCGCAGATTCTACAAAAAGAGTGTTTCAAAACTGCTCTGTAAAAAGAAAGGTTCAACTCTGTTAGTTGAGTACACACATTACAAACCAGTTTCACAGAATGCTTCTTTCTAGCTTGTAGGGGAAGATATTCCCTTTAACACCATGGGCCTCAAACCGTCCGAAACGTCCACTTCCATATACTACAAAAAGAGCGTTTCAAACCTACTCTATGAAAGGCAATGTTCAACTCTGTGACTTGAATGCAGACATCACAGAGCAGTTTCTGAGAATGCTTCTGTCTAGATTTTATAGGAAGATATTCCCGTTTCCAACGAAATCTTCACAGCTATCCAAATATCCACTTGCAGATACTACAAAAAGAGTGTATCAAAACTGCTCTGTCAAAAGGAAGGTTCTTCTCTGTTAGGTGAGTGCATACGTCATAAAGGAGTTTCTGAGAATGTTTCTGTCTAGTGGTTATGGGAAGATATTTGCTTTTTCCCGTAGGCCTCAGGGCGCTCCAAATGTCCACTTGCACATGCTACAAAAAGAGTGCTTCAAAGCTGCTCTCTGAAAGGGAATGTTCAACTCTATGAGTTGAATGCAAACATCACAAAGACGTTTCTGAGAATGCTTCTGTCTAGATTTGATATGAAGATATTCCCGTTTCCAACGAAATCTTCAAATCTATCCAAATGTCCACTTGCAGATTCAACAAAAAGTGTTTTTCAAAACTGCTCTATCTAAAGAAAGATCCACGTCTGTTAGCTGAGTTCACACATCACAAACAAGTTTATGAGAATGCTTTCTGTCTAGTTTTTATTTGAAGATATTTCCTTTCTCACCATAGACCTGAAAGCTGTCCTAATGTTCACTTCCAGATACTACAGAAAGAGTGTTTCAAAACTGCTGTACGAAAGGGAATGTTCAACTCTGGGACTTGAATGCATACATCACAAAGAAGTTTCTGAGGATGCTGCTGTCTACTTTTTATACGTAATCCCGTTTCCAAAGAAATCCTCCAAGCTATCCAAATATCCACTTGCAGATTCCACAAAAAGACTGTTTCAAAACTGCTCTGTCAATAGAAAGGTTCAACTCTGTTAGCTGCGTGCATATATCCCAAAGAAGATTCTGAGATTGCTTCTGTCTACTTTTTATGAGAAGATATTTCCCTTTTCACTGTAGGTGTCAAGGCGCTCCAAATGTCCACTTCCAGATACTACAAAAAGAGTGTTTCAAACCTACTCTGTGAAAGGGAATATTCAACTCTGTGACTTGAATGCACATATCACAAAGAAGTTTCTGAGAATGCTTCTGTCGAGATTTTATATGAAGATATTCCCGTTTCCAACGAAATCCTGAAACCTATCCAAATATCCCCTCGCAGATTCTACAAAAAGAGTGTTTCAAAACTGCTCTGTAAAAAGAAAGGTTCAACTCTTTTAGTTGAGTACACACATCACAAACAAGTTTCACAGAATGCTTCTTTCTAGCTTGTAGGGGAAGATATTCCCTAAAACACCATGGGCCTCAAACCGTCCGAAACGTCCACTTCCATATACTACAAAAAGAGTGTTTCAAACCTGCTCTATGAAAGGCAATGTTCAACTCTGTGACTTGAATGCAGACAACACAGAGCAGTTTCTGAGAATGCTTCTGTCCAGACTTTATAGGAAGATATTCCCGTTTCCAATGAAATCTTCACAGCTATCCAAGTATCCACTTGCAGATACTACAAAAGAGTGTATCAAAACTGCTCTGTCAAAAGGAAGGTTCTTCTCTGTTAGTTGAGTACATACGTCATAAAGGAGTTTCTGAGAATGTTTCTGTCTAGTGGTTATGGGAAGATATTTGCTTTTTCACCGTAGGCCTCAGAGGGCTCAAAATATCCACTTGCACATACTACAAAAAGAGTGCCTCAAAGCTGCTCTCTGAAACGGAATGTGCAACTCTATGAGTTGAATGCAAACATCGCAAAGACGTTTCTGAGAATGCTTCTGTCTAGATTTGATATGAAGATATTCCCGTTTCCAACGAAATCTTCAAATCTATCCAAATGTCCACTTGCAGATTCAACAAAGTGTTTTTCAAAACTGCTGTATCAAAAGAAAGATCCACCTCTGTTAGCTGAGTTCACACTTCACAAACAAGTTTATCAGAAAGCTTCTGTCTAGTATTTATTTGAAGATATTTCCCTTCTCACCATAGACCTGAAAGCTGTCCTAATGTTCACTTCCAGATACTACAGAAAGAGTGTTTCAAAACTGCTGTACGAAAGGGAATGTTCAACTCTGTGACTTGAATGCACACATCACAAAGAAGTTTCTGAGGATGCTGCTGTCTACTTTTTATACGTAATCCCGTTTCCAACGAAATCCTCCAAGCTATCCAAATATCCACTTGCAGATTCCACAGAAAGACTGTTTCAAAACTGCTCTGTCAATAGAAAGGTTCAACTCTGTTAGCTGCGTGCATATATCCCAAAGAAGATTCTGAGATTGCTCTGTCTAGTTTTTATGGGAAGATATTTCCCTTTTCACCGTAGGCGTCAAGGCGCTCCAAATGTCCACTTCCAGATACTACAAAAAGAGTGTTTCAAACCTACTCTGTGAAAGGGAATATTCAACTCGGTGACTTGAATGGAGATATCACAAAGAACTTTCTGAGAATGCTTCTGTCGAGATTTTATATGAAGATATTCCCGTTTCCAACGAAATCCTGAAATCTATCCAAATATCCCCTCGCAGATTCTATAAAAAGAGTGTTTCAAAACTGCTCTGTAAAAAGAAAGGTTCAACTCTGTTAGTTGAGTACACACATCACAAAGAAGTTTCACAGAATGCTTCTTTCTAGCTTGTAGGGGAAGATATTCCCTTTATCACCATGGGCCTCAAACCGTCCGAACCGTCCACTTCCATATACTACAAAAAGAGCGTTTCAAACCTGCTCTAGGAAAGGCAATGTTCAACTCTGTGACTTGAATGCAGACATCACAGAGCAGTTTCTGAGAATGCTTCTGTCTAGATTTTATAGGAAGATATTCCCGTTTCCAACGAAATCTTCACAGCTATCCATATATCCACTTGCAGATTCTACAAAAAGAGTGTATCAAAACTGCTCTGTCAAAAGGAGGGTTCTTCTCTGTTAGTTGAGTACATACGTCATAAAGGATTTTCTGAGAATGTTTCTGTCTAGTGGTTATGGGAAGATATTTGCTTTTTCACTGTAGGCCTCACAGCGCTCCAAATATCCACTTGCACATACTACAAAAAGAGTGCTTCAAAGCTGCTCTCTGAAACGGAATGTTCAACTCTATGAGTTGAATGCAAACATCACAAAGACGTTTCTGAGAATGCTTCTGTTTAGATTTGATATGAAGATATTCCCGTTTCCAACGAAATCTTCAAATCTATCCAAATATCCACTTGCAGATTCAACAAAAAGTGTTTTTCAGAACTGCTCTATCAAAAGAAAGATCCACCTCTGTTAGCTGAGTTCACACATCACAAACAAGTTTATGAGAATGCTTCTGTCTAGTTTTTATTTGAAGATATTTCCTTTCTCACCATAGACCTGAAAGCTGTCCTAATGTTCACTTCCAGATGCTACAGAAAGTGTGTTTCAAAACTGCTGTACGAAAGGGATTGTTCAACTCTGTGACTTGAATGCACACATCACAAAGAAGTTTCTGAGGATGCTGCTGTCTACTTTTTATACTTAATCCCGTTTCCAACGAAATCCTCCAAGCTATCCAAATATCCACTTGCAGATTCCACAGAAAGACTGTTTCAAAACTGGTCTGTCAATAGAAAGGTTCAACTCTGTTAGCTGCGTGCATATATCCCAAAGAAGATTCTGAGATTGCTTCTGTCCAGTTTTTATGGGAAGATATTTCCCTTTCCACCGTAGGCGTCAAGGCGCTCCAAATGTCCACTTCCAGATACTACAAAAAGAGTGTTTCAAACCTACTCTGTGAAAGGGAATATTCAACTCTGTGACTTGAATGCACATATCACAAAGAAGTTTCTGAGAATGCTTCTGTCGAGATTTTATATGAAGATATTACCGTTTCCAACGAAATCCTGAAATCTATCCAAATATCCCCTCACAGATTCTACAAAAAGAGTGTTTCAAAACTGCTCTGTAAAAAGAAAGGTTCAACTCTGTTAGTTGAGTACACACATCACAAACAAGTTTCACAGAATGCTTCTTTCTAGCTTGTAGGGGAAGATATTCCCTTTATCACCATGGGCCTCAAACGGTCCGAATCGTCTACTTCCATATAGTACAAAAAGAGCGTTTCAAACCTGCTCTATGAAAGGCAATGTTCAACTCTGTGACTTGAATGCAGACATCACAGAGCAGTTTCTGAGAATGCTTCTGTCTAGATTTCATAGGAAGATATTCCCGTTTCCAACGAAATCTTCACAGCTATCCAAATATCCACTTGCAGATTCTACAAAAAGAGTGTATCAAAACTGCTCTGTCAAAAGGAAGGTTCTTTTCTGTTAGGTGAGTGCATACGTCATAAAGGAGTTTCTGAGAATGTTTCTGTCTACTGGTTATGGGAAGATATTTGCTTTTTCACCGTAGGCCTCAGAGCGCTCCAAATATCCCCTTGCACATACTACAAAAAGAGTGCTTCAAAGCTGCTCTCTGAAAGGGAATGTTCAACTCTGTGAGTTGAATGCAAACATCACAAAGACGTTTCTGAGAATGCTTCTGTCTAGATTTGATATGAAGATATTCCCGTTTCCAACGAAATCTTCAAATCTATCCAAATGTCCACTTCCAGATTCAACAAAAAGTGTTTTTCAGAACTGCTCTATCAAAAGAAAGATCCACCTCTGTTAGCTGATTTCACACATCACAAACATGTTTATGACAATGCTTTTGTCTAGTTTTTATTTGAAGATATTTCCTTTCTCACCATAGACCTGAAAGCTGTCCTAATGTTCACTTCCAGTTACTACAGAAAGAGTGTTTCAAAACTGCTGTACGAAAGGGAATGTTCAACTCTGTGACTTGAATGCACACATCACAAAGAAGTTTCTGAGGATGCTGCTGTCTACTTTTTATACTTAATCCCGTTTCCAACGAAATCCTCCAAGCTATCCAAATATCCACTTGCAGATTCCACAGAAAGACTGTTTCAAAACCGCTCTGTCAATAGAAAGGTTCAACTCTGTTAGCTGCGTGCATATATCCCAAAGAAGATTCTGAGATTGCTTCTGTCTAGTTTTTATGGGAAGATATTTCCCTTTTCACCGTAGGTGTCAAGGCGCTCAAAATGTCCACTTCCAGATACTACAAAAAGAGTGTTTCAAACCTACTCTGTGAAAGGGAATATTCAACTCTGTGACTTGAATGCAGATATCACAAAGAAGTTTACTGAGAATGCTTCTGTCGAGATTTTATATGAAGATATTCCCGTTTCCAACGAAATCCTGAAATCTATCCAAATATCCCCTCACAGATTCTACAAAAAGAGTGTTTCAAAACTGCTCTGTAAAAAGAAAGGTTCAACTCTGTTAGTGGAGTACACACATCACAAACAAGTTTCACAGAATGCTTCTTTCTAGCTTGTAGGGGAAGATATTCCCTTTATCACCATGGGCCTCAAACCGTCCGAAACGTCCACTTCCACATACTACAAAAAGAGCGTTTCAAACCTGCTCTATGAAAGGCAATGTTCAACTCTGTGACTTGAATGCAGACATCACAGAGCAGTTTCTGAGAATGCTTCTGTCTAGATTTTATAGGAAGATATTCCCGTTTCCAACGAAATCTTCACAGCTATCCAAATATCCACTTGCAGATTCTACAAAAAGAGTGTATCAAAACTGCTCTGTCAAAAGGAAGGTTCTTCTCAGTTAGGTGAGTGCATACGTCATAAAGGAGTTTCTGAGAATGTTTCTGTCTAATGGTTATGGGAAGATATTTCCTTTTTCACCGTAGGCCTCAGAGCGCTCCAAATATCCACTTGCACATACTACAAAAAGAGTGCTTCAAAGCTGCTCTCTGAAACGGAATGTTCAACTCTATGAGTTGAATGCAAACATCACAAAGACGTTTCTGAGAATGCTTCTGTCTAGATTTGATATGAAGATATTCCCGTTTCTAACGAAATCTTCAAATCTATCCAAATGTCCACTTGCAGATTCAACAAAAAGTGTTTTTCAGAACTGCTCTATCAAAAGAAAGATCCACCTCTGTTAGCTGAGTTCAGACATCACAAACAAGTTTATGAGAATGCTTCTGTCTAGTTTTTATTTGAAGATATTTCCTTTCTCACCATAGACCTGAAAGCTGTCCTAATGTTCACTTCCAGATACTACAGAAAGAGTGTTTCAAAACTGCTGTACGAAAGGGAATGTTCAACTCTGTGACTTGAATGCACACATCACAAAGAAGCTTCTGAGGATGCTGCTGTCTACTTTTTATACGTAATCCCGTTTCCAACGAAATCCTCCAAGCTATCCAAATATCCACTTGCAGATTCCACAGAAAGACTGTTTCAAAACTGCTCTGTCAATAGAAAAGTTCAACTCTGTTAGCTGTGTCCATATATCCCAAAGAAGATTCTGAGATTGCTTCTGTCTACTTTTTATGAGAAGATATTTCCCTTTTCAACGTAGGCGTCAAGGCGCTCCAAATGTCCACTTCCAGATACTACAAAAAGAGTGTTTCAAACCTACCCTGTGAAAGGGAATATTCAACTCTGTGACTTGAATGCACATATCACAAAGAAGCTTCTGAGAATGCTTCTGTCGAGATTTTATATGAAGATATTCCCGTTTCCAACGAAATCCTGAAATCTATCCAAATATCCCCTCGCAGATTCTACAAAAAGAGTGTTTCAAAACTGCTCTGTAAAAAGAAAGGTTCAACTCCGTTAGTTGAGTACACACATCACAAACAAGTTTCACAGAATGCTTCTTTCTAGCTTGTAGGGGAAGATATTCCCTTTATCACCCTGGGCCTCCAACCGTCCGAAACGTCCACTTCCATATACTACAAAAAGAGCGTTTCAAACCTGCTCTAGGAAAGGCAATGTTCAATTCTGTGACTTCAATGCAGACATCACAGAGCAGTTTCTGAGAATGCTTCTGTCTAGATTTTATAGGAAGGTATTCCCGTTTCCAACGAAATATTCACAGCTATCCAAATATCCACTTGCAGATTCTACAAAAAGAGTGCATCAAAACTGCTCTGTCAAAAGGAAGGTTCTTCTCTGTTAGGTGAGTGCATACGTCATAAAGGAGTTTCTGAGAATGTTTCTGTCTAGTGGTTATGGGAAGATATTTGCTTTTACACCGTAGGCCTCAGAGCGCTCCAAATATCCACTTGCACATACTACAAAAAGAGTGCTTCAAAGCTGGTCTCTGAAACGGAATGTTCAACTCTATGAGTTGAATGCAAACATCACAAAGACGTTTCTGAGAATGCTTCTGTCTAGATTTGATATGAAGATATTCCCGTTTCCAACGAAATCTTCAAATCTATCCAAATGTCCACTTGCAGATTCAACAAAACGTGTTTTTCAGAACTGCTCTATCAAAAGAAAGATCCACGTCTGTTAGCTGAGTTCACACATCACAAACAAGTTTTATGAGAATGCTTCTGTCTAGTTTTTATTTGAAGATATTGCCTTTCTCACCATAGACCTGAAAGCTGTCCTAATGTTCACTTCCAGATACTACAGAAAGAGTGTTTCAAAACTGCTGTACGAAAAGGAATGTTCAACTCTGTGACTTGAATGAACACATCACAAAGAAGTTTCTGAGGATGCTGCTGTCTACTTTTTATAGGTAATCCCGTTTCCAACGAAATCCTCCAAGCTATCCAAATATCCACTTGCAGATTCCACAGAAAGACTGTTTCAAAACTGCTCTGTCAATAGAAAGGTTCAACTCTGTTAGCTGCGTGCATATATCCCAAAGAAGATTCTGAGATTGCTTCTGTCTAGTTTTTATGGGAAGATATTTCCCTTTTCACCATAGGTGTCAAGGCGCTCCAAATGTCCACTTCCAGATACTACAAAAAGAGTGTTTCAAACCTACTCTGTGAAAGGGAATATTCAACTCTGTGACTTGAATGCAGATATCACAAAGAAGTTTCTGAGAATGCTTCTGTCGAGATTTTATATGAAGATATTCCCGTTTCCAATGAAATCCTGAAATCTATCCAAATATCCCCTCGCAGATTCTACAAAAAGAGTGTTTCAAAACTGCTCTGTAAAAAGAAAGGTTGAACTCTGTTAGTTGAGTACACACATCACAAACAAGTTTCACAGAATGCTTCTTTCTAGCTTGTAGGGGAAGATATTCCCTTCATCACCATGGGCCTCCAACCGTCCGAAACATCCACTTCCATATACTACAAAAAGAGCGTTTCAAACCTGCTCTATGAAAGGCAATGTTCAACTCTGTGACTTGAATGCAGACATCACAGAGCAGTTTCTGAGAATGCTTCTGTCTAGATTTTATAGGAAGATATTCCCGTTTCCAACGAAATCTTCACAGCTATCCAAATATCCAGTTGCAGATTCTGCAAAAAGAGTGTATCAAAACTGCTCTGTCAAAAGGAAGGTTCTTCTCTGTTAGGTGAGTGCATACGTCATAAAGGAGTTTCTGAGAATGTTTCTGTCTAGTGGTTATGGGAAGATATTTTCTTTTTCACCGTAGGCCTCAGAGCGCTCCAAATATCCACTTGCACATACTACAAAAAGAGTGTTCCAAAGCTGCTCTCTGAAAGGGAATGTTCAACTCTATGAGTTGAATGCAAACATGACAAAGACGTTTCTGAGAATGCTTCTGTCTAGATTTGATATGAAGATATTCCCGTTTCCAACGAAATCTTCAAATCTATCCAAATGTCCACTTGCAGATTCAACAAAAAGTGTTTTTCAGAACTGCTCTATCAAAAGAAAGATCCACCTCTGTTAGCTGAGATCACACTTCACAAACAAGTTTATCAGAATGCTTTCTGTCTAGTTTTTATTTGAAGATATTTCCTTTCTCACCATAGACCTGAAAGCTGTCCTAATGTTCACTTCCAGATACTACAGAAAGAGTGTTTCAAAACTGCTGTACGAAAGGGAATGTTGAACTCTGTGACTTGAATGCACACATCACAAAGAAGTTTCTGAGGATGCTGCTGTCTACTTTTTATACGTAATCCCGTTTCCAACGAAATCCTCCAAGCTATCCAAATATCCACTTGCAGATTACACAGAAAGACTGTTTCAAAACTGCTCTGTCAATAGAAAGGTTCAACTCTGTTAGCTGCGTGCATGTATCCCAAAGAAGATTCTGAGATTGCTTCTGTCTAGTTTTTATGGGAAATATTTCCCTTTTCACCGTAGGTGTCAAGGCGCTCCAAATGTCCACTTCCAGATACTACAAAAAGAGTGTTTCAAACCTACTCTGTGAAAGGGAATATTCAACTCTGTGACTTGAATGCACATATCACAAAGAAGTTTCTGAGAATGCTTCTGTCGAGATTTTATATGAAGATATTCCCGTTTCCAACGAAATGCTGAAATCTATCCAAATATCCCCTCGCAGATTCTACAAAAAGAGTGTTTCAATACTGCTCTGTGAAAAGAAAGGTTCAACTCTGTTAGTTGAGTACACACATCACAAACAAGTTTCACACAATGCTTCTTTCTAGCTTGTAGGGGAAGATATTCCCTTTATCACCATGGGCCTCAAACCGTCCGATAAGTCCACTTCCATATACTACAAAAAGAGCGTTTCAAACCTGCTCTATGAAAGGCAACCGTTCAACTCTGTGACTTGAATGCAGACATCACAGAGCAGTTTCTGAGAATGCTTCTGTCTAGATTTTATAGGAAGATATTCCCGTTTCCAACGAAATCTTCACAGCTATCCAAATATCCACTTGGAGATTCTACAAAAAGAGTGTATCAAAACTGTTCTGTCAAAAAGAAGGTTCTTCTCTGTTAGTTGAGTACATACGTCATAAAGGAGTTTCTGAGAATGTTTCAGTCTAGTGGTTATGGGAAGATATTTGCTTTTTCACCGTAGACCTCACAGCGCTCCAAATATCCACTTGCACATACTACAAAAAGAGTGCTTCAAAGCTGCCCTCTGAAACGGAATGTTCAACTCTATGAGTTGAATGCAAACATCACAAAGACGTTTCTGAGAATGCTTCTGTCTAGATTTGATATGAAGATATTCCCGTTTCCAACGAAATCTTAAAATCTATCCAAATGTCCACTTGCAGATTCAACAAAAAGTGTTTTTCAGAACTGCTCTATCAAAAGAAAGATCCACCTCTGTTAGCTGAGTTCACACATCACAAACAAGTTTATGAGAATGCTTCTGTCTAGTTTTTATTTGAAGATATTTCCTTTCTCACCATAGACCTGAAAGCTGTCCTAATGTTCACTTCCAGATAATACAGAAAGAGTGTTTCAAAACTGCGGTACGAAAGGGAATGTTCAACTCTGTGACTTGAATGCACACATCACAAAGAAGTTTCTGAGGATGCTGCTGTCTACTTTTTATACTTAATCCCGTTTCCAACGAAATCCTCCAAGCTATCCAAATATCCACTTCCAGATTCCACAGAAAGACTGTTTCAAAACTGCTCTGTCAATACAAAGGTTCAACTCTGTTAGCTGCGTGCATATATCCCAAAGAAGATTCTGAGATTGCTTCTGTCTACTTTTTATGAGAAGATATTTCCCTTTTCACCGTAGGCGTCAAGGTGCTCAAAATGTCCACTTCCAGATACTACAAAAAGAGTGTTTCAAACCTACTCTGTGAAAGGGAATATTCAACTCTGTGACTTGAATGCACATATCACAAAGAAGCTTCTCAGAATGCTTCTGTCGAGATTTTATATGAAGATATTCCCGTTTCCAACGAAATCCAGAAATCTATCCAAATATCCCCTCGCAGATTCTACAAAAAGAGTGTTTCAAAACTGCTCTGTGAAAAGAAAGGTTCAACTCTGTTAGTTGAGTACACACATCACAAACAAGTTTCACAGAATGCTTCTTTCTAGCTTGTAGGGGAAGATATTCCCTTTATCACCGTGGGCCTCAAACCGTCCGAAACGTCCACTTCCATATACTACAAAAAGAGCGTTTCAAACCTGCTCTATGAAAGGCAATGTTCAACTCTGTGACTTGAATGCAGACATCACAGAGCAGTTTCTGAGAATGCTTCTGTCTAGATTTTATAGGAAGATATTCCCGTTTCCAACGAAATCTTCACAGCTATCCAAATATCCACTTGCAGATTCTGCAAAAAGAGTGTATCAAAACTGCTCAGTCAAAAGGTAGGTTCTTCTCTGTTAGGTGAGTGCATACGTCATAACGGAGTTTCTGAGAATGTTTCTGTCTAGTGGTTATGGGAAGATATTTGCTTTTTCCCCGTAGGCCTCAAAGCGCTCCAAATGTCCACTTGCACATACTACAAAAAGAGTGCTTCAAAGCTGCTCTCTGAAAGGGAATGTTCAACTCTATGAGTTGAATGCATACATCACAAAGACGTTTCTGAGAATGCTTCTGTCTAGACTTGATATGAAGATATTCCCGTTTCCAACGAAACCTTCAAATCTATCCAAATGTCCACTTGCAGATTCAACAAAAAGTGTTTTTCAGAACTGCTCTATCAAAAGAAAGATCCACCTCTGTTAGCTGAGTTCACACATCACAAACAAGTTTATGAGAATGCTTCTGTCTAGTTTTTATTTGAAGATATTTCCTTTCTCACCATAGACCTGAAAGCTGTCCTAATGTTCACTTCCAGATACTACAGAAAGAGTGTTTCAAAACTGCTGTACGAAAGGGAATGTTCATCTCTGTGACTTGAATGCACACATCACAAAGAAGTTTCTGAGGATGCTGCTGTCTACTTTTTATACGTAATCCCGTTTCCAAAGAAATCCTCGAAGCTATCCAAATATCCACTTGCAGATTCCACAGAAAGACTGTTTCAAAACTGCTCTGTCAATAGAAAGGTTCAACTCTATTAGCTGCGTGCATATATCCCAAAGAAGATTCTGAGATTGCTTCTGTCTAGTTTTTATGGGAAGATATTTCCCTTTTCACCGTAGGTGTCAAGGCGCTCCAAATATCCACTTCCAGATACTACAAAAAGAGTGTTTCAAACCTACTCTGTGAAAGGGAATATTCAACTCTGTGACTTGAATGCAGATATCACAAAGAAGTTTCTGAGAATGCTTCTGTCGAGATTTTATATGAAGATATTCCCGTTTCCAACGAAATCCTGAAATCTATCCAAATATCCCCTCGCAGATTCTACAAAAAGAGTGTTTCAAAACTGCTCTGTAAAAGGAAAGGTTCAACTCTGTTAGTTGAGTACACACATCACAAACAAGTTTCACAGAATGCTTCTTTCTAGCTTGTAGGGAAAGATATTCCCTTTAACACCATGGGCCTCAAACCGTCCGAAACGTCCACTTCCATATACTACAAAAAGAGCGTTTCAAACCTGCTCTAGGAAAAGCAATGTTCAACTCTGTGACTTGAATGCAGACATCACAGAGCAGTTTCTGAGAATGCTTCTGTCTAGATTTTATAGGAAGATATTCCCGTTTCCATCGAAATCTTCACAGCTATCCAAATATCCACTTGCAGATTGTACAAAAAGAGTGTATCAAAACTGCTCTTTCAAAAGGAAGGTTCTTCTCTGTTAGTTGAGTACATACGTCATAAAGGAGTTTCTGAGAATGTTTCTGTCTAGTGGTTATGGGAAGATATTTGCTTTTTCACCTTAGGCCTCAGAGCGCTCCAAATATCCCCTTGCACATACTACAAAAAGAGTGCTTCAAAGCTGCTCTCTGAAAGGGAATCTTCAACTCTATGAGTTGAATGCAAACATCACAAAGACGTTTCTGAGAATGCTTCTGTCTAGATTTCATATAAAGATATTCCTGTTTCCAACGAAATCTTCAAATCTATTCAAATGTCCACTTGCAGATTCAACAAAAAGTGTTTTTCAAAACTGCTGTTTCGAAAGAAAGATCCACCTGTTAGCTGAGTTCACACTTCACAAACAAGTTTATCAGAATGCTTCTGTCTAGTTTTTATTTGAAGATATTTCCTTTCTCACCATAGACCTGAAAGCTGTCCTAATGTTCACTTCCAGATACTACAGAAAGAGTGTTTCAAAACTGCTGTACGAAATGGAATGTTCAACTCTGTGACTTGAATGCACACATCACAAAGAAGTTTCTGAGGATGCTGCTGTCTACTTTTTATACGTAATCCCGTTTCCAACGAAATCCTCCAAGCTATCCAAATATCCACTTGCAGATTCCACAGAAAGACTGTTTCAAATCTGCTCAGTCAATAGAAAGGTTCAACTCTGTTAGCTGCGTGCATATATCCCAAAGAAGATTCTGAGATTGCTTTCTGTCTAGTTTTTATGGGAAGATATTTACCTTTTCACCGTAGGCGCCAAGGCGTTCCAAATGTCCACTTCCAGATACTACAAAAAGAGTGTTTCAAACCTACTCTGTGAAAGGGAATATTCAACTCTGTGACTTGAAGGCAGATATCACAAAGAAGTTTCCTGAGAATGCTTCTGTCGAGATTTTATATGAAGATATTCTCGTTTCCAACGAAATCCTGAAACCTATCCAAATATCCCCTCACAGATTCTACAAAAAGAGTGTTTCAAAACTGCTCTGTAAAAAGAAAGGTCCAACTCTGTTAGTTGAGTACACACATCACAAACAAGTTTCACAGAATGCTTCTTTCTAGCTTGTAGGGGAAGATATTCCCTTTATCACCATGGGCCTCAAACCATCCGAAACGTCCACTTCCATATACTACAAAAAGAGCGTTTCAAACCTGCTCTATGAAAGGCAATGTTCAACTCTGTGACTTGAATGCAGACATCACAGAGCAGTTTCTGAGAATGCTTCTGTCTAGATTTTATAGGAAGATATTCCCGTTTCCAGCAAAATCTTCACAGCTATCCAAATATCCACTTGCAGATTCTACAAAAAGAGTGTATCAAAACTGCTCTGTCAAAAGGAAGGTTCTTCTCTGTTAGGTGAGTGCATACGTCATAAAGGAGTTTCTGAGAATGTTTCCGTCTAGTGGTTATGGGAAGATATTTGCTTTCTCACCGTAGGCCTCAGAGCGCTCCAAATATCCACTTGCACATACTACAAAAAGAGTGCTTCAAAGCTGCTCTCTGAAACGGAATGTTCAACTCTATGAGTTGAATGCAAACATCACAAAGACGTTTCTGAGAATGCTTCTGTCTAGATTTGTTATGAAGATATTCCCGTTTCCAACGAAATCTTCAAATCTATCCAAATGTCCACTTGCAGATTCAACAAAAAGTGTTTTTCAGAACTGCTCTATCAAAAGAAAGATCCACCTCTGTTAGCTGAGTTCACACATCACAAACAAGTTTATGAGAATGCTTCTGTCTAGTTTTTATTTGAAGATATTTCCTTTCTCACCATAGACCTGAAAGCTGTCCTAATGTTCACTTCCAGATACTACAGAAAGAGTGTTTCAAAACTGCTGTACGAAAGGGAATGTTCAACTCTGTGGCTTGAATGCACACATCACAAAGAAGTTTCTGAGGATGCTGCTGTCTACTTTTTGTACGTAATCCCGTTTCCAACGAAATCCTCCAAGCTATCCAAATATCCACTTGCAGATTCCACAGAAAGACTGTTTCAAAACTGCTCTGTCAATAGAAAGGTTCAACTCTGTTAGCTGCGTGCATATATCCCAAAGAAGATTCTGAGATTGCTTCTGTCTAGTTTTTATGGGAAGATATTTCCCTTTTCACCGTAGGCGTCAAGGCGCTCCAAATGTCCACTTCCAGATACTACAAAAAGAGTGTTTCAAACCTACTCTGTGAAAGGGAGTATTCAACCCTGTGACTTGAATACACATATCACAAAGAAGTTTCTGAGAATGCTTCTGTCGAGATTTTATATGAAGATATTCCCGTTTCCATCGAAATCCTGAAATCTATCCAAATATCCCCTCGCAGATTCTACAAAAAGAGAGTTTCAAAACTGCTCTGTAAAAAGAAAGGTTCAACTCTGTTAGTTGAGTACACACATCACAAACAAGTTTCACAGAATGCTTCTTTCTAGCTTGTAGGGGAAGATATTCCCTTTATCACCATGGGCCTCAAACCGTCCGAAACGTCCATTTCCATATACTACAAAAAGAGCGTTTCAAACCTGCTCCATGAAAGGCAATGTTCAACTCTGTGACTTGAACGGAGACATCACAGAGCAGTTTCTGAGAATGCTTCTGTCTAGATTTTATAGGAAGATATTCCCGTTTCCAACGAAATCTTCACAGCTATCCAAATATCCACTTGCAGATTCTACAAAAAGAGTGTATCAAAAATGCTCTGTCAAAAGGAAGGTTCTTCTCTGTTAGGTGAGTGCATACGTCATAGAGGAGTTTCTCAGAATGTTTCCTGTCTAGTGGTTATGGGAAGATATTTGCTTTTTCCCCGTAGGCCTCAGGGCGCTCCAAATGTCCACTTGCACATGCTACAAAAAGAGTGCTTCAAAGCTGCTCTCTGAAAGGGAATGTTCAACTCTATGAGTTGAATGCAAACATCACAAAGACGTTTCTGAGAATGCTTCTGTCTAGATTTGATATGAAGATATTCCCGTTTCCAACGAAATCTTCAAATCTATCCAAATGTCCACTTGCAGATTCAACAAAAAGTGTTTTTCAGAACTGCTCTATCAAAAGAAAGATCCACGTGTGTTAGTTGAGTTCACACATCACAAACAAGTTTATGAGAATGCTTCCGTCTAGTTTTTATTTGAAGATATTTCCTTTCTCACCATAGACCTGAAAGCTGTCCTAATGTTCACTTCCAGTTACTACAGAAAGAGTGTTTCAAAACTGCTGTACGAAAGGGAATGTTCAACTCTGTGACTTGAATGCACACATCACAAAGAAGTTTCTGAGGATGCTGCTGTCTAATTTTTATACGTAATCCCGTTTCCAACGAAATCCTCCAAGCTATCCAAATATCCACTTGCAGATTCCACAGAAAGACTGTTTCAAAACTGCTATGTCAATAGAAAAGTTCAACTACTGTTAGCTGTGTGCATATATCCCAAAGAAAATTCTGAGATTGCTTCTGTCTAGTTTTTATGGGAAGATATTTCCCTTTTCACTGTAGGCGTCAAGGCGCTCCAAATGTCCACTTCCAGATACTACAAAAAGAGTGTTTCAAACCTACTCTGTGAAAGGGAATATTCAACTCTGTGACTTGAATGCACATATCACAAAGAAGTTTCTGAGAATGCTTCTGTCGAGATTTTATATGAAGATATTCCCGTTTCCAACGAAATGCTGAAATGTATCCAAATAACCCATCGCAGATTCTACAAAAAGAGTGTTTCAAAACTGCTCTGTAAAAAGAAAGGTTCAACTCTGTTAGTTGAGTACACACATCACAAACAAGTTTCACAGAATGCTTCTTTCTAGCTTGTAGGGGAAGATATTCCCTTTATCACCATGGGCCTCAAACCGTCCGAAACGTCCACTTCCATATACTACAAAAAGAGCATTTCAAACCTGCTCTAGGAAAGGCAATGTTCAACTCTGTGAATTGAATGCAGACATCACAGAGCAGTTTCTGAGAATGCTTCTGTCTAGATTTTATAGGAAGATATTCCCGTTTCCAACGAAATCTTCACAGCTATCTAAATATCCACTTGCAGATTCTACAAAAAGAGTGTATCAAAAGTGCTCTGTCAAAAGGAAGGTTCTTCTCTGTTAGGTGAGTGCATACGTCATAAAGGAGTTTCTGAGAATGTTTCTGTCTACTGGTTATGGGAAGATATTTGCTTTTTCACCGTAGGCCTCAGAGCGCTCCAAATATCCACTTGCACATACTACAAAAAGAGTGCTTCAAAGCTGCTCTCTGAAACGGAATGTTCAACTCTATGAGTTGAATGCAAACATCACAAAGACGTTTCTGAGAATGCTTCTGTCTAGATTTGATATGAAGATATTCCCGTTTCCAACGAAATCTTCAAATCTATCCAAATGTCCACTTGCAGTTTCAACAAAAAGTGTTTTTCAGAACTGCTCTATCAAAAGAAAGATCCACCTCTGTTAGCTGAGTTCACACATCACAAACAAGTTTATGAGAATGCTTTCTGTCTAGTTTTTATTTGAAGATATTTCCTTTCTCACCATAGACCTGAAAGCTGTCCTAATGTTCACTTCCAGATACTACAGAAAGAGCATTTCAAAACTGCTGTACGAAAGAGAATGTTCAACTCTGTGACTTGAATGCACACATCACAAAGAAGTTTCTGAGGATGCTGCTGTCTACTTTTTATACTTAATCCCGTTTCCAACGAAGTCCTCCAAGCTATCCAAATATCCACTTGCAGATTCCACAGAAAGACTGTTTCAAAACTGCTCTGTCAATAGAAAGGTTCAACTCTGTTAGCTGCGTGCATATATCCCAAAGAAGATTCTGAGATTGCTTCTGTCTAGTTTTTATTGGAAGATATTTCCCTTTTCACCGTGGGCGTCAAGGCGCTCCAAATGTCCACTTCCAGATACTACAAAAAGAGTGTTTCAAACCTACTCTGTGAAAGGGAATATTCAACTCTGTGACTTGAATGCACATATCACAAGGAAGTTTCTGAGAATGCTTCTGTCGAGATTTTATATGAAGATATTCCCGTTTCCAACGAAATCCTGAAATCTATCCAAATATCCCCTCGCAGATTCTACAAAAAGAGTGTTTCAAAACTGCTCTGCAAAAAGAAAGGTTCAACTCTGTTAGTTGAGTACACACATCACAAACAAGTTTCCTCAGAATGCTTCTTTCTAGCTGCTAGGGGAAGATATTCCCTTTATCACCATGGGCCTCAAACCGTCCGAAACGTCCACTTCCATATACTACAAAAAGAGCGTTTCAAACCTGCTCTAGGAAAGGCAATGTTCAACTCTGTGATTTGAATGCAGACATCACAGAGCAGTTTCTGAGAATGCTTCTGTCTAGATTTTATAGGAGGATATTCCCGTTTCCAACGAAATCTTCACAGCTATCCAAATATCCACTTGCAGATTCTACAAAAAGAGTGTATCAAAACTGCTCTGTCAAAAGGAAGGTTCTTCTCTGTTAGGTGAGTGCATACGTCATAAAGGAGTTTCTGAGAATGTTTCTGTCTAGTGGTTATGGGAAGATACTTGCTTTTTCACCGTAGGCCTCAGAGCGCTCCAAATATCCACTTGCACATACTACAAAAAGAGTGCTTCAAAGCTGCTCTCTGAAACGGAATGTTCAACTCTATGAGTTGAATGCAAACATCACAAAGACGTTTCTGAGAATGCTTCTGTCTAGATTTGATATGAAGATATTCCCGTTTCCAACGAAATCTTCAAATCTATCCAAATGTCCACTTGCAGATTCAACAAAAAGTGTTTTTCAAAACTGCTCTATCAAAAGAAAGATCCACCTCTGTTAGCTGAGTTCACACATCACAAACAAGTTTATGAGAATGCTTCTGTCTAGTTTTTATTTGAAGATATTTCCTTTCTCACCATAGACGTGAAAGCTGTCCTAATGTTCACTTCCAGATACTACAGAAAGAGAGTTTCAAAACTGCTGTACGAAAGGGAATGTTCAACTCTGTGACTTGAATGCACACATCACAAAGAAGTTTCTGAGGATGCTGCTGTCTACTTTTTATGCGTAATCCCGTTTCCAACGAAATCCTCCAAGCTATCCAAATATCCACTTGCAGATTCCACAGAAAGACTGTTTCAAAACTGCTCTGTCAATAGAAAGGTTCAACTCTGTTAGCTGCGTGCAAATATCCCAAAGAAGATTCTGAGATTGCTTCTGTCTACTTTTTATGAGAAGATATTTCCCTTTTCACCGTAGGCGTCAAGGTGCTCCAAATGTCCACTTCCAGATACTACAAAAAGAGTGTTTCAAACCTACTCTGTGAAAGGGAATATTGAACTCTGTGACTTGAATGCACATATCACAAAGAAGCTTCTGAGAATGCTTCTGTCGAGATTTTATATGAAGATATTCCCGTTTCCAACGAAATCCTGAAATCTATCCAAATATCCCCTCGCAGATTCTACAAAAAGAGTGTTTCAACACTGCTCTGTAAAAAGAAAGGTTCAACTCTGTTAGTTGAGTACACACATCACAAACAAGTTTCACAGAATGCTTCTTTCTAGCTTGTAGGGGAAGATATTCCCTTTATCACCATGGGCTTCAAACCGTCCGAAACGTCCACTTCCATATACTACAAAAAGAGCGTTTCAAACCTGCTCTATGAAAGGCAATGTTCAACTCTGTGACTTGAATGCAGACATCACAGAGCAGTTTCTGAGAATGCTTCTGTATAGATTTTATAGGAAGATATTCCCGTTTCCAACGAAATCTTCACAGCTATCCAAATATCCACTTGCAGATTCTACAAAAAGAGTGTATCAAAACTGCTCTGTCAAAAGGAAGGTTCTTCTCTGTTAGGTGAGTGCATACGTCATAAAAGGAGTTTCTGAGAATGTTTCTGTGTAGTGGTTATGGGAAGATATTTGCTTTTTCACCGTAGGCCTCAGAGCGCTCCAAATATCCACTTGCACATACTACAAAAAGAGTGCTTCAAAGCTGCTCTCTGAAACGGAATGTTCAACTCTATGAGTTGAATGCAAACATCACAAAGACGTTTCCGAGAATGCTTCTGTCTAGATTTGATATGAAGATATTCCCGTTTCCAACGAAATCTTCAAATCTATCCAAATGTCCACTTGCATATTCAACAAAAGTGTTTTTCAGAACTGCTCTATCAAAAGAAAGATCCACCTCTGTTAGCTGAGTTCACACATCACAAACAAGTTTATGAGAATGCTTCTGTCTAGTTTTTATTTGAAGATATTTCGTTTCTCACCATAGACCTGAAAGCTGTCCTAATGTTCACTTCCAGATACTACAGAAAGAGTGTTTCAAAACTGCTGTACGAAAGGGAATGTTCAACTCTGTGACTTGAATGCACACATCACAAAGAAGTTTCTGAGGATGCTGCTGTCTACTTTTTATACGTAATCCTGTTTCCAACGAAATCCTCCAAGCTATCCAAATATCCACTTGCAGATTCCACAGAAAGACTGTTTCAAAACTGCTATGTCAATAGAAAAGTTCAACTCTGTTAGCTGTGTGCATATATCCCAAAGAAAATTCTGAGATTGCTTCTGTCTAGTTTTTATGGGAAGATATTTCCCTTTTCACCGTAGGCGTCAAGGCGCTCCAAATGTCCACTTCCAGATACTACAAAAAGAGTGTTTCAAACCTACACTGTGAAAGGGAATATTCAACTCTGTGACTTGAATGCACATATCACAAAGAAGTTTCTGAGAATGCTTCTGTCGAGATTTTATATGAAGATATTCCCGTTTCCAACGAAATCCTGAAACCTATCCAAATATCCCCTCGCAGATTCTACAAAAAGAGTGTTTCAAAACTGCTCTGTAAAAAGAAAGGTTCAACTCTGTTAGTTGAGTACACACATCACAAACAAGTTTCACAGAATGCTTCTTTCTAGCTTGTAGGGGAAGATATTCCCTTTATCACCATGGGCCTCAAACCGTCCGAAACGTCTACTTCCATATACTACAAAAAGAGCGTTTCAAACCTGCTCTATGAAAAGCAATATTCAACTCTGTGACTTGAATGCAGACATCACAGAGCAGTTTCTGAGAATGCTTCTGTCTAGATTTTATAGGAAGATATTCCCGTTTCCAACGAAATCTTCACAGATATCCAAATATCCACTTGCAGATTCTACAAAAAGAGTGTATCAAAACTGCTCTGTCAAAAGGAAGGTTCTTCTCTGATAGGTGAGTGCATACGTCATAAAGGAGTTTCTGAGAATGTTTCTGTCTAGTGGTTATGGGAAGATATTTGCTTTTTCACCTTAGGCCTCAGAGCGCTCCAAATATCCCCTTGCACATACTATAAAAAGAGTGCTTCAAAGCTGCTCTCTGGAAGGGAATGTTCAACTCTATGAGTTGAATGCAAGCATCACAAAGACGTTTCTGAGAATGCTTCTGTCTAGATTTGATATGAAGATATTCCCGTTTCCAACGAAATCTTCAAATCTATCCAAATGTCCACTTGCAGATTCAACAAAATGTTTTTCAAAACTGCTGTATCAAAAGAAAGATCCACCTGTGTTAGCTGAGTTCACACTTCACAAACAAGTTTATCAGTATTCTTCTGTCTAGTTTTTATTTGAAGATATTTCCATTCTCACCATAGACCTGAAAGCTGTCCTAATGTTCACTTCCAGATGCTACAGAAAGAGTGTTTCAAAACTGCTGTACGAAAGGGAATATTCAACTCTGTGACTTGAATGCACACATCACAAAGAAGTTTCTGAGGATGCTGCTGTCTACTTTTTATACGTAATCCCGTTTCCAACGAAATCCTCCAAGCTATCCAAATATCCACTTGCATATTCCACAGAAAGACTGTTTCAAAACTGCTATGTCAATAGAAAAGTTCAACTCTGTTAGCTGTGTGCATATATCCCAAAGAAAATTCTGAGATTGCTTCTGTCTAGTTTTTATGGGAAGATATTTCCCTTTTCACCGTAGGTGTCAAGGCGCTCCAAATGTCCACTTCCAGATACTACAAAAAGAGTGTTTCAAACCTACTCTGTGAAAGGGAATATTCAACTCTGTGACTTCAATGCACATATCACAAAGAAGTTTCTGAGAATGCTTCTGTCGAGATTTTATATGAAGATATTCCCGTTTCCAACGAAATGCTGAAATGTATCCAAATATCCCCTCGCAGATTCTACAAAAAGAGTGTTTCAAAACTGCTCTGTGAAAAGAAAGGTTCAACTCTGTTAGTTGAGTACACACATCACAAACAAGTTTCACAGAATGCTTCTTTCTAGCTTGTAGGGGAAGATATTCCCTTTATCACCATGGGCCTCAAACCGTCCGAAACGTCCACTTCCATATACTACAAAGAGAGCGTTTCAAACCTGCTCTAGGAAAGGCAATGTTCAACTCTGTGACTTGAATGCAGACATCACAGAGCAGTTTCTGAGAATGCTTCTGTCTAGATTTTATAGGAAGATATTCCCGTTTCCAACGAGATCTTCACAGCTATCCAAATATCCGCTTGCAGATTCTACAAAAAGAGTGTATCAAATCTGCTCTGTCAAAAGGAAGGTTCTTCTCTGTTAGTTGAGTACATACGTCATAAAGGAGTTTCTGAGAATGTTTCCGTCTAGTGGTTATGGGAAGATATTTGCTTTTTCACCGAAGGCCTCAGAGCGCTCCAAATATCCACTTGCACATACTACAAAATGAGTGCCTCAAAGCTGCTCTCTGAAACGGAATGTTCAACTCTATGAGTTGAATGCAAACATCACAAAGACGTTTCCGAGAATGCTTCTTGCCTAGATTTGATATGAAGATATTCCCGTTTCCAACGAAATCTTCAAATCTATCCAAATGTCCACTTGCAGATTCAACAAAAAGTGTTTTTCAGAACTGCTCTATCAAAAGAAAGATCCATCCTCTGTTAGCTGAGTTCACACATCACAAACAAGTTTATGAGAATGCTTCCGTCTAGTTTTTATTTGAAGATATTTCCTTTCTCACCATAGACCTGAAAGCTGTCCTAATGTTCACTTCCAGATACTACAGAAAGAGTGTTTCAAAACTGCTGTACGAAAGGGAATGTTCAACTCTGTGACTTGAATGCACACATCACAAAGAAGTTTGCTGAGGATGCTGCAGTCTACTTTTTATACGTAATCCCGTTTCCAAAGAAAACCTCCAAGCTATCCAAATATCCACTTGCAGATTCCACAGAAAGACTGTTTCAAAACTGCTCTGTCAATAGAAAGGTTCAACTCTGTTAACTCCGTGCATATATCCCAAAGAAGATTCTGAGATTGCTGCTGTCTACTTTTTATGAGAAGATATTTCCCTTTTCACCGTAGGCGTCAAGGCGCTCCAAATGTCCACTTCCAGATACTACAAAAAGAGTGTTTCAAACCTACTCTGTGAAAGGGAATATTGAACTCTGTGACTTGAATGCACATATCACAAAGAAGCTTCTGAGAATGCTTCTGTCGAGATTTTATATGAAGATATTCCCGTTTCCAACGAAATCCTGAAATCTATCCAAATATCCCCTCGCAGATTCTACAAAAAGACTGTTTCAAAACTGCTCTGTAAAAAGAAAGGTTCAACTCTGTTAGTTGAGTACACACATCACAAACAAGTTTCACAGAATGCTTCTTTCTAGCTTGTAGGGGAAGATATTCCCTTTATCACCATGGGCCTCAAACCGTCCGAAACGTCCACTTCCATATACTACAAAAAGAGTGTTTCAAACCTGCTCTATGAAAGGCAATGTTCAACTCTGTGACTTGAATGCAGACATCAAAGAGCAGTTTCTGAGAATGCTTCTGTCTAGATATTATAGGAAGATATTCCCGATTCCCACGAAATCTTCACAGCTATCCAAATATCCACTTGCAGATTCTACAAAAAGAGTGTATCAAAACTGCTCTGTCAAAAGGAAGGTTCTTCTCTGTTAGGTGAGTGCATACGTCATAAAGGAGTTTCTGAGAATGTTTCTGTCTAGTGGTTATGGGAAGATATTTGCTTTTTCACCTTAGGCCTCAGAGCGCTCCAAATATCCACTTGCACATACTACAAAAAGAGTGCTTCAAAGCTGCTCTCTGAAACGGAATGTTCAACTCTATGAGTTGAATGCAAACATCACAAAGACGTTTCTGACAATGCTTCTGTCTAGATTTGATATGAAGATATTCCCGTTCCCAACGAAATCTTCAAATCTATCCAAATGTCCACTTGCAGATTCAACAAAAAGTGTTTTTCAGAACTGCTCTATCAAAAGAAAGATCCACCTCTGTTAGCTGAGTTCACACATCACAAACAAGTTTATGAAAATGCTTCTGTCTAGTTTTTATTTGAAGTATATATCCTTTCTCACTATAGACCTGAAAGCTCTCCTAAAGTTCACTTCCAGATACTACAGAAAGAGTGTTTCAAAACTGCTGTACGAAAGGGAATGTTCAACTCTGTGACTTGAATGCACACATCACAAGGATGTTTCTGAGGATGCTGCTGTCTACTTTTTATACGTAATCCCGTTTCCAACGAAATCCTCCAAGCTATCCAAATATCCACTTGCAGATTCCACAGAAAGACTGTTTCAAAACTACTATGTCAATAGAAAGGTTCAACTCTGTTAGCTGCGTGCATATATCCCAAAGACGATTCTGAGATTGCTTCTGTCTAGTTTTTATGGGAAGATATTTCCCTTTTCACCGTAGGCGTTAAGGCGCTCCAAATGTCCACTTCCAGATACTACAAAAAGAGTGTTTCAAACCTACTCTGTGAAAGGGAATATTCAACTCTGTGACTAGTATGCACATATCACAAAGAAGTTTCTGAGAATGCATCTGTCGAGATTTTATATGAAGATATTCCCGTTTCCAACGAAATCCTGAAATCTATCCAAATATCCCCTCGTAGATTCTACAAAAAGAGAGTTTCAAAACTGCTCTGTAAAAAGAAAGGTTCAACTCTGTTAGTTGAGTACACACATCACAAACAAGTTTCACAGAATGCTTCTTTCTAGCTTGTAGGGGAAGATATTCCCTTTATCACCATGGGCCTCAAACCGTCCGAAACGTCCATTTCCATATACTACAAAAAGAGCGTTTCAAACCTGCTCCATGAAAGGCAATGTTCAACTCTGTGACTTGAACGCAGACATCACAGAGCAGTTTCTGAGAATGCTTCTGTCTAGAATTTATAGGAAGATATTCCCGTTTCCAACGAAATCTTCACAGCTATCCAAATATCCACTTTCAGATTCTACAAAAAGAGTGTATCAAAAGTGCTCTGTCAAAAGGAAGGTTTCTTCTCTGTTAGGTGAGTGCATACGTCATAAAGGAGTTTCTGAGAATGTTTCTGTCTAGTGGTTATGGGAAGATATTTGCTTTTTCACCTTAGGCCTCAGAGCGCTCCAAATATACACTTGCACATACTACAAAAAGAGTGATTCAAAGCTGCTCTCTGAAACGGAATGTTCAACTCTATGAGTTGAATGCAAACATCACAAAGACGTTTCTGAGAATGCTTCTGTCTAGAATTGTTATGAAGATATTCCCGTTTCCAACGAAATCTTCAAATCTATCCAAATGTCCACTTGCAGATTCAACAAAAAGTGTTTTTCAGAACTGCTCTATCAAAAGAAAGATCCACCTCTGTTAGCTGAGTTCACACATCACAAACAAGTTTATGAGAATGCTTCTGTCTAGTTTTTATTTGAAGATATTTCCTTTCTCACCATAGACCTGAAAGCTGTCCTAATGTTCACTTCCAGATACTACAGAAAGAGTGTTTCAAAACTGCTGTAAGAAAGGGAATGTTCAACTCTGTGACTTGAATGCACACACCACAAGGAAGTTTCTGAGGATGCTGCTGTCTACTTTTTATACGTAATCCCGTTTCCAACGAAATCCTCCAAGCTATCCAAATATCCACTTGCAGATTCCACAGAAAGACTGTTTCAAAACTGCTCTCTCAATAGAAAGGTTCAACTCTGTTAGCTGCGTGCATATATCCCAAAGAAGATTCTGAGATTGCTTCTGTCTACTTTTTATGAGAAGATATTTCCCTTTTCACCGTAGGCGTCAAGGCGCTCAAAATGTCCACTTCCAGATACTACAAAAAGAGTGTTTCAAACCTACTCTGTGAAAGGGAATATTCAACTCTGTGACTTGAATGCACATATCACAAAGAAGTTTCTGAGAATGCTTCTGTCGAGATTTTATATGAAGATATTCCCGTTTCCAACGAAATCCTGAAATCTATCCAAATAACCCCTCGCAGATTCTACAAAAAGAGTGTTTCAAAACTGCTCTGTAAAAAGAAAGGTTCAACTCTGTAAGTTGAGTACACACATCACAAACAAGTTTCACAGAATGCTTCTTTCTAGCTTGTAGGGGAAGATATTTCCTTTATCACCATGGTCCTCAAACAGTCTGAAACGTCCACTTCCATATACTAAAAAAAGAGGGTTTGAAACCTGCTCTATGAAAGGCAACGTTCAACTCTGTGACTTGAATGCAGACATCACAGAGCAGTTTCAGAGAATGCTTCTGTCCAGACTTTATAGGAAGATATTCCCGTTTCCAACGAAATCTTCACAGCTATCCAAATATCCACCTGCAGATACTACAAAAAGAGTGTATCAAAACTGCTCTGTCAAAAGGAAGGTTCTTCTCTGTTAGGTGAGTGCATACGTCATAAAGAAGTTTCTGAGAATGTTTCTGTCTAGTGGTTATGGGAAGATATTTGCTTTTTCACCGTAGGCCTCAGAGCGCTCCAAATATCCACTTGCACATACTACAAAAAGAGTGCCTCAAAGCTGCTCTCTGAAACGGAATGTTCAACTCTATGAGTTGAATGCCAACATCACAAAGAACGTTTCTGAGAATGCTTCTGTCTAGATTTGATATGAAGATATTTCCGTTTCCAACGAAATCTTCAAATCTATCCAAATGTCCACTTGCAGATTCAACAAAAAGTGTTTTTCAGAACTGCTCTATCAAAAGAAAGATCCACCTCTGTTAGCTGAGTTCACACATCACAAACAAGTTTATGAGAATGCTTCTGTCTAGTTTTTATTTGAAGATATTTCCTTTCTCACCATAGACCTGAAAGCTGTCCTAATGTTCACTTCCAGATACTACAGATAGAGTGTTTCAAAACTGCTGTACGAAAGGGAATGTTCAACACTGTGACTTGAATGCACACATCACAAAGAAGTTTCTGAGGATGCTGCTGTCTACTTTTTATACGTAATCCCGTTTCCAACGAAATCCTCCAAGCTATCCAAATATCCACTTGCAGATTCCACAGAAAGACTGTTTCTAAACTGCTGTGTCAATAGAAAGGTTCAACTCTGTTAGCTGCGTGCATATATCCCAAAGAAGATTCTGAGATTGCTTCTGTCTAGTTTTTATGGGAAGATATTTCCCTTTTCACCGTAGGCGTCAAGGCGCTCCAAATGTCCAATTCCAGATACTATAAAAAGAGTGTTTCAAACCTACTCTGTGAAAGAGAATATTCAACTCTGTGACTGGAATGCAGATATCACAAAGAAGTTTCTGAGAATGCTTCTGTCGAGATTTTATATGAAGATATTCCCGTTTCCAACGAAAACCTGAAATCTATCCAAATATCCCCTCGCAGATTCTACAAAAAGAGTGTTTCAAAACTGCTCTGTAAAAAGAAAGGTTCAACTCTGTTAGTTGCGTACACACATCACAAACAAGTTTCACAGAATGCTTCTTTCTAGCTTGTAGGGGAAGATATTCCCTTTATCACCATGGGCCTCAAACCGTCCGAAACGTCCACTTCCATATACTACAAAAAGAGCGTTTCAAACCTGCTCTATGAAAGGCAATGTTCAACTCTGTGACTTGAATGCAGACATCACAGAGCAGTTTCTGAGAATGCTTTCTGTCTAGATATTATAGGAAGATATTCCCGTTTCCAACGAAATCTTCACAGCTATCCAAATATCCACTTGCAGATTCTACAAAAAGAGTGTATCAAAACTGCTCTGTCAAAAGGAAGGTTCTTCTCTGTTAGGTGAGTGCATACGTCATAAAGGAGTTTCTGAGAATGTTTCTGTCTAGTGGTTATGGGAAGATATTTGCTTTTTCACCGTAGGCCTCAGGGTGCTCCAAATGTCCACTTGCACATGCTACAAAAAGAGTGCTTCAAAGCTGCTCTCTGAAAGGGAATGTTCAACTCTATGAGTTGAATGCAAACATCACAAAGACGTCTCTGACAATGCTTCTGTCTAGATTTGATATGAAGATATTCCCGTTTCCAACGAAATCTTCAAATCTATCCAAATGTCCTCTTGCAGATTCAACAAAAAGTGTTTGTCAGAACTGCTCTATCAAAAGAAAGATCCACGTGTGTTAGCTGAGTTCACACATCACGAACAAGTTTATGAGAATGCTCTGTCTAGTTTTTATTTGAAGATATTTCCTTTCTCACCATAGACCTGAAAGCTGTCCTAATGTTCACTTCCAGATACTACAGAAAGAGTGTTTCAAAACTGCTGTACGAAAGGGAATGTTCAACTCTGTGACTTGAATGCACACATCACAAAGAAGTTCTGAGGATGCTGGCTGTCTACTTTTTATATGCAATCCCGTTTCCAACGAAATCCTCCAAGCTATCCAAATATCCACTTGCAGATTCCACAGAAAGACTGTTTCAAAACTGCTCTGTCAATAGAAAGGTTCAACTCTGTTAGCTGCGTGCATATATCCCAAAGAAGATTCTGAGATTGCTTCTGTCTACTTTTTATGAGAAGATATTTCCCTTTTCACCGTAGGTGTCAAGGCGCTCCAAATGTCCACTTCCAGATACTACAAAAAGAGTGTTTCAAACCTACTCTGTGAAAGGGAATATTCAACTCTGTGACTTGAATGCACATATCACAAAGAAGTTTCTGAGAATGCTTCTGTCGAGATTTTCTATGAAGATATTCCCGTTTCCAACGAAATCCTGAAATCTATCCAAATATCCCCTCGCAGATTCCACAAAAAGAGTGTTTCAAAACTGCTCTGTAAAAAGAAAGGTTCAACTCTGTTAGTTGAGTACACACATCACAAACAAGTTTCACAGAATGCTTCTTTCTAGCTTGTAGGGGAAGATATTCCCTTTATCACCATGGGCCTCAAACCGTCCGAAACGTCCACTTCCATATACTACAAAAAGAGGGTTTCAAACCTGCTCTATGAAAGGCAATGTTCAACTCTGTGACTTGAATACAGACATCGCAGAGCAGTTCCTGAGAATGCTTCTGTCTAGATTTTATAGGAAGATATTCCCGTTTCCAACGAAATCTTCACAGCTATCCAAATATCCACTTGCAGATTCTACAAAAAGAGTGTATTCAAACTGCTCTGTCAAAAGGAAGGTTCTTCTCTGTTAGTTGAGTACATACGTCATAAAGGAGTTTCTGAGAATGTTTCTGTCTAGTGGTTATGGGAAGATATTTGCTTTTTCCCCGTAGGACTCAGAGCGCTCCAAATATCCACTTGCACATACTACAAAAAGAGTGCTTCAAAGCTGCTCTCTGAAACGGAATGTTCAACTCTATGAGTTGAATGCAAACATCACAAAGACGTTTCTGAGAATGCTTCTGTCTAGATTTGATATGAAGATATTCCCGTTTCCAACGAAATCTTCATATCTATCCAAATGTCCACTTGCAGATTCAACAAAAAGTGTTTTTCAAAACTGCTGTATCAAAAGAAAGATCCACGTCTGTTAGCTGATGCTCTATCAAAAGAGAGATCCACCTCTGTTAGCTGAGTTCACACATCACAAACAAGTTTATGAAAATGCTTCTGTCTAGTTTATATTTGAAGATATTTCCTTTCTCACCATAGACCTGAAAGCTGTCCTAATGTTCACTTCCAGATACTACAGAAAGAGTGTTTCAAAACTGCTGTACGAAAGGGAATGTTCAACTCTGTGACTTGAATGCACACATCACAAAGAAGTTTCTGAGGATGCTGCAGTCTACTTTTTATACGTAATCCCGTTTCCAAAGAAAACCTCCAAGCTATCCAAATATCCACTTGCAGATTCCACAGAAAGACTGTTTCAAAACTGCTCTGTCAATAGAAAGGTTCAACTCTGTTAACTCCGTGCATATATCCCAAAGAAGATTCTGAGATTGCTTTCTGTCTAGTTTTTATGGGAAGATATTTCCCTTTTCACCGTAGGCGTCAAGGCGCTTCAAATGTCCACTTCCAGATACTACAAAAAGAGTGTTTCAAACCTACTCTGTGAAAGGGAATATTCAACTCTGTGACTTGAATGCACATATCACAAAGAAGTTTCTGAGAATGCTTCTGTCTAGATTTTATAGGAAGATATTCCCGTTTCCAATGAAACCTTCACAGCTATCCAAATATCCACTTGCAGATTCTACAAAAAGAGTGTTTCAAAACTGCTCTGTAAAAAGAAAGGTTCAACTGTGTTAGTTGAGTACACACATCACAAACAAGTTTCACAGAATGCTTCTTTCTAGCTTGTTGGGTAAGATATTCCCTTTATCACCATGGGCCTCCAACCGTCCGAAACATCCACTTCCATATACTACAAAAAGAGCGTTTCAAACCGGCTCTATGAAAGGCAATGTTCAACTCTGTGACTTGAATGCAGACATCACAGAGCAGTTTCTGAGAATGCTTCTGTCTGGATTTTATAGGAAGATATTCCCGTTTCCAACGAAATCTTCACAGCTATCCAAATATCCACTTGCAGATTCTACAAAAAGAGTGTATCAAAACTGCTCTGTCAAAAGGAAGGTTCTTCTCTGTTAGGTGAGTGCATACGTCATAAAGGAGTTTCTGAGAATGTTTCTGTCTAGTGGTTATGGGAAGATATTTGCTTTTTCACCTTAGGCCTCAGAGCGCTCCAAATATCCACTTGCACATACTACAAAAAGAGTGCTTCAAAGCTGCTCTCTGAAACGGAATGTTCAACTCTATGAGTTGAATGCAAACATCACAAAGACGTTTCTGGGAATGCTTCTGTCTAGATTTGATATGAAGATATTCCCGTTTCCAACGAAATCTTCAAATCTATCCAAATGTCCACTTGCAGATTCAACAATAAGTGTTTTTCAGAACTGCTCTATCAAAAGAAAGATCCACCTCTGTTAGCTGAGTTCACACATCACAAACAAGTTTATGAAAATGCTTCTGTCTAGTTTTTATTTGAAGATATTTCCTTTCTCACCATAGACCTGAAAGCTGTCCTAATGTTCACTTCCAGATACTACAGAAAGAGTGTTTCAAAACTACTGTACGAAAGGGAATGTTCAACACTGTGACTTGAAAGCACACATCACAAAGAAGTTTCTGAGGATGCTGCTGTCTACTTTTTATACGTAATCGCGTTTCCAAAGAAATCCTCGAAGCTATCCAAATATCCACTTGCAGATTCCACAGAAAGACTGTTTCAAAACTGCTCTGTCAATAGAAAGGTTCAACTCTATTAGCTGCGTGCATATATCCCAAAGAAGATTCTGAGATTGCTTCTGTCTAGTTTTTATGGGAAGATATTTCCCTTTTCACCGTAGGCATCAAGGCGCTCCGAATGTCCACTTCCAGATACTACAAAAAGAGTGTTTCAAACCTACTCTGTGAAAGGGAATATTCAACTCTGTGACTTGAATGCACATATCACAAGGAAGTTTCTGAGAATGCTTCTGTCGAGATTTTGTATGAAGATATTCCCGTTTCCAACGAAATTCTGAAATCTATCCAAATATCCCCTCGCAGATTCTACAAAAAGAGTGTTTCAAAACTGCTCTGTGAAAAGAAAGGTTCAACTCTCTTAGTTGAGTACACACATCACAAACAAGTTTCACAGAATGCTTCTTTCTAGCTTGTAGGGGAAGATATTCCCTTTATCACCATGGGCCTCAAACCATCCGAAACGTCCACTTCCATATACTACAAAAAGAGCGTTTCAAACCTGCTCTAGGAAAAGCAATGTTCAACTCTGTGACTTGAATGCAGACATCACAGAGCAGTTTCTGAGAATGCTTCTGTCTAGGTTTTATAGGAAGATATTCCCGTTTCCAACGAAATCTTCACAGCTATCCAAATATCCACTTGCAGATTCTACAAAAAGAGTGTATCAAAACTGCTCTGTCAAAAGGAAGGTTCTTCTCTGTTAGGTGAGTGCACACGTCATAAAGGAGTTTCTGAGAATGTTTCTGTCTAGTGGTTATGGGAAGATATTTGCTTTTTCACCGTAGGTCTCAGAGCGCTCCAAATATCCACTTGCACATACTACAAAAAGAGTGCTTCAAAGCTGCTCTCTGAAACGGAATGTTCAACTCTATGACTTGAATGCAAACATCACAAAGACGTTTCTGAGAATGCTTCTGTCTAGATTTGATATGAAGATATTCCCGTTTCCAAGGAAATCTTCAAAACTATCCAAATGTCCACTTGCAGATTCAACAAAAAGTGTTTTTCAGAACTGCTCTATCAAAAGAAAGATCCACCGCTGTTTGCTGAGTTCACACATCACAAACAAGTTTATGAGAATGCTTCTGTCTAGTTTTTATTTGAAGATATTTCCTTTCTCACCATAGACCTGAAAGCTGTCCTAATGTTCACTTCCAGTTACTACAGAGTGTTTCAAAACTGCTGTACGAAAGGGAATGTTCAACTCTGTGACTTGAATGCACACATCACAAAGAAGTTTCTGAGGATGCTGCTGTCTACTTTTTTATACGTAATCCCGTTTCCAACGAAATCCTCCAAGCTATCCAAATATCCACTTGCAGATTCCACAGAAAGACTGTTTCAAAACTGCTCTGTCAATAGAAAGGTTCAACTCTGTTAGCTGCGTGCATATATCCCAAAGAAGATTCTGAGATTGCTTCTGTCTACTTTTTATGAGAAGATATTTCCCTTTTCACCTTAGGCGTCAAGGCGCTCCAAATGTCCACTTCCAGATACTACAAAAAGAGTGTTTCAAACCTACTCTGTGAAAGGGAATATTGAACTCTGTGACTTGAATGCACATATCACAAAGAAGCTTCTGAGAATGCTTCTGTCAAGATTTTATGTGAAGATATTCCCGTTTCCAACTAAATCCTGAAATGTATCCAAATATCCCCTCGCAGATTCTACAAAAAGAGTGTTTCAAAACTGCTCTGTAAAAAGAAAGGTTCAACTCTGTTAGTTGAGTACACACATCACAAACAAGTTTCACAGAATGCTTCTTTCTAGCTTGTAGGGGAAGATATTCCCTTTATCACCATGGGCCTCAAACCGTCCGAAACGTCCACTTCCATATACTACAAAAAGAGCATTTCAAACCTGCTCTATGAAAGACAATGTTGAACTCTGTGACTTGAATGCAGACATCACAGAGCAGTTTCTGAGAATGCTTCTGTCTAGATTTTATAGGAAGATATTCCCGTTTCCAACGAAATCTTCACAGCTATCCAAATATCCACTTGCAGATTCTACAAAAAGAGTGTATCAAAAATGCTCTGTCAAAAGGAAGGTTCTTCTCTGTTAGGTGAGTGCATACGTCATAAAGGAGTTTCTGAGAATGTTTCTGTGTAGTGGTTATGGGAAGATATTTGCTTTTTCACCGAAGGCCTCAGAGCGCTCCAAATATCCACTTGCACATACTACAAAATGAGTGCCTCAAAGCTGCTCTCTGAAACGGAATGTTCAACTCTATGAGTTGAATGCAAACATCACAAAGACGTTTCCGAGAATGCTTCTGTCTAGATTTGATATGAAGATATTCCCGTTTCCAACGAAATCTTCATATCTATAAAATGTCCACTTGCAGATTCAACAAAAAGTGTTTTTCAAAACTGCTGTATCAAAAGAAAGATCCACGTCTCTTAGCTGAGTTCACACATCACAAACAAGTTTATGAGAATGCTTCTGTCTAGTTTTTATTTGAAGATATTTCCTTTCTCACCATAGAGCTGAAAGCTGTCCTAATGTTCACTTCCAGATACCACAGAAAGAGTGTTTCAAAACTGCTGTACGAAAGGGAATGTTCAACTCTGTGACTTGAATGCACACATCACAAAGAAGTTTCTGAGGATGCTGCTGTCTACTTTTTATACGTAATCCCGTTTCCAACGAAATCCTCCAAGCTATCAAAATATGCACTTGCAGATTCCACAGAAAGACTGTTTCAAAACTGCTCTGTCAATAGAAAGGTTCAACTCTGTTAGCTGCGTGCATATATCCCAAAGAAGATTCTGAGATTGCTTCTGTCTAGTTTTTATGGGAAGATATTTCCCTTTTCACCGTAGGTGTCAAGGCGCTCCAAATGTCCACTTCCAGATACTACAAAAAGAGTGTTTCAAACCTACTCTGTGAAAGGGAATATTCAACTCTGTGACTTGAATGCACGTATCACAAGGAAGTTTCTGAGAATGCTTCTGTCGAGATTTTATATGAAGATATTCCCGTTTCCAACGAAATGCTGAAATGTATCCAAATATCCCCTCGCAGATTCTACAAAAAGAGTGTTTCAAAACTACTCTGTAAAAAGAAAGGTTCAACTCTGTTAGTTGAGTACACACATCACAAACAAGTTTCACAGAATGCTTCTTTCTAGCTTGTAGGGGAAGATATTTCCTTTATCACCATGGGCCTCAAACCGTCCGAAACGTCCACTTCCATATACTAAAAAAAGAGTGCTTGAAACCTGCTCTATGAAAGGCAATGTTCAACTCTGTGACTTGAATGCAGACATCACAGAGCAGTTTCTGAGAATGCTTCTGTCCAGACTTTATAGGAAGATATTCCCGATTCCAACGAAATCTTCACAGCTATCCAAATATCCACTTGCAGATACTACAAAAAGAGTGTATCAAAAGTGCTCTGTCAAAAGGAAAGTTCTTCTCTGCTAGTTGAGTACATACGCCATAAAGTAGTTTCTGAGAATGTTTCTGTCTAGTGGTTATGGGAAGATATTTGCTTTTTCACCGTAGGCCTCAGAGCGCTCCAAATATCCACTTGCACATACTACAAAAAGAGTGCTTCAAAGCTGCTCTACTGAAACGGAATGTTCAACTCTATGAGTTGAATGCAAACATCACAAAGACGTTTCTGAGAATGCTTCTGTCTAGATTTGATATGAAGATGTTCCCGTTACCAACGAAATCTTCAAATCTATCCAAATGTCCACTTGCAGATTCAACAAAAAGTGTTTTTCAGAACTGCTCTTTCAAAAGAAAGATCCACCTCTGTTAGCTGAGTTCACACATCACAAACAAGTTTATGAGAATGCTTCTGTCTAGTTTTTATTTGAAGATATTTCCTTTCTCACCATAGACCTGAAAGCTGTCCTAATGTTCACTTCCAGATACTACATAAAGAGTGTTTCAACACTGCTGTATGAAAGGGAATGTTCAACTCTGTGACTTGAATGCACACATCACAAAGAAGTTTCTGAGGATGCTGCTGTCTACTTTTTATACGTAATCCCGTTTCCAACGAAATCCTCCAAGCTATCCAAATATCCACTTGCAGATTCCACAGAAAGACTGTTTCAAAACTGCTCTGTCAATAGAAAGGTTCAACTCTGTTAGCTTCGTGCATATATCCCAAAGAAGATTCTGAGATTGCTTCTGTCTAGTTTTTATGGGAAGATATTTCCCTCTTCACCGTAGGCGTCAAGGCGCTCCAAATGTCCACTTCCAGATAGTACAAAAAGAGTGTTTCAAACCTACTCTATGAAAGGGAATATTCAACTCTGTGACTAGAATGCACATATCACAAAGAAGTTTCTGAGAATGCATCTGTCGAGATTTTATATGAAGATATTCCCGTTTCCAACGAAATCCTGAAATCTATCCAAATATCCCCTCGCAGATTCTACAAAAAGAGTGTTTCAAAACTGCTCTGTGAAAAGAAAGGTTCAACTCTCTTACTTGAGTACACACATCACAAACAAGTTTCACAGAATGCTTCTTTCTAGCTTGTAGGGGAAGATATTCCCTTTATCACCATGGGCCTCAAACCGTCTGAAACGTCCACTTCCATATACTACAAAAAGATCATTTCAAACCTGCTCTATGAAAGGCAATGTTCAACTCTGTGACTTGAATGCAGACATCACAGAGCAGTTTCTGAGAATGCTTCTGTCTAGATTTTATAGGAAGATATTCCCGTTTCCAACGAAATCTTCACAGCTATCCAAATATACACTTGCAGATTCTACAAAAAGAGTGTATCAAAGCTGCTCTGTCAAAAGGAAGGTTCTTCTCTGTTAGGTGAGTGCATACGTCATAAAGCAGTTTCTGAGAATGTTTCTGTCTAGTGGTTATGGGAAGATATTTGCTTTTTCACCGTAGGCCTCAGAGCGCTCCAAATATCCACTTGCACATACTACAAAAAGAGGGCCTCAAAGCTGCTCTTTGAAACGGAATGTTCAACTCTATGAGTTGAATGCAAACATCACAAAGACGTTTCTGAGAATGCTTCTGTCTAGATTTGATATGAAGATATTCCCGTTTCCAACGAAATCTTCAAATCTATCCAAATGTCCACTTGCAGATTCAACAAAAATTGTTTTTCAGAACTGCTCTATCAAAAGAAAGATCCACGTGTGTTAGCTGAGTTCACACATCACAAACAAGTTTATGAGAATGCTTCTGTCTAGTTTTTATTTGAAGATATTTCCTTTCTCACCATAGACCTGAAAGCTGTCCTAATGTTCACTTCCAGATACTACAGAAAGAGTGTTTCAAAACTGCTGTACGAAAGGGAATGTTCAACTCTGTGACTTGAATGCACACATCACAAAGTAGTTTCTGAGGATGCTGCTGTCTACTTTTTATACGTAATCCCGTTTCCAACGAAATCCTCCAAGCTATCCAAATATCCACTTGCAGATTCCACAGAAAGACTGTTTCAAAACTGCTCTGTCAATAGAAAGGTTCAACTCTGTTAGCTGCGTGCATATATCCTAAAGAGGATTCTGAGCTTGCTTCTGTCTAGTTTTTATGGGAAGATATTTCCCTTTTCACCATAGGTGTCAAGGCGCTCCAAATGTCCACTTCCAGATACTACAAAAAGAGTGTTTCAAACCTACTCTGTGAAAGGGAATATTCAACTCTGTGACTTGAATGCAGACATCACAGAGCAGTTTCTGAGAATGCTTCTGTCGAGATTTTATATGAAGATATTCCCCTTTCCAACGAAATCCTGAAATCTATCCAAATATCCCCTCGCAGATTCTACAAAAAGAGTGTTTCAAAACTGCTCTGTAAAAATAAAAGGTTCAACTCTGTTAGTTGAGTACACACATCACAAACAAGTTTCACAGAATGCTTCTTTCTAGCTTGTAGGGGAAGATATTCCCTTTATCACCATGGGCCTCAAGCCGTCCGAAACGTCCACTTCCATATACTACAAAAAGAGCGTTTCAAACCTGCTCTAGGAAAGGCAATGTTCAACTCTGTGACTTGAATGCAGACATCACAGAGCAGTTTCTGAGAATGCTTCTGTCTAGATTTTATAGGAAGATATTCCCGTTTCCAACGAAATCTTCACAGCTATCCAAATATCCACTTGCAGATTCTGCAAAAAGAGTGTATCAAAACTGCTCAGTCAAAAGGAAGGTTCTTCTCTGTTAGGAGAGTGCATACGTCATAAAGGAGTTTCTGAGAATGTTTCTGTCTAGTGGTTATGGGAAGATATTTGCTTTTTCACCGTAGGCCTCAGGGCGCTCCAAATGTCCACTTGCACATACTACAAAAAGAGTGCTTCAAAGCTGCTCTCTGAAACGGAATGTTCAACTCTATGAGTTGAATGCAAACATCACAAAGACGTTTCTGAGAATGCTTCTGTCTAGATTTGATATGAAGATATTCCCGTTTCCAACGAAATCTTCAAATCTATCCAAATGTCCACTTGCAGATTCAACAAAAAGTGTTTTTCAGTACTGCTCTATCAAAAGAAAGATCCACCTCTGTTAGCTGAGTTCACACATCACAAACAAGTTTATGAGAATGCTTCTGTCTAGTTTTTATTTGAAGATATTTCCTTTCTCACCATAGAGCTGAAAGCTGTCCTAATGTTCACTTCCAGATACTACAGAAAGAGTGTTTCAAAACTGCTGTACGAAAGGGAATGTTCAAATCTGTGACTTGAATGCACACATCACAAAGAAGATTCTGAGGATGCTGCTGTCTTCTTTTTATACGTAATCCCGTTTCCAACGAAATCCTCCAAGCTCTCCAAGTATCCACTTGCAGATTCCACAGAAAGACTGTTTCAAAACTGCTCTGTCAATAGAAAGGTTCAACTCTGTTAGCTGCGTGCATATATCCCAAAGAAGATTCTGAGATTGCTTCTGTCTAGTTTTTATGGGAAGATATTTCCCTATTCACCGTAGGTGTCAAGGCGCTCCAAATGTCCACTTCCAGATACTACAAAAAGAGTGTTTCAAACCTACTCTGTGAAAGGGAATATTCAACTCTGTGACTTGAATGCACATATCACAAGGAAGTTTCTGAGAATGCTAATGTCGAGATTTTATATGAAGATATTCCCGTTTCCAACGAAATCCTGAAATCTATCCAAATATCCCCTCGCAGATTCTACAAAAAGAGTGTTTCAAAACTGCTCTGTGAAAAGAAAGGTTCAACTCTGTTAGTTGAGTACACACATAACAAACAAGTTTCACAGAATGCTTCTTTCTAGCTTGTAGGGGAAGATATTCCCTTTATCACCATGGGCCTCCAACCGTCCGAAACATCCACTTCCATATACTACAAAAAGAGCGTTTCAAACCTGCTCTATGAAAGGCAATGTTCAACTCTGTGACTTGAATGCAGAAATCACAGAGCAGTTTCTGAGAATGCTTCTGTCTAGATTTTATAGGAAGATATTCCCGTTTCCAACGAAATCTTCACAGGTATCCAAATATCCACTTGCAGATTCTACAAAAAGAGTGTATCAAAACTGCTCTGTCAAAAGGAAGGTTCTTCTCTGTTAGGTGAGTGCATACGTCATAAAGGAATTTCTGAGAATGTTTCTTTCTAGTGGTTATGGGAAGATATTTGCTTTTTCACCGTAGGCCTCACAGCGCTCCAAATATCCACTTGCACATACTACAAAAAGAGTGCTTCAAAGCTGCTCTCTGAAACGGAATGTTCAACTCTATGAGTTGAATGCAAACATCACAAAGACGTTTCCGAGAATGCTTCTGTCTAGATTTGATATGAAGATATTCCCGTTTCCAACGAAATCTTCAAATCTATCCAAATGTCCACTTGCAGATTCAACAAAGTGTTTTTCAGAACTGCTCTATCAAAAGAAAGATCCACCTCTGTTAGCTGAGTTCACACATCACAAACAAGTTTATGAGAATGCTTCTGTCTAGTTTTTATTTGAAGATATTTCCTTTCTCACCATAGACCTGAAAGCTGTCCTAATGTTCACTTCCAGATACTACAGAAAGAGTGTTTCAAAACTGCTGTACAAAAGGGAATGTTCAACTCTGTGACTTGAATGCACACATCACAAAGAAGTTTCTGAGGATGCTGCTGTCTACTTTTTATACGTAATCCTGTTTCCAACGAAATCCTCCAAGCTATCCAAATATCCACTTGCAGATTCCACAGAAAGACTGTTTCAAACCTGCTCTGTCAATAGAAAGGTTCAACTCTGTTAGCTACGTGCATATATCCCAAAGAAGATTCTGAGATTGCTTCTGTCTACTTTTTATGAGAAGATATTTCCCTTTTCACCGTAGGCGTCAAGGCGCTCCAAATGTCCACTTCCAGATACTACAAAAAGAGTGTTTCAAACCTACTCTGTAAAAGGGAATATTCAACTCTGTGACTTGAATGCACATATCACAAAGAAGTTTCTGAGAATGCTTCTGTCGAGATTTTATATGAAGATATTCCCGTTTCCAACGAAATCCTGAAATCTATCGAAATATCCCCTCGCAGATTCTACAAAAAGAGTGTTTCAAAACTGCTCTGTAAAAAGAAAGGTTCAACTCTGTTAGTTGAGTACACACATCACAAACTAGTTTCACAGAATGCTTCTTTCTAGCTTGTAGGGGAAGATATTCCCTTTATCACCATGGGCCTCAAACCGTCCGAAACGTCCACTTCCATATGCTACAAAAAGAGCATTTCAAACCTGCTCTAGGAAAGGCAATGTTCAACTCTGTGACTTGAATGCAGACATCACAGAGCTGTTTCTGAGAATGCTTCTGTCTAGATTTCATAGGAAGATATTTCCGTTTCCAACGAAACCTTCACAGCTATCCAAATATCCACTTGCAGATTCTACAAAAAGAGTGTATCAAAACTGCTCTGTCAAAAGGAAGGTTCTTCTCTGTTAGGTGAGTGCATACGTCATAAAGGAGTTTCTGAGAATGTTTCTGTCTACTGGTTATGGGAAGATATTTGCTTTTTCACCGTAGGCCTCAGAGCGCTCCAAATATCCACTTGCACATGCTACAAAAAGAGTGCTTCAAAGCTGCTCTCTGAAACGGAATGTTCAACTCTATGAGTTGAATGCAAACATCACAAAGACGTTTCTGAGAATGCTTCTGTCTAGATTTGATATGAAGATATTCCCGTTTCCAACGAAATCTTCAAATCTATCCAAATGTCCACTTGCAGATTCAACAAAAAGTGTTTTTCAGAACTGCTCTATCAAAAGAAAGATCCACCTCTGTTAGCTGAGTTCGCACATCACAAACAAGTTTATGAGAATGCTTCTGTCTAGTTTTTATTTGAAGATATTTCCTTTCTCACCATAGACCTGAAAGCTGTCTTAATGTTCACTTCCAGTTACTACAGAAAGAGTGTTTCAAAACTGCTGTACGAAAGGGAATGTTCAACTCTGTGACTTGAATGCACACATCACAAAGAAGTTTCTGAGGATGTTGCTGTCTACTTTTTATACGTAATCCCGTTTCCAACGAAATCCTCCAAGCTATCCAAATATCCACTTGCAGATTACACAGAAAGACTGTTTCAAAACTGCTCTGTCAATAGAAAGGTTCAACTCTGTTAGCTGCGTGCATATATCCCAAAGAAGATTCTGAGATTGCTTCTGTCTAGTTTTTATGGGAAGATATTTCCCTTTTCACCGTAGGCGTCAAGGCGCTCCAAATGTCCACTTCCAGATACTACAAAAAGAGTGTTTCATACCTACTCTATGAAAGGGAATATTCAACTCTGTGACTTGAATGCACATATCACAAGGAAGTTTCTGAGAATGCTTCTGTCGAGATTTTATATGAAGATATTCCCGTTTCCAACGAAATCCTGAAATGTATCCAAATATCCCCTCGCAGATTCTACAAAAAGAGTGTTTCAAAACTGCTCTGTAAAAAGAAAGGTTCAACTCTGTTAGTTGAGTGCACACATCACAAACAAGTTTCACAGAATGCTTCTTTCTAGCTTGTAGAGGAAGATATTCCCTTTATCACCATGGGCCTCCAACCGTCCGAAACATCCACTTCCATATACTACAAAAAGAGCGTTTCAAACCTGCTCTATGAAAGGCAATGTTCAACTCTGTGACTTGAATGCAGACATCACAGAGCAGTTTCTGAGAATGCTTCTGTCTAGATTTTATAGGAAGATATTCCCGTTTCCAACGAAATCTTCACAGCTATCCAAATATCCACTTGCAGTTTCTACAAAAAGAGTGTATCAAAACTGCTCTGTCAAAAGGAAGGTTCTTCTCTGTTAGTTGAGTACATACGTCATAAAGGAGTTTCTGAGAATGTATCTGTCTAGTGGTTATGGGAAGATATTTGCTTTTTCACCATAGGCCTCAGAGCGCTCCAAATATCCACTTGCACATACTACAAAAAGAGTGCCTCACAGCTGCTCTCTGAAACGGAATGTTCAACTCTATGAGTTGAATGCAAACATCGCAAAGACGTTTCTGAGAATGCTTGTCTGTCTAGATTTGATATGAAGATATTCCCGTTTCCAACGAAATCTTCAAATCTATCCAAATGTCCACTTGCAGATTCAACAAAAAGTGTTTTTCAGAACTGCTCTATCAAAAGAAAGATCCACCTCTGTTAGCTGAGTTCACACATCAGAAACAAGTTTATGAGAATGCTTCTGTCTAGTTTTTATTTGAAGATATTTCCTTTCTCACAATAGACCTGAAAGCTGTCCTAATGTTCACTTCCAGATACTACAGAAAGAGTGTTTCAAAACTGCTGTACGAAAGGGAATGTTCAACACTGTGACTTGAATGCACACATCACAAAGAAGTTTCTGAGGATGCTGCTGTCTACTTTTTATGCGTAATCCCGTTTCCAACGAAATCCTCCAAGCTATCCAAATATCCACTTGCAGATTCCACAGAAAGACTGTTTCAAAACTGCTCTGTCAATAGAAAGGTTCAACTCTGTTAGCTGCGTGCATATATCCCAAAGTAGATTCTGAGATTGCTTCTGTCTAGTTTTTGTGGGAAGATATTTCCCTTTTCACCGTAGGGGTCAAGGCGCTCCAAATGTCCACTTCCAGATACTACAAAAAGAGTGTTTCAAACCTACTCTGTGAAAGGGAATATTCAACTCTGTGACTTGAATGCACATATCACAAAGAAGTTTCTGAGAATGCTTCTGTCGAGATTTTATATGAAGATATTCCCGTTTCCAACGAAATCCTGAAATGTACCCAAATATCCCCTCGCAGATTCTACAAAAAGAGTGTTTCAAAACTGCTCTGTAAAAAGAAAGGTTCAACTCTGTTAGTTGAGTACACACATCACAAATAAGTTTCACACAATGCTTCTTTCTAGCTTGTAGGGGAAGATATTCCCTTTATCACCATGGGCCTCAAACCGTCCGAAACGTCCACTTCCATATACTACAAAAAGGGCGTTTCAAACCTGCTCTATGAAAGGCAATGTTCAACTCTGTGACTTGAATGCAGACATCACAGAGCAGTTTCTGAGAATGCTTCTGTCTAGATTTTATAGGAAGATATTTCCGTTTCCAACGAAATCTTCACAGCTATCCAAATATCCACTTGCAGATTCTACAAAAAGAGTGTATCAAAACTGCTCTGTCAAAAGGAAGGTTCTTCTCTGTTAGTTGAGTACATACGTCATAAAGGAGTTTCTGAGAATGTTTCTGTCTAGTGGTTATGGGAAGATATTTGCTTTTTCACCTTAGGCCTCAGATCGCTCCAAATATCCACTTGCACATACTACAAAAAGAGTGCTTCAAAGCGGCTCTCTGAACCGCAATGTTCAATTCTATGAGTTGAATGCAAACATCACAAAGACGTTTCTGAGAATGCTTCTGTCTAGATTTGATATGAAGATATTCCCGTTTCCAACGAAATCTTCAAATCTATCCAAATGTCCACTTGCAGATTCAACAAAAAGTGTTTTTCAGAACTGCTCTATCAAAAGGAAGATCCACCTCTGTTAGCTGAGTTCAGACATCACAAACAAGTTTATGAGAATGCTTCTGTCTAGTTTTTATTTGAAGATATTTCCTTTCTCACCATAGACCTGAAAGCTGTCCTAATGTTCACTTCCAGATACTACAGAAAGAGTGTTTCAAAACTGCTGTACGAAAGGGAATGTTCAACTCTGTGACTTGAATGCACACATCACAAAGAAGATTCTGAGGATGCTGCTGTCTACTTTTTATACGTAATCCCGTTTCCAACGAAATCCTCCAAGCTATCCAAATATCCACTTGCAGATTCCACAGAAAGACTGTTTCAAAACTGCTCTGTCAATAGAAAGGTACAACTCTGTTAGCTGCGTGCATATATCCCAAAGAAGATTCTGAGATTGCTTCTGTCTAGTTTTGATGGGAAGATATTTCCCTTTTCACCGTAGGCGTCAAGGCGCTCCAAATGTCCACTTCCAGATACTACAAAAAGAGTGTTTCAAACCTACTCTGTGAAAGGGAATATTCAACTCTGTGACTTGAATGCACATATCGCAAGGAAGTTTCTGAGAATGCTTCTGTCGAGATTTTATATGAAGATACTCCCGTTTCCAGCGAAATCCTGAAATCTATCCAAATATCCCCTCGCAGATTCTACAAAAAGAGTGTTTCAAAACTGCTCTGTAAAAAGGAAGGTTCAACTCTGTTAGTTGAGTACACACATCAAAAACAAGTTTCACAGAATGCTTCTTTCTAGCTTGTAGGGGAAGATATTCCCTTTATCACCATCGGCCTCAAACCGTCTGAAACATCCACTTACATATACTACAAAAAGAGCGTTTCAAACCTGCTCTATGAAAGGCAATGTTCAACTCTGTGACTTGAATACAGACATCACAGAGCAGTTTCTGAGAATGCTTCTGTCTAGATTTTATAGGAAGATATTCCCGTTTCCAACGAAATCTTCACAGCTATCCAAATATCCACTTGCAGATTCTACAAAAAGAGTGTATCAAAACTGCTCTGTCAAAAGGAAGGTTCTTCTCTGTTAGTTGAGTGCATACGTCATAAAGGAGTTTCTGAGAATGTTTCTGTCTAGTGGTTATGGGAAGATATTTGCTTTTTCACCGCAGGCCTCACAGCGCTCCAAATATCCACTTGCACATACTACAAAAAGAGTGCTTCAAAGCTGCTCCCTGAAACGGAATGTTCAACTCTATGGGTTGAATGCAAACATCACAAAGACGTTTCTGAGAATGCTTCTGTCTAGATTTGATATGAAGATATTCCCGTTTCCAACGAAATCTTCAATTCTATCCAAATGTCCACTTGCAGATTCAACAAAAAGTGTTTTTCAGAACTGCTCTATCAAAAGAAAGATCCACCTCTGTTAGCTGAGTTCAGACATCACAAACAAGTTTATGAGAATGCTTCTGTCTAGTTTTTATTTGAAGATATTTCCTTTCTCACCATAGACCTGAAAGCTGTCCTAATGTTCACTTCCGGTTACTACAGAAAGAGTGTTTCAAAACTGCTGTACGAAAGGGAATGTTCAACTCTGTGACTTGAATGCACACATCACAAAGAAGTTTCTGAGGATGCTGCTGACTACTTTTTATACGTAATCCCGTTTCCAACGAAATCCTCCAAGCTATCCAAATATCCACTTGCAGATTCCACAGAAAGACTGTTTCAAAACTGCTCTGTCAATAGAAAGGTTCAACTCTGTTAGCTGCGTGCATATATCCCAAAGAAGATTCTGAGATTGCTTCTGTCTAGTTTTTATGGGAAGATATTTCCCCTTTCACCGTAGGCGTCAAGGCGCTCCAAATGTCCACTTCCAGATACTACAAAAAGAGTGTTTCAAACCTACTCTGTGAAAGGGAATATTCAACTCTGTGACTTGAATGCACATATCACAAGGAAGTTTCTGAGAATGCTTCTGTCGAGATTTTATATGAAGATATTCCCGTTTCCAACGAAATCCTGAAATGTATCCAAATATCCCCTCGCAGATTCTACAAAAAGAGTGTTTCAAAACTGCTCTGTGAAAAGAAAGGTTCAACTTTGTTAGTTGAGTACACACATCACAAACAAGTTTCACAGAATGCTTCTTTCCAGCTTGTAGGGGAAGATATTCCCTTTATCACCATGGGCTTCCAACCGTCCGAAACATCCACTTCCATATACTACAAAAAGAGCGTTTCAAACCTGCTCTATGAAAGGCAATGTTCAACTCTGTGACTTGAATGCAGACATCACAGAGCAGTTTCTGAGAATGCTTCTGTCTAGATTTTATAGGAAGCTATTCCCGTTTCCAACGAAATCTTCACAGCTATCCAAATATCCACTTGCAGATTCTACAAAAAGAGTGTATCAAAACTGCTCTGTCAAAAGGAAGGTTCTTTTCTGTTAGGTGAGTGCATACGTCATAAAGGAGTTTCTGAGAATGTTTCTGTCTAGTGGTTATGGGAAGATATTTGCTTTTTCACAGAAGGCCTCAGAGCGCTCCAAATATCCACTTGCACATACTACAAAAAGAGTGCCTCAAAGCTGCTCTCTGAAACGGAATGTTCAACTTTATGAGTTGAATGCAAACATCACAAAGACGTTTCCGAGAATGCTTCTGTCTAGATTTGATATGAAGATATTCCCGTTTCCAACGAAATCTTCAAATCTATCCAAATGTCCACTTGCAGATTCAACAAAAAGTGTTTTTCAGATCTGCTCTATCAAAAGAAAGATCCATCTCTGTTAGCTGAGTTCACACATCACAAACAAGTTTATGAGAATGCTCTGTCTAGTTTTTATTTGAAGATATTTCCTTTCTCACCATAGACCTGAAAGCTGTCCTAATGTTCACTTCCAGATACTACAGAAAGAGTGTTTCAAAACTGCTTTACGAAAGGGAATGTTCAACTACTGTGACTTGAATGCACACATCACAAAGAAGTTTCTGAGGATGCTGGCTGTCTACTTTTTATACGTAATCCCGTTTCCAACGAAATCCTCCAAGCTATCTAAATATCCACTTGCAGATTCCACAGAAAGACTGTTTCTAAACTGCTCTTTCAATAGAAAGGTTCAACTCTGTTAGCTGCGTGCATATATCCCAAAGAAGATTCTGAGATTGCTTCTGTCTCGTTTTTATGGTAAGATATTTACCTTTTCACCGTAGGTGTCAAGGCGCTCCAAATGTCCACTTCCAGATACTACAAAAAGAGTGTTTCAAACCTACTCTGTGAAAGGGAATATTCAACTCTGTGACTTGAATGCAGATATCACAAAGAAGTTTCTGAGAATGCTTCTGTCGAGATTTTATATGAAGATATTCCCGTTTCCAACGAAATCCTGAAATCTATCCAAATATCCCCTCGCAGATTCTACAAAAAGAGTGTTTCAAAACTGCTCTGTAAAAAGAAAGGTTCAACTCTGTTAGTTGAGTACACACATCACAAACAAGTTTCACAGAATTGTTCTTTCTAGCTTGTAGGGGAAGATATTCCCTTTATCACCATGGGCCTGAAACCGTCCGAAACGTCCACTTCCATATACTACAAAAAGAGTGTTTCAAACCTGCTCTATGAAAGGCAATGTTCAACTCTGTGACTTGAATGCAGACATCACAGAGCAGTTTCTGAGAATGCTTCTGTCTAGATTTTATAGGAAGATATTACCGTTTCCAACGAAATCTTCACAGCTATCCCAATATCCACTTGCAGATTCTACAAAAAGAGTGTATCAAAACTGCTCTGTCAAAAGGAAGGTTCTTCTCTGTTAGGTGAGTGCATACGTCATAAAGGAGTTTCTGAGAATGTTTCTGTCTAGTGGTTATGGGAAGATATTTGCTTTTTCACCGAAGGCCTCAGAGCGCTCCCAATATCCACTTGCACATACTACAAAATGAGTGCCTCAAAGCTGCTCTCTGAAACGGAATGTTCAAATCTATGAGTTGAATGCAAACATCACAAAGACGTTTCCGAGAATGCTTCTGTCTAGATTTGATATGAAGATATTCCCGTTTCCAACGAAATCTTCAAATCTATCCAAATGTCCTCTTGCAGATTCAACAAAAAGTGTTTTTCAGAACTGCTCTATCAAAAGAAAGATCCACGTGTGTTAGCTGAGTTCACACATCACGAACAAGTTTATGAGAATTCTTCTGTCTAGTTTTTATTTGAAGATATTGCCTTTCTCACCATAGACCTGAAAGCTGTCCTAATGTTCACTTCCAGATACTACAGAAAGAGTGTTTCAAAACTGCTGTACGAAAGGGAATGTTCAACTCTGTGACTTGAATGCACACATCACAAAGAAGTTCCTGAGGATGCTGCTGTCTACTTTTTATACGTAATCCCGTTTCCAACGAAATCCTCCAAGCTATCCAAATATCCACTTGCAGATTCCACAGAAAGAGTGTTTCAAAACAGCTCTGTCAATAGAAAGGTTCAACTCTGTTAGCTGCGTGCATATATCCCAAAGAAGATTCTGAGATTGCTTCTGTCTACTTTTTATGAGAAGATATTTCCCTTTTCACCGTAGGCGTCAAGGCGCTCCAAATGTCCACTTCAGATACTACAAAAAGAGTGTTTCAAACCTACTCTGTGAAAGGGAATATTGAACTCTGTGACTTGAATGCACATATCACAAAGAAGTTTCAGAGAATGCTTCTGTCGAGATTTTATATGAAGATATTCCCGTTTCCAACGAAATGCTGAAATCTATCCAAATATCCCCTCGCAGATTCTACAAAAAGAGTGTTTCAAAACTGCTCTGTGAAAAGAAAGGTTCAACTCTGTTAGTTGAGTACACACATCACAAACTAGTTTCACAGAATGCTTCTTTCTAGCTTGCAGGGGAAGATATTCCCTTTATCACCATGGGCCTCAAACCGTCTGAAACGTCCACTTCCATATACTACAAAAAGAGCATTTCAAACCTGCTCTATGAAAGCCAATGTTCAACTCTGTGACTTGAATGCACACATCACAGAGCAGTTTCTGAGAATGCTTCTGTCTAGGTTTTATAGGAAGATATTCCCGTTTCCAACGAAATCTTCACAGCTATCCAAATATCCACTTGCAGATTCTACAAAAAGAGTGTATCAAAACTGCTCTGTCAAAAGGAAGGTTCTTCTCTGTTAGGTGAGTGCATACGTCATAAAGGAGTTTCTGAGAATGTTTCTGTCTAGTGGTTATGGGAAGATATTTGCTTTTTCACCGTAGGCCTCAGAGCGCTCCAAATATCCACTTGCACATACTACAAAAAGAGTGCCTCAAAGCTGCTCTCTGAAACGGAATGTTCAACTCTATGAGTTGAATGCAAACATCGCAAAGACGTTTCTGAGAATGCTTATCTGTCTAGATTTGATATGACGATATTCCCGTTTCCAACGAAATCTTCAAATCTATCCAAATGTCCACTTGCAGATTCAACAAAACGTGTTTTTCAGAACTGCTCTATCAAAAGAAAGATCCACGTCTGTTAGCTGAGTTCAGACATCACAAACAAGTTTATGAGAATGCTTCTGTCTAGTTTTTATTTGAAGATATTTCCTTTCTCACCATAGACCTGAAAGCTGTCCTAATGTTCACTTCCAGATACTACAGAAAGAGTGTTTCAAAACTGCTGTACGAAAGGGAATGTTCAACTGTGTGACTTGAATGCACACATCACAAAGAAGTTTCTGAGGAGGCTGCTGTCTACTTTTTATACGTAATCCCGTTTCCAACGAAATCCTCCAAGCTATCCAAATATCCACTTGCAGATTCCACAGAAAGACTGTTTCAAAACTGCTCTGTCAATAGAAAGGTTCAACTCTGTTACCTGCGTGCATATATCCCGAAGAAGATTCTGAGATTGCTTCTGTCTACTTTTTATGAGAAGATATTTCCCTTTTCACCGTAGGCGTCAAGGCGCTCAAAATGTCCACTTCCAGATACTACAAAAAGAGTGTTTCAAACCTACTCTGTGAAAGGGAATATTCAACTCTGTGACTTGAATGCAGATATCACAAAGAAGTTTACTGAGAATGCTTTCTGTCGAGATTTTATATGAAGATATTCCCGTTTCCAACGGAATCCTGAAATCTATCCAAATATCCCCTCGCAGATTCTACAAAAAGAGTGTTTCAAAACTGCTATGTAAAAAGAAAGGTTCAACTCTGTTAGTTGAGTACACACATCACAAACAAGTTTCACAGAATGCTTCTTTCTAGCTTGTAGGGGAAGATATTCCCTTTATCACCATGGGCCTCCAACCGTCCGAAACATCCACTTCCATACACTACAAAAAGAGCGTTTCAAACCTGCTCTATGAAAGGCAATGTTCAACTCTGTGACTTGAATGCAGACATCACAGAGCAGTTTCTGAGAATGCTTCTGTCTAGATTTTATAGGAAGATATTCCCGTTTCCAACGAAATCTTCACAGCTATCCAAATATCCACTTGCAGATTCTGCAAAAAGAGTGTATAAAAACTGCTCAGTCAAAAGGAAGGTTCTTCTCTGTTAGGTGAGTGCATACGTCATAAAGGAGTTTCTGAGAATGTTTCCGTCTAGTGGTTATGGGAAGATATTTGCTTTTTCACCGTAGGCCTCAGAGCGCTCCAAATATCCACTTGCACATACTACAAAAAGAGTGCCTCAAAGCTGCTCTCTGAAACGGAATGTTCAACTCTATGAGTTGAATGCAAACATCGCAAAGACGTTTCTGAGAATGCTTCTGTCTAGATTTGACATGAAGATATTCCCGTTTCCAACGAAATCTTCAAATCTATCCAAATGTCCACTTGCAGATTCAACAAAAAGTGTTTTTCAGAACTGCTCTATCAAAAGAAAGATCCACCTCTGTTAGCTGAGTTCACACATCACAAACAAGTTTATGAGAATGCTTTTGTCTAGTTTTTATTTGAAGATATTTCCTTTCTCACCGTAGACCTGAAAGCTGTCCTAATGTTCACTTCCAGTTACTACAGAAAGAGTGTTTGAAAACTGCTGTACGAAAGGGAATGTTCAACTCTGTGACTTGAATGCACACATCACAAAGAAGTTTCTGAGGATGCTGCTGTCTACTTTTCATACGTAATCCCGTTTCCAACGAAATCCTCCAAGCTATCCAAATATCTACTTGCAGATTCCACAGAAAGACTGTTTCAAAACTGCTCTGTCAATAGAAAGGTTCAACTCTGTTAGCTGCGTGCATATATCCCAAAGAAGATTCTGAGATTGCTTCTGTCTAGTTTTTATGGGAAGATATTTCCCTTTTCACCGTAGGTCTCAAGGGGCTCCAAATGTCCACTTCCAGATACTACAAAAAGAGTGTTTCAAACCTACTCTGTGAAAGGGAATATTCAACTCTGTGACTTAAAGGCAGATATCACAAAGAAGTTTCTGAGAATGCTTCTGTCGATATTTTATATGAAGATATTCCCGTTTCCAACGAAATCCTGAAATCTATCCAAATATCCCCTCTCAGATTCTACAAAAAGAGTGTATCAAAACTGCTCTGTAAAAAGAAAGGTTCAACTCTGTTAGTTGAGTACACACATCACAAGCAAGTTTCACAGAATGCTTCTTTCTAGCTTGTAGGGGAAGATATTCCCTTTATCACCATGGGCCTCAAACTGTCCGAAACGTCCACTTCCATATACTACAAAAAGAGTGTTTCAAACCTGCTCTATGAAAGGCAATGTTCAACTCTGTGACTTGAATGCAGACATCACAGAGCAGTTTCTGAGAATGCTTCTGTCTAGATTTTATAGGAAGATATTCCCGTTTCCAATGAAATCTTCACAGCTATCCAAATATCCACTTGCAGATTCTACAAAAAGAGTGTATCAAAACTGCTCTGTCAAAAGGAAGGTTCTTCTCTGTTAGGTGAGTGCATACGTCATAAAGGAGTTTCTGAGAATGTTTCTGTCTAGTGGTTATGGGAAGATATTTGCTTTTTCACCGTAGGCCTCACAGCGCTCCAAATATCCACTTGCACAGACTACAAAAAGAGTGCTTCAAAGCTGCTCTCTGAAAGGGAATGTTCAACTCTATGAGTTGAATGCAAACATCACAAAGACGTTTCTGAGAATGCTTCTGTCTAGATTTGATATGAAGATATTCCCGTTTCCAACGAAATCTTCAAATCTATCGAAATGTCCACTTGCAGATTCAACAAAAAGTGTTTTTCCGAACTGCTCTATCAAAAGAAAGATCCGCCTCTGTTAGCTGAGTTCACACATCACAAACAAGTTTATGAGAATGCTTCTGTCTAGTTTTTATTTGAAGATATTTCCTTTCTCACTATAGACCTGAAAGCTCTCCTAAAGTTCACTTCCAGATACTACAGAAAGAGTGTTTCAAAACTGCTGTACGAAAGGGAATGTTCAACTCTGTGACTTGAATGCACACATCACAAGGAAGTTTCTGAGGATGCTGCTGTCTAATTTTTATACGTAATCCCGTTTCCAACGAAATCCTCCAATCTATCCAAATATCCACTTGCAGATTCCACAGAAAGACTGTTTCAAAACTGCTCTGTCAATAGAAAGGTTCAACTCTGTTAGCTGCGTGCATATATCCCAAAGAAGATTCTGAGATTGCTTCTGTCTAGTTTTTATGGGAAGATATTTCCCTTTTCACCGTAGGCGTCAAGGCGCTCCAAATGTCCACTTCCAGATACTACAAAAAGAGTGTTTCAAACCTACTCTGTGAAAGGGAATATTCAACTCTGTGACTTGAATGCACATATCACAAAGGAAGTTTCTGAGAATGCTTCTGTCGAGATTTTATGTGAAGATATTCCCGTTTGCAACGAAATCCTGAAATCTATCCAAATATCCCCTCGCAGATTCTACAAAAAGAGTGTTTCAAAACTGCTCTGTAAAAAGAAAGGTTCAACTCTTTTAGTTGAGTACACACATCACAAACAAGTTTCACAGAATGCTTCTTTCTACCTTGTAGGGGAAGATATTCCCTTTATCACCATGGGCCTCAAACCGTCCGAAATGTCCACTTCCATATACTACAAAAAGAGTGTTTCAAACCTGCTCTATGAAAGGCAATGTTCAACTCTGTGACTTGAATGCAGACATCACAGAGCAGTTTCTGAGAATGCTTCTGTCTAGATTTTATAGGAAGATATTCCCGTTTCCAACGAAATCTTCACAGCTATCCAAATATCCACTTGCAGATTCTACAAAAAGAGTGTACCAAAACTGCTCTGTCAAAAGGAAGGTTCTTTTCTGTTAGGTGAGTGCATACGTCATAAAGGAGTTTCTGAGAATGTTTCTGTCTAGTGGTTATGGGAAGATATTTGCTTTTTCACCGTAGGCCTCAGAGCGCTCCAAATATCCACTTGCACATACTACAAAAAGAGTGCTTCAAATCTGCTCTCTGAAAGGGAATGTTCAACACTATGAGTTGAATGCAAACATCACAAAGACGTTTCTGAGAATGCTTCTGTCTATATTTGATATGAAGATATTCCCGTTTCCAACGAAATCTTCAAATCTATCCAAATGTCCACTTGCAGATTCAACAAAAAGTGTTTTTCAGAACTGCTCTATCAAAAGAAAGATCCACCTCTGTTAGATGAGTTCACACATCACAAACAAGTTTATGAGAATGCTTCTGTCTAGTTTTTATTTGAAGATATTTCCTTTCTCACCATAGACCTGAAAGCTGTCCTAATGTTCACTTACAGATACTACAGAAAGAGTGTTTCAAAACTGCTGTACGAAAGGGAATGTTCAACTCTGTGACTTGAATGCACACATCACAAAGAAGTTTCTGAGGATGCTGCTGTCTTCTTTTTATACGTAATCCCGTTTCCAACGAAATCCTCCAAGCTATCCAAATATCCACTTGCAGATTCCACAGAAAGACTGTTTCAAAACTGCTCTGTCAATAGAAAGGTTCAACTCTGTTAGCTGCGTGCATATATTCCAAAGAAGATTCTGAGATTGCTTCTGTCTAGTTTTTATGGGAAGATATTTCCCTTTTCACCATAGGCGTCAAGGCGCTCCAAATGTCCACTTCCAGGTATACAAAAAGAGTGTTTCAAACCTACTCTGTGAAAGGGAATATTCAACTCTGTGACTTGAATGCAGATATCACAAAGAAGTTTCTGAGAATGCTTCTGTCGAGATTTTGTATGAAGATATTCCCGATTCCAACGAAATCCTGAAATCTATCCAAATTTCCCCTCGCAGATTCTACAAAAAGAGTGTTTCAAAACTGCTCTGTGAAAAGAAAGGTTCAACTCTGTTAGTTGAGTACACACATCACAAACAAGTTTCACAGAATGCTTCTTTCTAGCTTGTAGGGGAAGATATTTCCTTTATCACCATGGTCCTCAAACCGTCCGAAACGTCCACTTCCATATACTAAAAAAAGAGTGTTTCAAACCTGCTCTATGAAAGGCAATGTTCAACTCTGTGACTTGAATGCAGACATCACAGAGCAGTTTCTGGGAATGCTTCTGTCTAGATTTTATAGGAAGATATTCTCGTTTCCAACGAAATCTTCACAGCTATCCAAATATCCACTTGCAGATTCTACAAAAAGAGTGTATCAAAACTGCTCTGTGAAAAGGAAGGTTCTTCTCTGTTAGGTGAGTGCATACTTCATAAAGGAGTTTCTGAGAATGTTTCTGTCTAGTGGTTATGGGAAGATATTTGCTTTTTCACCGTAGGCCTCAGAGCGCTCCAAATATCCACTTGCACATACTACAAAAAGAGTGCCTCACAGCTGCTCTCTGAAACGGAATGTTCAACTCTATGGGTTGAATGCAAACATCGCAAAGACGTTTCTGAGAATGCTTCTGTCTAGATTTGATATGAAGATATTCCCGTTTCCAACGAAATCTTCAAATCTATGCAAATGTCCACTTGCAGATTCAACAAAAAGTGTTTTTCAGAACTGCTCTATCAAAAGAAAGATCCACCTCTGTTAGCTGAGTTCACACCTCACAAACAACTTTATGAGAATGCTTCTGTCTAGTTTTTATTTGAAGATATTTCCTTTCTCACCATAGAGCTGAAAGCTGTCCTAATGTTCACTTCCAGATACTACAGAAAGAGTGTTTCAAAACTGCTGTACGAAAGGGAATGTTGAACTCTGTGACTTGAATGCACACATCACAAAGAAGTTTCTGAGGATGCTGCTGTCTACTTTTTATATGTAATCCCGTTTCCAACGAAATCCTCCAAGCTATCCAAATATCCACTTCCAGATTCCACAGAAAGACTGTTTCAAAACTCCTCTGTCAATAGAAAGGTTCAACTCTGTTAGCTGCGTGCATATATCCCAAAGAAGATTCTGAGATTGCTTCTGTCTAGTTTTTATGGGAAGATATTTCCCTTTTCACCGTAGGCGTCAAGGCGCTCCAAATGTCCACTTCCAGATACTACAAAAAGAGTGTTTCAAACCTACCCTGTGAAAGGGAATATTCAACTCTGTGACTTGAATGCACATATCACAAAGAAGTTTCTGAGAATGCTTCTGTCGAGATTTTGTATGAAGATATTCCCGTTTCCAACGAAATCCTGAAATCTATCCAAATTTCCCCCCGCAGATTCTACAAAAAGAGTGTTTCAAAACTGCTCTGTAAAAAGAAAGGTTCAACTCTGTTAGTTGAGTACACACATCACAAACAAGTTTCACAGAATGCTTCTTTCTAGCTTGTAGGGGAAGATATTCCCTTTATCACCATGGGCCTCAAACCGTCCGATAAGTCCACTTCCATATACTACAAAAAGAGCGTTTCAAACCTGCTCTATGAAAGGCAACGTTCAACTCTGTAACTTGAATGCAGACATCACAGAGCAGTTTCTGAGAATGCTTCTGTCTAGATTTTATAGGAAGATATTCCCGTTTCCAACGAAATCTTCACAGCTATCCAAATATCCACTTGCAGATTCTACAAAAAGAGTTTATCAAAACTGCTCTGTCAAAAGGAAGGTTCTTCTCTGTTAGTTGAGTACATACGTCATAAAGGAGTTTCTGAGAATGTTTCTGTCTAGTGGTTATCGGAAGATATTTGCTTTTTCACCGTAGGCCTCAGAGCGCTCCAAATATCCACTTGCACATACTACAAAAAGAGTGCTTCAAAGCTGGTCTCTGAAACGGAATGTTCAACTCTATGAGTTGAATGCAAACATCACAAAGACGTTTCTGAGAATGCTTCTGTCTAGATTTATGACGATATTCCCGTTTCCAACGAAATCTTCAAATCTATCCAAATGTCTACTTGCAGATTCAACAAAGTGTTTTTCAGAACTGCTCTATCAAAAGAAAGATCCACCTCTGTTAGCTGAGATCACACTTCACAAACAAGTTTATCAGAATGCTTCTGTCTAGTTTTTATTTGAAGATATTTCCTTTCTCACCATAGAGCTGAAAGCTGTCCTAATGTTCACTTCCAGATACTACAGAAAGAGTTTTTCAAAACTGCTGTACGAAAGGGAATGTTCAACTCTGTGACTTGAATGCACACATCACAAAGAAGTTTCTGAGGATGCTGCTGTCTACTTTTTATACTTAATCCCGTTTCCAACGAAATCCTCCAAGCTATCCAAATATCCACTTGCAGATTCCACAGAAAGACTGTTTCAAAACTGCTCTGTCAATGGAAAGGTTCAACTCTGTTAGCTGCGTGCATATATCCCAAAGAAGATTCTGAGATTGCTTCTGTCTAGTTTTTATGGGAAGATATTTCCCTTCTCACCATAGGCGTCAAGGCGCTCCAAAAGTCCACTTCTAGATACTACAAAAAGAGTGTTTCAAACCTACTCTGTGAAAGGGAATATTCAACTCTGTGACTTCAATGCAGATATCACCAAGAAGTTTCTGAGAATGCTTCTGTCGAGATTTTATATGAAGATATTCCCGTTGCCAACGAAATCCTGAAATCTATCCAAATATCCCCTCGCAGATTCTACAAAAAGAGTGTTTCAAAACTGCTCTGTAAAAAGAAAGGTTCAACTCTGTTAGTTGAGTACACACATCACAAACAAGTTTCACAGAATGCTTCTTTCTAGCTTGTAGGGGAAGATATTCCCTTTATCACCATTGGGCCTCAAACCGTCCGAAACGTCTACTTCCATATACTACAAAAAGAGCGTTTCAAACCTGCTCTATGAAAGGCAATGTTCAACTCTGTGACTTGAATGCAGACATCACAGAGCAGTTTCTGAGAATGCTTCTGTCTAGATTTTATAGGAAGATATTCCCGTTTCCAGCGAAATCTTCACAGCTATCCAAATATCCACTTGCAGATTCTACAAAATGAGTTTATCAAAACTGCTCTGTCAAAAGGAAGGTTCTTCTCTGTTAGGTGAGTGCATACGTCATAAAGGAGTTTCTGAGAATGTTTCTGTCTAGTGGTTATGGGAAGATATTTGCTTTTTCACCGTAGGCCTCAGAGCGCTCCAAATGTCCACTTGCACATACTACAAAAAGAGTGCTTCAAACCTGCTCTCTGAAAGGGAATGTTCAACTCTATGAGTTGAATGCAAACATCACAAAGACGTTTCTGAGAATGCTTCTGTCTAGATTTGATATGAAGATATTCCCGTTTCCAACGAAATCTTCAAATCTATCCAAATGTCCACTTGCAGATTCAACAAAAAGTGTTTTTCAGAACTGCTATATCAAAAGAAAGATCCACCTCTGTTAGCTGAGTTCACACATCACAAACAAGTTTATGAGAATGCTTCTGTCTAGTTTTTATTTGAAGATATTTCCTTTCTCACCATAGAGCTGAAAGCTGTCCTAATGTTCACTTCCAGATACTACAGAAAGAGTGTTTCAAAACTGCTGTATGAAAGGGAATGTTCAACTATGTGACTTGAATGCACACATCACAAAGAAGTTTCTGAGGATGCTGCTGTCTACTTTTTATACGTAATCCCGTTTCCAACGAAATCCTCCAAGCTATCCAAATATCCACTTGCAGATTCCACAGATAGACTGTTTCAAAACTGCTCTGTCAATAGAAAGGTTCAACTCTGTTAGCTGCGTGCATATATCCCAAAGAAGATTCTGAGATTGCTTTTGTCTAGTTTTTATGGGAAGATATTTCCCTTTTCACCGTAGGCGTCAAGGCGCTCCAAATGTCCACTTCCAGATACTACAAAAAGAGTGTTTCAAACCTACTCTGTGAAAGGGAATATTCAACTCTGTGACTTGAAGGCAGATATCACAAAGAAGTTTCTGAGAATGCTTCTGTCGAGATTTTATATGAAGATATTCCCGTTTACAACGAAATCCTGAAATCTATCCAAATATCCCCTCGCAGATTCTACAAAAAGAGTGTTTCAAAACTGCTCTGTAAAAAGAAAGGTTCAACTCTGTTAGTTGAGTACACACATCACAAACAAGTTTCACAGAATGCTTCTTTCTAGCTTGTAGGGGAAGATATTCCCTTTATCACCATGGGCCTCAAACCGTCCGAAACGTCCACTTCCATATACTACAAAAAGAGCCTTTCAAACATGCTCTATGAAAGGCAATGTTCAACTCTGTGACTTGAATGCAGACATCACAGAGCAGTTTCTGAGAATCCTTCTGTCTAGATTTTATAGGAAGATATTCCCGTTTCCAACGAAATCTTCACAGCTATCCAAATATCCACTGTCAGATTCCACAAAAAGAGTGTATCAAAAGTGCTCTGTCAAAAGGAAGGTTCTTCTCTGTTAGGTGAGTGCATACGTCATAAAGGAGTTTCTGAGAATGTTTCTGTCTAGTGGTTATGGGAAGATATTTGCTTTTTCACCGTAGGCCTCAGAGCGCTCCAAATATCCACTTGCACATACTACAAAAAGAGTGCTTCAAAGCTGCTCTCTGAAACGGAATGTTCAACTCTATGAGTTGAATGCAAACATCACAAAGACGTTTCTGAGTATGCTTCTGTCTAGATTTGATATGAAGATATTCCCGTTTCCAACGAAATCTTCAAATCTATCCAAATGTCCACTTCCAGATTCAACAAAAAGTGTTTTTCAGAACTGCTCTATCAAAAGAAAGATCCACCTCTGTTAGCTGAGTTCACACATCACAAACATGTTTATGACAATGCTTCTGTCTAGTTTTTATTTGAAGATATTTCCTTTCTCACCATAGAGCTGAAAGCTGTCCTAATGTTCACTTCCAGATACTACAGAAAGAGTGTTTGAAAACTGCTGTACGAAAGGGAATGTTCAACTCTGTGACTTGAATGCACACATCACAAAGAAGGTTCTGAGGATGCTGCTGTCTACTTTTTATACGTAATCCCGTTTCCAACGAAATCCTCCAAGCTATCCAAATATCCACTTGCAGATTCCACAAAAAGACTGTTTCAAAACCGCTCTGTCAATAGAAAGGTTCAACTCTGTTAGCTGCGTGCATACATCCCAAAGAACATTCTGAGGTTGCTTCTGTCTAGTTTTTATGGGAAGATATTTCCCTTTTCACCGTAGGCATCAAGGCGCTCCAAATGTCCACTTCCAGATACTACAAAAAGAGTGTTTCAAACCTACTCTGTGAAAGGGAATATTCAACTCTGTGACTTGAATGCACATATCACAAGGAAGTTTCTGAGAATGCTTCTGTCGAGATTTTATATGAAGGTATTCCCGTTTCCAACGAAATCCTGAAATCTATCCAAATATCCCCTCGCAGATTCTACAAAAAGAGTGTTTCAAAACTGCTCTGTAAAAAGAAAGGTTCAACTCTGTTAGTTGAGTACACACATCACAAACAAGTTTCACAGAATGCTTCTTTCTAGCTTGTAGGGGAAGATATTCCCTTTATCACCATGGGCCTCAAACCGTCCGAAACGTCCACTTCCATATACTACAAAAAGAGCGTTTCAAACCTGCTCTATGAAAGGCAATGTTCAACTCCGTGAGTTGAATGCAGACATCACAGAGCAGTTTCTGAGAATGCTTCTGTCTAGTGGTTATGGGAAGATATTTGCTTTTTCACCGTAGGCCTCAGAGCGCTCAAAATATCCACTTGCACATACTACAAAAAGAGTGCTTCAAAGCTGCTCTCTGAAAGGGAATGTTCAACTCTATGAGTTGAATGCAAACATCACAAAGACGTTTCTGAGAATGCTTCTGTCTAGATTTGATATGAAGATATTCCCGTTTCCAACGAAATCTTCAAATCTATCCAAATGTCCACTTGCAGATTCAACAAAAATTGTTTTTCAGAACTGCTCTATCAAAAGAAAGATCCACGTGTGTTAGCTGAGTTCACACATAACAAACAAGTTTATGAGAATGCTTCTGTCTAGTTTTTATTTGAAGATATTTCCTTTCTCACCATAGACCTGAAAGCTGTCCTAATGTTCACTTCCAGATACTACAGAAAGAGTGTTTCAAAACTGCTGTATGAAAGGGAATGTTCAACTCTGTGACTTGAATGCACACATCAAAAAGAAGTTTCTGAGGATGCTGCTGTCTACTTTTTATACGTAATCCCGTTTCCAACGAAATCCTCCAAGGTATCCAAATATCCACTTGCAGATTCCACAGAAAGACAGTTTCAAAACTGCTCTGTCAATAGAAAGGTTCAACTCTGTTAGCTGCGTGCATATATCCCAAAGAAGATTCTGAGATTGCTTCTGTCTACTTTTCATGAGAAGATATTTCCCTTTTCACCGTAGGCGTCAAGGTGCTCCAAATGTCCACTTCCAGATACTACAAAAAGAGTGTTTCAAACCTACTCTGTGAAAGGGAATATTCAACTCTGTGACTTGAATGCACATATCACAAAGAAGCTTCTGAGAATGCTTCTGTCGAGATTTTATATGAAGATATTCCCGTTTCCAACGAAATCCTGAAATCTATCCAAATATCCCCTCGCAGATTCTACAAAAAGAGTGTTTCAAAACTGCTCTGTAAAAGAAAGGTTCAACTCTGTTAGTTGAGTACACACATCACAAACAAGTTTCACAGAATGCTTCTTTCTAGCTTGTAGAGGAAGAATATTCCCTTTATCACCATGGGCCTCCAACCGTCCGAAACATCCACTTCCATATACTACAAAAAGAGCGTTTCAAACCTGCTCTATGAAAGGCAATGTTCAACTCTGTGACTTGAATGCAGACATCACAGAGCAGTTTCTGAGAATGCTTCTGTCTAGATTTTATAGGAAGATATTCCCGTTTCCAATGAAATCTTCACAGGTATCCAAATATCCACTTGCAGATTCTACAAAAAGAGTGTATCAAAACTGCTCTGTCAAAAGGAAGGTTCTTCTCTGTTAGGTGAGTGCATACGTCATAAAGGAGTTTCTGAGAATGTTTTCTGTCTAGTGGTTATGGGAAGATATTTGCTTTTTCACCGTAGGCCTCAGAGCGCTCCAAATATCCACTTGCACATACTACAAAAAGAGTGCCTCAAAGCTGCTCTCTGAAACGGAATGTTCAACTCTATGAGTTGAATGCAAACATCACAAAGACGTTTCTGAGAATGCTTCTGTCTAGATTGGATATGAAGATATTCCCGTTTCCAACGAAATCTTCAAATCTATCCAAATGTCCACTTGCAGATTCAACAAAAAGTGTTTTTCAGAACTGCTCTATCAAAAGAAAGATCCACCTCTGTTAGCTGAGTTCACACATCACAAACAAGTTTATGAGAATGCTTCTGTCTAGTTTTTATTTGAAGATATTTCCTTTCTCACCATAGAGCTGAAAGCTGTCCTAATGTTCACTTCCAGATACTACAGAAAGAGTGTTTCAAAACTGCTGTACGAAAGGGAATGTTCAACTCTGTGACTTGAATGCACACATCAGAAAGAAGTTTCTGAGGATGCTGCTGTCTACTTTTTCTACGTAATCCCGTTTCCAACGAAATCCTCCAAGCTATCCAAATATCCACTTGCAGATTCCACAGAAAGACTGTTTCAAAACTGTTCTGTCAATAGAAAGGTTCAACTCTGTTAGCTGCGTGCATATATCCCAAAGAAGATTCTGAGATTGCTTCTGTCTAATTTTTATGGGAAGATATTTCCCTTTTCACCGTAGGCGTCAAGGCGCTCCAAATGTCCACTTCCAGATACTACAAAAAGAGTGTTTCAAACCTACTCTGTGAAAGGGAATATTCAACTCTGTGACTTGAATGCACATATCACAAGGAAGTTTCTGAGAATGCTTTCTGTCGAGATTTTATATGAAGATATTCCCATTTCCAACGAAATCCTGAAATCTATCCAAATATCCCCTCGCAGATTCTACAAAAAGAGTGTTTCAAAACTGCTCTGTAAAAAGAAAGGTTCAACTCTGTTAGTTGAGTACACACATCACAAACAAGTTTCACAGAATGCTTCTTTCTAGCTTGTAGGGGAAGATATTCCCTTTATCACCATGGGCCTCAAACCGTCCGAAAAGTCCACTTCAATATACTACAAAAAGAGCGTTTCAAACCTGCTCTATGAAAGGCAATGTTCAACTCTGTGACTTGAATGCAGACATCACAGAGCAGTTTCTGAGAATGCTTCTGTCTAGGTTTTATAGGAAGATATTCCCGTTTCCAACGAAATCTTCACAGCTATCCAAATATCCACTTGCAGACAGTACAAAAAGAGTGTATCAAAAATGCTCCGTCAAAAGGAAAGTTCTTCTCTGTCAGTTGAGTACATACGTCATAAAGGAGTTTCTGAGAATGTTTCTGTCTAGTGGTTATGGGAAGATATTTGCTTTTTCACCGTAGGCCTCAGAGCGCTCCAAATATCCACTTGCACATACTACAAAAAGAGTGCTTCAAACCTGCTCTCTGAAACGGAATGTTCAACTCTATGAGATGAATGCAAACATCACAAAGACGTTTCTGAGAATGCTTCTGTCTAGATTTGATATGAAGATACTCCCGTTTCCAACGAAATCTTCAAATCTATCCAAATGTCCTCTTGCAGATTCAACAAAAAGTGTTTTTCAGAACTGCTCTATCAAAAGAAAGATCCACGTGTGTTAGCTGAGTTCACACATCACGAACAAGTTTATGAGAATGCTTCTGTCTAGTTTTTATTTGAAGATATTTCCTTTCTCACCATAGAGCTGAAAGCTGTCCTAATGTTCACTTCCAGATACTACAGAAAGAGTGTTTCAAAACTGCTGTACGAAAGGGAATGTTCAACTCTGTGACTTCAATGCACACATCACAAAGAAGTTTCGGAGGATGCTGCTGTCTAATTTTTATACGTAATCCCGTTACCAACGAAATCCTCCAAGCTATCCAAATATCCACTTACAGATTCCACAGAAAGACTGTTTCAAAACTGCTCTGTCAATAGAAAGGTTCAACTCTGTTAGCTGCGTGCATATATCCCAAAGAAGATTCTGAGATTGCTTCTGTCTAGTTTTTATGGGAAGATATTTCCCTTTTCACCGTAGGTGTCAAGGCGCTCCAAATGTCCACTTCCAGATACTACAAAAACAGTGTTTCAAACCTACTCTGTGAAAGGGAATATTCAACTCTGTGACTTGAATGCACATATCACAAAGAAGTTTCTGAGAATGCTTCTGTCGAGATTTTATATGAAGATATTCCCGTTTCCAACGAAATCCTGAAATGTATCCAAATATCCCCTCGCAGATTCTACAAAAAGAGTGTTTCAAAACTGCTCTGTAAAAAGAAAGGTTCAACTCTGTTAGTTGAGTACAAACATCACAAACAAGTTTCACAGAATGCTTCTTTCTAGCTTGTAGGGGAAGATATTCCCTTTATCAACATGGGCCTCAAACCTTCCGAAACGTCCACTTCCATATACTACAAAAAGAGGGTTTCAAACCTGCTCTATGAAAGGCAATGTTCAACTCTGTGACTTGAATGCAGACATCACAGAGCAGTTTCTGAGAATGCTTCTGTCTAGATTTTATAGGAAGATATTCCCGTTTCCAACGAAATCTTCACAGCTATCCAAATATCCACTTGCAGATTCTACAAAAAGAGTGTATCAAAACTGCTCTGTCAAAAGGAAGGTTCTTCTCGGTTAGGTGAGTGCATACGTCATAAAGGAGTTTCTCAGAATGTTTCTGTCTAGTGGTTATGGGAAGATATTTGCTTTTTCCCCGTAGGCCTAAGAGCGCTCCAAATATCCACTTGCACATACTACAAAAAGAGTGCTTCAAAGCTGCTCTCTGAAACGGAATGTTCAACTCTATGAGTTGAATGCAAACATCACAAAGACGTTTCTGAGAATGCTTCTGTCTAGATTTGATATGAAGATATTCCCGTTTCCAACGAAATCTTCAAATCTATCCAAATGTCCACTTGCAGATTCAACAAAAAGTGTTTTTCAGAACTGCTCTATCAAAAGAAAGATCCACCCCTGTTAGATGAGTTCACACATCACAAACAAGTTTATGAGAATGCTTCTGTCTAGTTTTTATTTGAAGATATTTCCTTTCTCATCATAGACCTGAAAGCTGTCCTAATGTTCACTTCCAGATACTACAGAAAGAGTGTTTCAAAACTGCTGTACGAAAGGGAATGTTCAACTTTGTGACTTGAATGCACACATCACAAAGAAGTTTCTGAGGATGCTGCTGTCTACTTTTATACGTAATCCCGTTTCCAACGAAATCCTCCAAGCTATCCAAATATCCACTTGCAGATTCCACAGAAAGACTGTTTCAAAACTGCTCTGTCAATAGAAAGGTTCAACTCTGTTAGCTGCGTGCATATATCCCGAAGAAGATTCTGAGATTGCTTCTGTCTAGTTTTTATGGGAAGATATTTCCCTTTTCACCGTGGGCGTCAAGGCGCTCCAAATGTCCACTTCCAGATACTACAAAAAGAGTGTTTCAAACCTCCTCTGTGAAAGGGAATATTCAACTCTGTGACTTGAATGCACATATCACAAGGAAGTTTCTGAGAATGCTTCTGTCGAGATTTTATATGAAGATATTCCCGTTTCCAACGAAATCCTGAAATGTATCCAAATATCCCCTCGCAGATTCTACAAAAAGAGTGTTTCAAAACTGCTCTGTGAAAAGAAAGGTTCAACTCTGTTAGTTGAGTACACACAAACAAGTTTCACAGAATGCTTCTTTCTAGCTTGTAGGGGAAGATATTCCCTTTATCACCATGTGCCTCAAACCGTCCGAAACGTCCACTTCCATATACTACAAAAAGAGCGTTTCAAACCTGCTCTATGAAAGGCAATGTTCAACTCTGTGACTTGAATGCAGACATCACAGAGCAGTTTCTGAGAATGCTTCTGTCCAGACTTTATAGGAAGATATTCCCGTTTCCAACGAAATCTTCACAGATATCCAAATATCCACTTGCAGATAGTACAAAAAGAGTGTATCAAAAATGCTCTGTCAAAAGGAAAGTTCTTCTCTGCTAGTTGAGTACATACGTCATAAAGAAGTTTCTGAGAATGTTTCTGTCTAGTGGTTATGGGAAGATATTTGCTTTTTCCCCGTAGGCCTCAGGGCGCTCCAAATGTCCACTTGCACATGCTACAAAAAGAGTGCTTCAAATCTGCTCTCTCAAAGGGAATGTTCAACTCTATGAGTTGAATGCAAACATCGCAAAGACGTTTCTGAGAATGCTTCTGTCTAGATGTGATATGAAGATATTCCCGTTTCCAACGAAATCTTCAAATCTATCCAAATGTCCACTTGCAGATTCAACAAAAAGTGTTTTTCAGAACTGCTCTATCAAAAGAAAGATCCACCTCTGTTAGCTGAGTTCAGACATCACAAACAAGTTTATGAGAATGCTTCTGTCTAGTTTTTATTTGAAGATATTTCCTTTCTAACCATAGACCTGAAAGCTGTCCTAATGTTCACTCCCAGATACTACAGAAAGAGTGTTTCAAAACTGCTGTACGAAAGGGAATGTTCAACTCTGTGACTTGAATGCACACATCACAAAGAAGATTCTGAGGATGCTGCTGTCTACTTTTTATACTTAATCCCATTTCCAACGAAATCCTCCAAGCTATCCAAATATCCACTTGCAGATTCCACAGAAAGACTGTTTCAAAACTGCTCTGTCAATAGAAAGGTTCAACTCTGTTAGCTGCGTGCATATATCCCAAAGAAGATTCTGAGATTGCTTCTGTCTACTTTTTATGAGAAGATATTTCCCTTTTCACCGTAGGCGTCAAGGCGCTCCAAATGTCCACTTCCAGATACTACAAAAAGAGTGTTTCAAACCTACTCTGTGAAAGGGAATATTGAACTCTGTGACTTGAATGCACATATCACAAAGAAGCTTTCTGAGAATGCTTCTGTCGAGATTTTATATGAAGATATTCCCCTTTCCAACGAAATCCTGAAATCTATCCAAATATCCCCTCGCAGATTCTACAAAAAGAGTGTTTCAAAACTGCTCTATAAAAAGAAAGGTTCAACTCTGTTAGTTGAGTACACACATCACAAACAAGTTTCACAGAATGCTTCTTTCTAGCTTGTAGGGGAAGATATTCCCTTTATCACCATGGGCCTCAAACCGTCCGAAACGTCTACTTCCATATACTACAAAAAGAGCGTTTCAAACCTGCTCTATGAAAAGCAATGTTCAACTCTGTGACTTGAATGCAGACATCAGATAGCAGTTTCTGAGAATGCTTCTGTCTAGATTTTATAGGAAGATATTCCCGTTTCCAACGAAATCTTCACAGCTATCCAAATATCCACTTGCAGATTCTACAAAAAGAGTGTATCAAAACTACTCTGTCAAAAGGAAGGTTCTTCTCTGTTAGTTGAGTACATACGTCATAAAGGAGTTTCTGAGAATGTTTCTGTGTAGTGGTTATGGGAAGATATTTGCTTTTTCACCGTAGGCCTCAGAGCGCTCCAAATATCCACTTGCACATACTACAAAAAGAGTGCCTCACAGCTGCTCTCTGAAACGGAATGTTCAACTCTATGAGTTGAATGCAAACATCGCAAAGACGTTTCTGAGAATGCTTCTGTCTAGATTTGATATGAAGATATTCCCGTTTCCAACGAAATCTTCAAATCTATCCAAATGTCGACTTGCAGATTCAACAAAAAGTGTTTTTCAGAACTGCTCTATCAAAAGAAAGATCCACCTCTGTTAGCTGAGTTCACACATCACAAACAAGTTTATGAGAATGCTTCTGTCTAGTTTTTATTTGAAGATATTTCCTTTCTCACCATAGACCTGAAAGCTGTCCTAATGTTCACTTCCAGATACTACAGAAAGAGTGTTTCAAAACTGCTGTACGAAAGGGAATGTTCAACTCTGTGACTTGAATGCACACATCACAAAGATGTTTCTGAGGATGCTGCTGTCTACTTTTTATACATAATCCCGTTTCCAACGAAATCCTCCAAGCTATCCAAATATCCACTTGCATATTCCACAGAAAGACTGTTTCAAAACTGCTATGTCAATAGAAAAGTTCAACTCTGTTAGCTGTGTGCATATATCCCAAAGAAAATTCTGAGATTGCTTCTGTCTTGTTTTTATGGGAAGATATTTCCCTTTTCACCGTAGGTCTCAAGGGGCTCCAAATGTCCACTTCCAGATACTACAAAAAGAGTGTTTCAAACCTACTCTGTGAAAGGGAATATTCAACTCTGTGACTTAAAGGCAGATATCACAAAGAAGTTTCTGAGAATGCTTCTGTCGAGATTTTATATGAAGATATTCCCGTTCCAACGAAATCCTGAAATCTATCCAAATATCCCCTCGCAGATTCTACAAAAAGAGTGTCTCAAAACTGCTCTGTAAAAAGAAAGGTTCAACTCTGTTAGTTGAGTACACACATCACAAACAAGTTTCACAGAATGCTTCTTTCTAGCTTGTAGCGAAGATATTTCCTTTATCACCATGGGCCTCAAACCGTCCGAAACGTCCACTTCCATATACTACAAAAAGAGCATTTCAAAACTGCTCTATGAAAGGCAATGTTCAACTCTGTGACTTGAATGCAGACATCACAGAGCAGTTTCTGAGAATGCTTCTGTCTAGATTTTATAGGAAGATATTCCCGTTTCCAACGAAATCTTCACAGCTATCCAAATATCCACTTGCAGATTCTACAAAAAGAGTGTATCAAAACTGCTCTGTCAAAAGGAAGGTTCTTCTCTGTTAGTTGAGTACAAACGTCATAAAGGAGTTTCTGAGAATGTTTCTGTCTAGTGGTTATGGGAAGATATTTGCTTTTTCACCTTAGGCCTCAGAGCGCTCCATATATCCCCTTGCACATACTACAAAAAGAGTGCCTCAAAGCTGCTCTCTGAAACGGAATGTTCAACTCTATGAGTTGAATGCCAACATCACAAAGACGTTTCTGAGAATGCTTCTGTCTAGATTTGATATGAAGATATTCCCGTTTCCAACGAAATCTTCAAATCTATCCAAATGTCCACTGCAGATTCAACAAAAAGTGTTTTTCAGAACTGCTCTATCAAAAGAAAGATCCACCTCTGTTAGCTGAGTTCACACATCACAAACAAGTTTATGAGAATGCTTCTGTCTAGTTTTTATTTGAAGATATTTCCTTTCTCACCATAGACCTGAAAGCTGTCCTAATGTTCACTTCCAGATACTACAGAAAGAGCGTTTCAAAACTGCTGTACGAAAGGGAATGTTCAACTCTGTGACTTGAATGCACACATCACAAAGAAGTTTCTGAGGATGCTGCTGTCTACTTTTTATACGTAATCCCGTTTCCAAAGAAATCCTCCAATCTATCCAAATATCCACTTGCAGATTCCACAGAAAGACTGTTTCTAAACTGCTCTGTCAATAGAAAGGTTCAACTCTGTTAGCTGCGTGCATATATCCCAAAGAAGATTCTGAGATTGCTTCTGTCTAGTTTTTAGGGGAAGATATTTCCTTTTTCACAATAGGCGTCAAAGCGATCCAAATGTCCAATTCCAGATACTACAAAAAGAGTGTTTCAAACCTACTCTGTGAAAGGGAGTATTCAAGTCTGTGACTTCAATGCAGATATCACAATGAAGTTTCTGAGAATGCTTCGGTCTTCTGTCGAGATTTTATATGAAGATATTCCCGTTTCCAACGAAATCCTGAAATCTATCCAAATATCCCCTCGCATATTCTACAAAAAGAGTGTTTCAAAACTGCTCTGTAAAAAGAAAGGTTCAACTCTGTTAGTTGAGTACACACATCACAAACAAGTTTCACAGAATGCTTCTTTCTAGCTTGTAGGGGAAGATATTCCCTTTATCACCATGGGCCTCAAACCGTCCGAAACGTCCACTTCCATATACTACAAAAAGAGCGTTTCAAACCTGCTCTAGGAAAGGCAGAGTTCAACTCTGTGACTTGAATGCAGACATCACAGAGCAGTTTCTGAGAATGCTTCTGTCTAGATTTTATAGGAAGATATTCCCGTTTCCAACGAAATCTTCACAGCTATCCAAATATCCACTTGCAGATTCTACAAAAAGTGTGTATCAAAAATGCTCTGTCAAAAGGAAGGTTCTTCTCTGTTAGGTGAGTGCACACGTCATAAAGGAGTTTCTGAGAATGTTTCTGTCTAGTGGTTATGGGAAGATATTTGCTTTTTCACCTTAGGCCTCAGAGCGCTCCAAATACCCCCTTGCACATACTACAAAAAGAGTGCTTCAAAGCTGCTCTCTGAAAGGGAATGTTCAACTCTATGAGTTGAATGCAAACATCACAAAGACGTTTCTGAGAATGCTCTGTCTAGATTTGATATGAAGATATTCCCGTTTCCAACGAAATCTTCATATCTATCCAAATGTCCACTTGCAGATTCAACAAAACGTGTTTTTCAGAACTGCTCTATCAAAAGAAACATCCACCTCTGTTAGCTGAGTTCACACATCACAAACAAGTTCTTGAGAATGCTTTCTGTCTAGTTTTTATTTGAAGATATTTCCTTTCTCACCATAGAGCTGAAAGCTGTCCTAATGTTCACTTCCAGATATTACAGAAAGAGTGTTTCAAAACTGCTGTACGAAAGGGAATGTTCAACTCTGTGACTTGAATGCACACATCACAAAGAAGTTTCTGAGGATGCTGCTGTCTACTTTCTATACGTAATCCCGTTTCCTACGAAATCCTCCAAGCTATCCAAATATCCACTTGCAGATTCCACAGAAAGACTGTTTCAAAACTGCTCTGTCAATAGAAAGGTTCAACTCTATTAGCTGCGTGCATATATCCCAAAGAAGATTCTGAGATTGCTTCTGTCTAGTTTTTATGGGAAGATATTTCCCTTTTCACCGTAGGTGTCAAGGCGCTCCAAATGTCCACTTCCAGATACTACAAAAAGAGTGTTTCAAACCTACTCTGTGAAACGGAATATTCAACTCTGTGACTTGAATGCACATATCACAAAGAAGTTTCTGAGAATGCTTCTGTCGAGATTTTATATGAAGATATTCCCGTTTCCAACGAAATCCTGAAATCTATCCAAATATCCCCTCGCAGATTCTACAAAAAGAGTGTTTCAAAACTGCTCTGTAAAAAGAAAGGTTCAACTCTGTTAGTTGAGTACACGCATCACAAACATGTTTCACAGAATGCTTCTTTCTAGCTTGTAGGGGAAGATATTCCCTTTATCACCATGGTCCTCAAACCGTCCGAAACGTCCACTTCCATATACTACAAAAAGAGCGTTTCAAACCTGCTCTAGGAAAGGCAATGTTCAACTCTGTGACTTGAATGCAGACATCACAGAGCAGTTTCTGAGAATGCTTCTGTCTAGTATTTTATAGGAAGATATTCCCGTTTCCAGCAAAATCTTCACAGCTATCCAAATATCCACTTGCAGATTCTACAAAAAGAGTGTATCAAAACTGCTCTGTCAAATGGAAGGTTCTTCTCTGTTAGGTGAGTGCATACGTCATAAACGAGTTTCTGAGAATGTTTCCATCTAGTGGTTATGGGAAGATATTTGCTTTTTCACCGAAGGCCTCAGAGCGCTCCAAATATCCACTTGCACATACTACAAAAAGAGTGCCTCAAAGCTGCTCTCTGAATCGGAATGTTCAACTCTATGAGTTGAATGCAAACATCACAACGACGTTTCTGAGAATGCTTCTGACTAGATTTGATATGAAGATATTCCCGTTTCCAACGAAATCTTCAAATCTATTCAAATGTCCACTTGCAGATTCAACAAAAAGTGTTTTTCAGAACTGCTCTATCAAAAGAAAGATCCACCTCTGTTAGCTGAGTTCACACATCACAAACAAGTTTATGAGAATGCTTCTGTCTAGTTTTTATTTGAAGATATTTCCTTTCTCACCATAGACCTGAAAGCTGTCCTAATGTTCACTTCCAGTTACTACAGAAAGAGTGTTTCAAAACTGCTGTACGAAAGGGAATGTTCAACTCTGTGACTTGAATGCACAGATCACAAAGAAGTTTCTGAGGATGCTGCTGTCTACTTTTTATACGTAATCCCGTTTCCAACGAAATCCTCCAAGCTATCCAAATATCCACTTGCAGATTCCACAGAAAGACTGTTTCAAAACTGCTCTGTGAATAGAAAGGTTCAACTCTGTTAGCTGCGTGCATATATCCCAAAGAAGATTCTGAGATTGCTTCTGTCTAGTTTTTATGGGAAGATATTTCCCTTTTCACCGTAGGCATCAAGGCGCTCCAAATGTCCACTTCCAGACTACTACAAAAAGGGTTTTTCAAACCTAGTCTGTGAAAGGGAATATTCAACTCTGTGACTTGAATGCACATATCACAAAGAAGTTTCTGAGAATGCTTCTGTCGAGATTTTATATGAAGATATTCCCGTTTCCAACGAAATCCTGAAATCTATCCAAATATCCCCTCGCAGATTCTACAAAAAGAGGGTTTCAAAACTGCTCTGTAAAAAGAAAGGTTCAACTCTGTTAGTTGAGTACACACATCACAAACAAGTTTCACAGAATGCTTCTTTTCTAGCTTGTAGGGGAAGATATTCCCTTTATCACCATGGGCCTCAAACCGTCCGAAACGTCCACTTCCATATACTACAAAAAGAGTGTTTCAAACCTGCTCTATGAACGGCAATGTTCAACTCTGTGACTTGAATGCAGACATCACAGAGCAGTTTCTGAGAATGCTTCTGTCTAGATTTTATAGGAAGATATTCTCGTTTCCAACGAAATCTTCACAGCTATCCAAATATCCACTTGCAGATTCTACAAAAAGAGTGTATCAAAACCGCTCTGTCAAAAGGAAGGTTCTTCTCTGTTAGGTGAGTGCATACGTCATAAAGGAGTTTCTGAGAATGTTTCTGTCTAGTGGTTATGGGAAGATATTTGCTTTTCCACCGTAGGCCTCAGAGCGCTCCAAATATCCACTTGCACATACTACAAAAAGAGTGCTTCAAAGCTGCTCTCTGAAAGAGAATGTTCAACTCTATGAGTTGAATGCAAACATCACAAAGACGTTTCTGAGAATGCTTCTGTCTAGATTTGATATGAAGATATTCCCGTTTCCAACGAAATCTTCAAATCTATCCAAATGTCCACTTGCAGATTCAACAAAAAGTGTTTTTCAGAAGTGCTCTATCAAAAGAAAGATCCACCTCTGTTAGCTGAGTTCACACATCACAAACAAGTTTATGAGAATGCTTCTGTCTAGTTTTTATTTGAAGATATATCCTTTCTCACTATAGACCTGAAAGCTCTCCTAAATTTCACTTCCAGATACTACAGAAAGAGTGTTTCAAAACTGCTGTACGAAAGGGAATGTTCAACTCTGTGACTTGAATGCACACATCACAAGGATGTTTCTGAGGATGCTGCTGTCTACTTTTTATACTTAATCCCGTTTCCAACGAAATCCTCCAAGCTATCCAAATATTCACTTGCAGATTCCACAGAAAGACTGTTTCAAAACTGCTCTGTCAATAGAAAGGTTCAACTCTGTTAGCTGCGTGCATATATCCCAAAGAAGATTCTGAGATTGCTTCTGTCTAGTTTTTATGGGAAGATATTTCCCTTTTCACCGTAGGCATCAAGGCGCTCCAAATGTCCACTTCCAGATACTACAAAAAGAGTGTTTCAAACCTACTCTGTGAAAGCGAATATTCAACTCTGTGACTTGAATGCACATATCACAAAGAAGTTTCTGAGAATGCTTCTGTCGAGGATTTTATATGAAGATATTCCCGTTTCCAACGAAATCCTGAAATGTATCCAAATATCCCCTCGCAGATTCTACAAAAAGAGTGTTTCAAAACTGCTCTGTAAAAAGAAAGGTTCAACTCTGTTAGTTGAGTACACACATCACAAATAAGTTTCACACAATGCTTCTTTCTAGCTTGTAGGGGAAGATATTCCCTTTATCACCATGGGCCTCCAACCGTCGGAAACATCCGGTTCCATATACTACAAAAAGAGCGTTCCAAACCTGCTCTATGAAAGGCAATGTTCAACTCTGTGACTTGAATGCAGACATCACAGAGCAGTTTCTGAGAATGCTTCTGTCTAGATTTTATAGGAAGATATTCCCGTTTCCAACGAAATCTTCACAGCTATCCAAATATCCACTTGCAGATTCTACAAAAAGAGTGTATCAAAACTGCTCTGTGAAAAGGAAGGTTCTTTTCTGTTAGGTGAGTGCATACGTCATAAAGGAGTTTCTGAGAATGTTTCTGTCTAGTGGTTATGGGAGATATTTGCTTTTTCCCCGTAGGCCTCAAAGCGCTCCAATTGTCCACTTGCACATACCACAAAAAGAGTTCTTCAAAGCTGCACTCTGAAAGGGAATGTTCAACTCTATGAGTTGAATGCAAACATCACAAAGCCGTTTCTGAGAATGCTTCTGTCTAGATTTGATATGAAGATATTCCCGTTTCCAACGAAATCTTCAAATCTATCCAAATGTCCACTTGCAGATTCAACAAAAAGTGTTTTTCAGAACTGCTCTATCAAAACAAAGATCCACCTCTGTTAGCTGAGTTCACACATCACAAACAAGTTTATGAGAATGCTTCTGTCTAGTTTTTATTTGAAGATATTTCCTTTCTCACCATAGTCCTGAAAGCTGTCCTAATGTTCACTTCCAGATACTACAGAAAGAGTGTTTCAAAACTGCTGTACGAAAGGGAATGTTCAACTCTGTGACTTGAATGCACACATCACAAAGAAGTTTACTGAGGATGCTGCTGTCTACTTTTTATACGTAATCCCGTTTCCAACGAAATCCTCCAAGCTATCCAAATATCCACTTGCAGTTTCCACAGAAAGACTGTTTCAAAACTGCTCTGTCAATAGAAAGGTTCAACTCTGTTAGCTGCGTACATATATCCCAAAGAAGATTCTGAGATTGCTTCTGTCTACTTTTTATGAGAAGATATTTGCCCTTTTCACCGTAGGCGTCAAGGCGCTCCAAATGTCCACTTCCAGATACTACAAAAAGAGTGTTTCAAACCTACTCTGTGAAAGGGAACATTGAACTCTGTGACTTGAATGCACATATCACAAAGAAGTTTCTGAGAATGCTTCTGTCGAGATTTTATATGAAGATATTCCCGTTTCCAACGAAATCCTGAAATCTATCCAAATATCCCCTCGCAGATTCTACAAAAAGAGTGTTTCAAAACTGCTCTGTAAAAAGAAAGGTTCAAATCTATTAGTTGAGTACACACATCACAAACAAGTTTCACAGAATGCTTCTTTCTAGCTTGTAGGGGAAGATATTTCCTTTATCACCATGGTCCTCAAACCGTCCGAAACGTCCACTTCCATATAGTAAAAAAAGAGTGTTTGAAACCTGCTCTATGAAAGGCAATGTTCAACTCTGTGACTTGAATGCACACATCACAAAGAAGTTTCTGAGGATGCTTCTGTCCAGACTTTATAGGAAGATATTCCGGTTTCCAACGAAATCTTCACAGCTATCCAAATATCCACTTGCAGATACTACAAAAAGAATGTATCAAAAATGCTCTGTCAAAAGGAAAGTTCTTCTCTGCTAGTTGAGTACATACGTCATAAAGAAGTTTCTGAGAATGTTTCTGTCTATTGGTTATGGGAAGATATTTGCTTTTTCCCCGTAGGCCTCAGAGCGCTCCAAATGTCCACTTGCACATGCTACAAAAAGAGTGCTTCAAAGCTGCTCTCTGCAAGGGAATGTTCAACTCTATGAGTTGAATGTAAACATCACAAAGACGTTTCTGAGAATGCTTCTGTCTAGATTTGATATGAAGATATTCCCGTTTCCAACGAAATCTTCAAATCTATCCAAATGTCCACTTGCAGATTCAACAAAAAGTGTTTTTCAGAACCGCTCTATCAAAAGAAAGATCCATCTCTGTTAGCTGAGTTCACACATCACAAACAAGTTTATGAGAATGCTTCTGTCTAGTTTTTATTTGAAGATATTTCCTTTCTCACCATAGAGCTGAAATCTGTCCTAATGTTCACTTCCAGATACTACAGAAAGAGTGTTTCAAAACTGCTGTACGAAAGGGAATGTTCAACTCTGTGACTTGAATGCACACATCACAAAGTAGTTTCTGAGGATGCTGCTGTCTACTTTTTATACGTAATCCCGTTTCCAACGAAATCCTCCAAGCTATCCAAATATCCACTTGCAGATTCCACAGAAAGACTGTTTCAAAACGGCTCTGTCAATAGAAAGGTTCAACTCTGTTAGCTGCGTGCATATATCCCAAAGAAGATTCTGAGATTGCTTCTGTCTACTTTTTATGAGAAGATATTTCCCTTTTCACCGTAGGCGTCAAGGCGCTCAAAATGTCCACTTCCAGATACTACAAAAAGAGTGTTTCAAACCTACTCTGTGAAAGGGAATATTCAACTCTGTGACTTGAATGCAGATATCACAAAGAAGTTTCTGAGAATGCTTCTGTCGAGATTTTATATGAAGATACTCCCGTTTCCAACGAAATCCTGAAATCTATCCAAATATCCCCTCGCAGATTCTACAAAAAGAGTGTTTCAAAACTACTCTGTAAAAGGAAAGGTTCAACTCTGTTAGTTGAGTACACACATCACAAACAAGTTTCACAGAATGCTTCTTTCTAGCTTGTAGGGGAAGATATTCCCTTTATCACCATGGGCCTCAAACAGTCCGAAACGTCCACTTCCATATACTACAAAAAGAGCGTTTCAAACCTGCTCTAGGAAAGGCAATGTTCAACTCCGTGACTTGAATGCAGACATCCCAGAGCAGTTTCAGAGAATGCTTCTGTCTAGATTTTATAGGAAGATATTCCCGTTTCCAACGAAATCTTCACACCTATCCAAATATCCACTTGCAGATTCTACAAAAAGAGTGTATCAAAACTGCTCTGTCAAAAGGAAGGTTCTTCTCTGTTAGGTGAGTGCATACGTCATAAAGGAGTTTCTGAGAATGTTTCTGTCTAGTGGTTATGGGAAGATATTTGCTTTTTCCCCGTAGGCCTCAGGGCGCTCCAAATGTCCACTTGCACATGCTACAAAATGAGTGCTTCAAAGCTACTCTCTGGAAGGGAATGTTCAACTCTATGAGTTGAATGCAAACATCACAAAGACGTTTCTGAGAATGCTTCCGTCTAGATTTGATATGAAGATATTCCCGTTTCCAACGACATCTTCAAATCTATCCAAATGTCCACTTGCAGATTCAACAAAAAGTGTTTTTCAGAACTGCTCTATCAAAAGAAAGATCCACCTCGGTTAGCTGAGTTCACACATCACAAACAAGTTTATGAGAATGCTTCTGTCTAGTTTTTATTTGAAGATATTTCCTTTCTCAATATAGACCTGAAAGCTGTCCTAATATTCACTTTCAGATACTACAGAAAGAGTGTTTCAAAACTGCTGTACGAAAGGGAATGTTCAACTCTGTGACTTGAATGCACACATCACAAAGAAGTTTCTGAGGATGCTGCTGTCTACTTTTTATACGTAATCCCGTTTCCAACGAAATCCTCTAAGCTATCCAAATATCCACTTGCAGATTCCACAGAAAGACTGTTTCAAAACTGCTCTGTCAATAGAAAGGTTCAACTCTGTTAGCTGCATGCATATATCCCAAAGAAGATTCTGAGATTGCTTCTGTCTAGTTTTTATGGAAGATATTTCCCTTTTCACCGTAGGCGTCAAGGCGCTCCAAATGTCCACTTCCAGATACTACAAAAAGAGTGTTTCAAACCTACTCTGTGAAAGGGAATATTCAACTCTGTGACTTGAATGCACATATCACAAAGAAGTTTCTGAGAATGCTTCTGTCGAGATTTTGTATGAAGATATTCCCGTTTCCAACGAAATCCTGAAATCTATCCAAATTTCCGCTCGCAGATTCTACAAAAAGAGTGTTTCAAAACTGCTCTGTGAAAAGAAAGGTTCAACTCTGTTAGTTGAGTACACACATCACAAACAAGTTTCACAGAATGCTTCTTTCTAGCTTGTAGGGGAAGATATTCCCTTTATCATCATGGGCCTCAAACCGTACGAAACGTCCACTTCCATATACTACAAAAAGAGCGTTTCAAACCTGCTCTATGAAAGGCAATGTTCAACTCTGTGACTTGAATGCAGACATCACAGAGCAGTTTCTGAGAATGCTTCTGTATAGATTTTATAGGAAGATATTCCCGTTTCCAAAGAAATCTTCACAGCTATCCAAATATCCACTTGCAGATTCTACAAAAAGAGTGTATCAAAACTGCTCTGTCAAAAGGAAGGTTCTTCTCTGTTAGCTGAGTGCATACGTCATAAAGGAGTTTCTGAGAATGTTTCTGTCTAGTGGTTATGGGAAGATATTTGCTTTTTCACCTTAGGCCTCAGAGTGCTCCAAATATCCCCTTGCACATACTACAAAAAGAGTGCTTCAAAGCTGCTCTCTGAAACGGAATGTTCAACTCTATGAGTTGAATGCAAACATCACAAAGACGTTTCTGGGAATGCTTCTGTCTAGATTTGATATGAAGATATTCCCGTTTCCAACGAAATCTTCAAATCTATCCTAATGTCCACTTGCAGATTCAACAAAAAGTGTTTTTCAGAACTGCTGTATCAAAAGAAAGATCCACCTGCTGTTAGCTGAGTTCACACATCACAAACAAGTTTATGAGAATGCTTTCTGTCTAGTTTTTATTTGAAGATATTTCCTTTCTCACCATAGACCCGAAAGCTGTCCTAATGTTCACTTCCAGATACTACAGAAAGAGTGTTTCAAAACTGCTGTACGAAAGGGAATGTTCAACTCTGTGACTTGAATGCACACATCACAAAGAAGTTTCTGAGGATGCTGCTGTCTACTTTTTATACGTAATCCCGTTTCCAACGAAATCCTCCAAGCTATCCAAATATCCACTTGCAGATTCCACAGAAAGACTGTTTCAAAACTGCTCCGTCAATAGAAAGGTTCAACTCTGTTAGCTGCGTGCATATATCCCAAAGAAGATTCTGAGATTGCTTCTGTCTAGTTTTTATGGGAAGATATTTCCCTTTTCACCGTAGGTGTCAAGGCGCTCCAAATGTCCACTTCCAGATACTACAAAAAGAGTGTTTCAAACCTACTCTCTGAAAGGGAATATTCAACTCTGTGACTTGAATGCACATATCACAAAGAAGTTTCTGAGAATGCTTCTGTCGAGATTTTATATGAAGATATTCCCGTTCCAACGAAATCCTGAAATCCATCCAAATATCCCCTCGCAGATTCTACAAAAAGAGTGTTTCAAAACTGCTCTGTAAAAAGAAAGGTTCAACTCTGTTAGTTGAGTACACACATCACAAACAAGTTTCACAGAATGCTTCTTTCTAGCTTGTAGGGGAAGATATTCCCTTTATCACCATGGGCCTCAAACCGTCCGAAACGTCCACTTCCATATACTACAAAAAGAACGCTTCAAACCTGCTCTATGAAAGACAATGTTCAACTCTGTGACTTGAATGCAGACATCACAGAGCAGTTTCTGAGAATGCTTCTGTCTAGATTTTATAGGAAGATATTCCCGTTTCCAACGAAATCTTCACAGCTATCCAAATATCCTCTTGCAGATTCTACAAAAAGAGTGTATCAAAACTGCTCTGTCAAAAGGAAGGTTCTTTTCTGTTAGGTGAGTGCATACGTCATAAAGGAGTTTCTGATAATGTTTTCTGTCTAGTGGTTATGGGAAGATATTTGCTTTTTCACCGTAGGCCTCAGAGCGCTCCAAATATCCCCTTGCACATACTACAAAAAGAGTGCTTCAAAGCTGCTCTCTGAAAGGGAATGTTCAACTCTGTGAGTTGAATGCAAACATCACAAAGACTTTTCTGAGAATGCTTCTGTCTAGATTTGATATGAAGATATTCCCGTTTCCAACGAAATCTTCAAATCTATCCAAATGTCCACTTGCAGATTCAACAAAAAGTGTTTTTCAGAACTGCTCTATCAAAAGAAAGATCCACCTCTGTTAGCTGAGTTCACACATCACAAAGAAGTTTATGAGAATGCTTCTGTCTAGTTTTTATTTGAAGATATTTCCTTTCTCACCATAGAGCTGAAAGCTGTCCTAATGTTCACTTCCAGATACTACAGAAAGAGTGTTTGAAAACTGCTGTACGAAAGGGAATGTTCAACTCTGTGACTTGAATGCACACATCACAAAGAAGTTTCGGAGGATGCTGCTGTCTACTTTTTATGCGTAATCCCGTTTCCAACGAAATCCTCCAAGCTATCCAAATATCCACTTGCAGATTCCACAGAAAGACTGTTTCAAAACTGCTCTGTCAATAGAAAGGTTCAAATCTGTTAGCTGCGTGCATATATCCCAAAGAAGATTCTGAGATTGCTTCTGTCTACTTTTTATGAGAAGATATTTCCCTTTTCACCGTAGGCGTCAAGGCGCTCTAAATGTCCACTTCCAGATACTACAAAAAGATTGTTTCAAACCTACTCTGTGAAAGGGAATATTCAACTCTGTGACTTGAATGCACATATCACAAAGAAGCTTCTGAGAATGCTTCTGTCGAGATTTTATATGAAGATATTCTCGTTTCCAATGAAATCCTGAAATCTATCCAAATATCCCCTCGCAGATTCTACAAAAAGAGTGTTTCAAAACTGCTCTGTAAAAAGAAAGGTTCAACTCTGTTAGTTGAGTACACACATCACAAACAAGTTTCACAGAATGCTTCTTTCTAGCTTGTAGGGGAAGATATTCCCTTTATCACCATGGGCCTCAAACCGTCCGAAACTTCCACTTCCATATACTACAAAAAGAGCGTTTCAAACCTGCTCTATGAAAGGCAATGTTCAACTCTGTGACTTGAATGCAGACATCACAGAGCAGTTTCTGAGAATGCTTCTGTCTAGATTTTATAGGAAGATATTCCCGTTTCCAACGAAAGCTTCACAGCTATCCCAATATCCACTTGCAGATTCTACAAAAAGAGTATCTCAAAACTGCTCTGTCAAAAGGAAGGTTCTTCTCTGTTAGGTGAGTGCATACGTCATAAAGGAGTTTCTGAGAATGTTTCTGTCTAGTGGTTATGGGAAGATATTTGCTTTTTCACCGAAGGCCTCAGAGCGCTCCAAATATCCACTTGCACATACTACAAAAAGAGTGCCTCAAAGCTGCTCTCTGAAACGGAATGTTCAACTCTATGAGTTGAATGCAAACATCACAAAGACGTTTCCGAGAATGCTCTGTCTAGATTTGATATGAAGATATTCCCGTTTCCAACGAAATCTTCAAATCTATCCAAATGTCCACTTGCAGATTCAACAAAAAGTGTTTTTCAGAACTGCTCTATCAAAAGAAAGATCCACCTCTGTTAGCTGAGTTCAGACATCACAAACAAGTTTATGAGAATGCTTTCTGTCTAGTTTTTATTTGAAGATATATCCTTTCTCACTATAGACCTGAAAGCTGTCCTAAAGTTCACTTCCAGATACTACAGAAAGAGTGTTTCAAAACTGCTGTACGAAAGGGAATGTTCAACTCTGTGACTTGAATGCACACATCACAAGGGATGTTTCTGAGGATGCTGCTGTCTACTTTTTATACGTAATCCCGTTTCCAAAGAAATCCTCCAAGCTATCCAAATATCCACTTGCAGATACCACAGAAAGACTGTTTCAAAACTGCTCTGTCAATAGAAAGGTTCAACACTGTTAGCTGCGTCCATATATCTCAAAGAGGATTCTGAGATTGCTTCTGTCTAGTTTTTATGGGAAGATATTTCCATTTTCACCGTAGGTGTCAAGGCGCTCCAAATGTCCACTTCCAGATACTACAAAAAGAGTGTTTCAAACCTACTCTGTGAAAGGGAATATTCAACTCTGTGACTTGAATGCACATATCACAAAGAAGTTTCTGAGAATGCTTCTGTCGAGATTTTGTATGAAGATATTCCCGATTCCAACGAAATCCTGAAATCTATCCAAATTTCCCCTCGCAGATTCTACAAAAAGAGTGTTTCAAAACTGCTCTGTGAAAAGAAAGGTTCAACTCTGTTAGTTGAGTACACACATCATAAACAAGTTTCACAGAATGCTTCTTTCTAGCTTGTAGGGGAAGATATTTCCTTTATCACCATGGTCCTCAAACCGTCCGAAACGTCCACTTCCATATACTAAAAAAAGAGTGTTTGAAACCTGCTCTATGAAAGGCAACGTTCAACTCTGTGACTTGAATGCAGACATCACAGAGCAGTTTCAGAGAATGCTTCTGTATAGATTTTATAGGAAGATATTCCCGTTTCCAACGAAATCTTCACAGCTATCCAAATATCCACTTGCAGATTCTACAAAAAGAGTGTATCAAAAGTGCTCTGTCAAAAGGAAGGTTCTTCTCTGTTAGGTGAGTGCATACGTCATGAAGGAGTTTCTGAGAATGTTTCTGTCTAGTGGTTATGGGAAGATATTTGCTTTTTCACCATAGGCCTCAGAGCGCTCCAAATATCCACTTGCACATACTACAAAAAGAGTGCTTCAAAGCTGCTCTCTGAAAGGGAATGTTCAACTCTATGAGTTGAATGCTAACATCACAAAGACGTTTCTGAGAATGCTTCTGTCTAGATTTGATATGAAGATATTCCCGTTTCCAACGAAATCTTCAAATCTATCCAAATGTCCACTTGCAGATTCAACAAAAAGTGTTTTTCAGAACTGCTCTATCAAAAGAAAGATCCACCTCTGTTAGCCTGAGTTCACACATCACAAACAAGTTTATGAGAATGCTTCTGTCTAGTTTTTATTTGAAGATATTTCCTTTCTCACCATAGAGCTGAAAGCTGTCCTAATGTTCACTTCCAGATACTACAGAAAGAGTGTTTCAAAACTGCTGTACGAAAGGGAATGTTCAACTCTGTGACTTGAATGCACACATCACAAAGAAGTTTCTGAGGATGCTGGCTGTCTACTATTTATACGTAATCCCGTTTCCAACGAAATCCTCCAAGCTATCCAAATATCCACTTGCAGATTCCACAGAAAGACTGTTTCAAAACTGCTCTGTCAATAGAAAGGTTCAACTCTGTTAGCTGCGTGCATATATCCCAAAGCTGATTCTGAGATTCCTTCTGTCTAGTTTTTATGGGAAGATATTTCCCTTTTCACCGTAGGCGTCAAGGCGCTCCAAATGTCCACTTCCAGATACTACAAAAAGAGTGTTTCAAACCTACTCTGTGAAAGGGAATATTCAACTCTGTGACTTGAAGGCAGATATCACAAAGAAGTTTCTCAGAATGCTTCTGTCGAGATTTTATATGAAGATACTCCCGTTTCCAACGAAATCCTGAAATCTATCCAAATATCCCCTCGCAGATTCTACAAAAAGAGTGTTTCAAAACTGCTCTGTAAAAAGAAAGGTTCAACTCTGTTAGTTGAGTACACACATCACAAACAAGTTTCACAGAATGCTTCTTTCTAGCTTGTAGGGGAAGATATTCCCTTTATCACCATGGGCCTCAAACCGTCCGAAACGTCCACTTCCATATACTAAAAAAAGAGTGTTTCAAACCTGCTCTATGAAAGGCAATGTTCAACTCTGTGACTTGAATGCAGACATCACAGAGCAGTTTCTGAGAATGCTTCTGTCCAGAATTTATAGGAAGATATTCCCGTTTCCAACGAAATCTTCACAGCTATCCAAATATCCACTTGCAGATAGTACAAAAAGAGTGTATCAAAAATGCTCTGTCAAAAGGAAAGTTCTTCTCTGCTAGTTGAGTACATACGTCATAAAGGAGTTTCTGAGAATGTTTCTGTCTAGTGGTTATGGGAAGATATTTGCTTTTTCACCGTAGGCCTCAGAGCGCTCAAAATATCCACTTGCACATACTACAAAAAGAGTGCTTCAAAGCTGCTCTCTGAAAGGGAATGTTCAACTCTATGAGTTGAATGCAAACATCACAAAGACGTCTCTGAGAATGCTTCTGTCTAGATTTGATATGAAGATATTCCCGTTTCCAACGAAATCTTCAAATCTATCCAAATGTCCACTTGCAGATTAAACAAAAAGTGTTTTTCAGAACTGCTCTATCAAAAGAAAGATCCACGTGTGTTAGCTGAGTTCACACATTACAAACAAGTTTATGAGAATGCTTCTGTCTAGTTTTTATTTGAAGATATTTCCTTTCTCACCATAGACCTGAAAGCTGTCCTAATGTTCACTCCCAGATACTACAGAAAGAGTGTTTCAAAAATGCTGTACGAAACAACTCTGTTACTTGAATGCACATATCACAAAGAAGTTTCTGAGGATGCTGCTGTCTACTTTTTATACGTAATCCCGTTTCCAACGAAATCCTCCAAGCTATCAAAATATCCACTTGCAGATTCCACAGAAAGACTGTTTCAAAACTGCTCTGTCAATAGAAAGGTTCAACTCTGTTAGCTGCGTGCATATATCCCAAAGAAGATTCTGAGATTGCTTCTGTCTAGTTTTTATGGGAAGATATTTCCCTTTTCACCGTAGGCGTCAAGGTGCTCCAAATGTCCACTTCCAGATACTACAAAAGGAGTGTTTCAAACCTACTCTGTGAAAGGGAATATTCAACTCTGTGACTTGAATGCAGATATCACAAAGAAGTTTCTGAGAATGTTTCTGTCGAGATTTTATATGAAGATATTCCCGTTTCCAACGAAATCCTGAAATCTATCCAAATATCCCCTCGCAGATTCTACAAAAAGAGTGTTTCAAAACTGTTCTGTAAAAAGAAAGGTTTAACTCTGTTAGTTGAGTACACACATCACAAACAAGTTTCACAGAATGCTTCTTTCTAGCTTGTAGGGGAAGATATTCCCTTTATCACCATGGTCCTCAAACCGTCCGAAACGTCCACTTTCATATACTACAAAAAGAGTGTTTCAAACCTGCTCTAGGAAAGGCAATGTTCAACTCTGTGACTTGAATGCAGACATCACAGAGCAGTTTCTGAGAATGCTTCCTGTCTAGATTTTATAGGAAGATATTCCCGTTTCCAACGAAATCTTCACAGCTATCCAAATATCCACTTGCAGATTCTACAAAAAGAGTGTATCAAAACTGCTCTGTCAAAAGGAAGGTTCTTTTCTGTTAGGTGAGTGCATACGTCATAAAGGAGTTTCTGAGAATGTTTCTGTCTAGTGGTTATGGGAAGATATTTGCTTTTTCACCGTAGGCCTCACAGCGCTCCAAATATCCCCTTGCACATACTACAAAAAGAGTGCCTCAAAGCTGCTCTCTGAAACGGAATGTTCAACTCTATGAGTTGAATGCAAACATCACAAAGACGTTTCTGAGAATGCTTCTGTCTAGATTTTACATGAAGATATTCCCGTTTCCAACGAAATCTTCAAATCTATCCAAATGTCCACTTGCAGATTCAACAAAACGTGTTTTTAAGAACTGCTCTATCAAAAGAAAGATCCAACTCTGTTAGCTGAGTTCACACATCACAAACAAGTTTATGAGAATGCTTCTGTCTAGTTTTTATTTGAAGATGTTTCCTTTCTCACCATAGACCTGAAAGCTGTCCTAATGTTCACTTCCAGATACTACAGAAAGAGTGTTTCAAAACTGCTGTACGAAAGGGAATGTTCAACTCTGTGACTTGAATGCACACATCACAAAGAAGTTTCTGAGGATGCTGCTGTCTACTTTTTATACGTAATCCCGTTTCCAAAGAAATCCTCCAAGCTATCCAGATATCCACTTGCAGATTCCACAGAAAGACTGTTTCAAAACTGCTCTGTCAATAGAAAGGTTCAACTCTGTTAGCTGCGTGCATATATCCCAAAGAAGATTCTGAGATTGCTTCTGTCTACTTTTTATGAGAAGATATTTCCCTTTTCACCGTAGGCGTCAAGGCGCTCCAAATGTTCACTTCCAGATACTACAAAAAGAGTGTTTCAAACCTACTCTGTAAAAGGGAATATTCAACTCTGTGACTTGAATGCACATATCACAAAGAAGTTTCTGAGAATGCTTCTGTCGAGATTTTATATGAAGATATTCCCGTTTCCAACGAAATCTTGAAATCTATCCAAATATCCCCTCGCAGATTCTACAAAAAGAGTGTTTCAAAACTGCTCTGTAAAAAGAAAGGTTCAACTCTGTTAGTTGAGTACACACATCACAAACAAGTTTCACAGAATGCTTCTTTCTAGCTTGTAGGGGAAGATATACCCTTTATCACCATGGTCCTCAAACCGTTCGAAACGTCCTCTTCCATATAGTACAAAAAGAGCGTTTCAAACCTGCTCTATGAAAGGCAATGTTCAACTCTGTGACTTGAATGCAGACATCACAGAGCAGTTTCTGAGAATGCTTCTGTCTAGATTTTATAGGAAGATATTCCCGTTTCCAACGAAATCTTCACAGCTATCCAAATATCCACTTGCAGATTCTACAAAAAGAGTGTATCAAAACTGCTCTGTCAAAAGGAAGGTTCTTCTCTGTTAGGTGAGTGCACACGTCATAAAGGAGTTTCTGAGAATGTTTCTGTCTAGTGGTTATGGGAAGATATTTGCTTTTTCACCGTAGGCCTCAAAGCGCTCCAAATCTCCACTTGCACATACTACAAAAAGAGTGCTTCAAAGCTGCTCTCTGAAAGGGAATGTTCAACTCTATGAGTTGAATGCAAATATCACAAAGACGTTTCTGAGAATGCTTCTGTCTAGATTTGATATGAAGATATTCCCGTTTCCAACGAAATCTTCAAATCTATCCAAATGTCCACTTGCAGATTCAACAAAAAGTGTTTTTCAGAACTGGTCTACCAAAAGAAAGATCCACCTCTGTTAGCTGAGTTCACACATCACAAACAAGTTTATGAGAATGCTTTTGTCTAGTTTTTATTTGAAGATATTTCCTTTCTCACCATAGACCTGAAAGCTGTCCTAATGTTCACTTCCAGATACTACAGAAAGAGTGTTTCAAAACTGCTGTACGAAAGGGAATGTTCAACTCTGTGACTTGAATGCACACATCACAAAGAAGTTTCTGAGGATGCTGCTGTCTACTTTTTATAAGTAATCCCGTTTCCAACGAAATCCTCCAAGCTATCCAAATATCCACTTGACAGATTCCACAGAAAGACTGTTTCAAAACTGCTCTGTCAATAGAAAGGTTCAACTCTGTTAGCTGCGTGCATATATCCCAAAGAAGATTCTGAGATTGCTTCTGTCTAGTTTTTATGGGAAGATATTTCCCTTTTCACCGTAGGTGTCAAGGCGCTCCAAATGTCCACTTCCAGATACTACAAAAAGAGTGTTTCAAACCTACTCTGTGAAAGGGAATATTCAACTCTGTGACTTGAATGCAGATATCACAAAAGAAGTTTCTGAGAATGCTTCTGTCGAGATTTTATATGAAGATATTCCCGTTTCCAACGGAATCCTGAAATCTATCCAAATATCCCCTCGCAGATTCTACAAAAAGAGTGTTTCAAAACTGCTCTGTAAAAAGAAAGGTTCAACTCTGTTAGTTGAGTACACACATCACAAACAAGTTTCACAGAATGCTTCTTTCTAGCTTGTAGGGGAAGATATTTCCTTTATCACCATGGGCCTCAAACCGTCCGAAACGTCCACTTCCATATACTAAAAAAAGAGTGCTTGAAACCTGCTCTATGAAAGGCAATGTTCAACTCTGTGACTTGAATGCAAACATCAAAGAGCAGTTTCTGAGCAATGCTTCTGTCGAGATTTTATATGAAGATATTCCCGTTTCCAACGAAATCCTGAAATCTATCCAAATATCCCCTCGCAGATTCTACAAAAAGAGTGTATCAAAACTGCTCTGTCAAAAGGAAGGTTCTTCTCTGTTAGGTGAGTGCATACGTCATAAAGGAGTTTCTGAGAATGTTTCCATCTAGTGGTTATGGGAAGATATTTGCTTTTTCACCGAAGGCCTCAGAGCGCTCCAAATATCCACTTGCACATACTACAAAAAGAGTGCCTCAAAGCTGCACTCTGAAACGGAATGTTCAACTCTATGAGTTGAATGCAAACATCGCAAAGACGTTTCTGAGAATGCTTCTGTCTAGATTTGATATGAAGATATTCCCGTTTCCAACGAAATCTTCAAATCTATCCAAATGTCCACTTGCAGATTCAACAAAAAGTGTTTTTCAGAACTGCTCTATCAAAGGAAAGATCCACCTCTGTTAGCTGAGTTCACACTTCACAAACAAGTTTATCAGAATGCTTCTGTCTAGTTTTTATTTGAAGATATATCCTTTCTCACTATAGACCTGAAAGCTGTCCTAATGTTCACTTCCAGATACTACAGAAAGAGTGTTTCAAAACTGCTGTACGAAAGGGAATGTTCAACTCTGTGACTTGAATGCACACATCACAAGGATGTTTCTGAGGATGCTGCTGTCTACTTTTTACACGTAGTCCCGTTTCCAAAGAAATCCTCCAAGCTATCCAAATATCCACTTGCAGATTCCACAGAAAGACTGTTTCAAAACTGCTCTGTCAATAGAAAGGTTCAACTCTGTTAGCTGCGTGCATATATCCCAAAGAAGATTCTGAGATTGCTTCTGTCAAGTTTTTATGGGAAGATATTTCCCTTTTCACCGTAGGCGTCAAGGCGCTCCAAATGTCCACTTCCAGATACTACAAAAAGAGTGTTTCAAACCTACTCTGTGAAAGGGAATATTCAACTCTGTGACTTGAATGCAGATATCACAAAGAAGTTTCTGAGAATGCTTCGGTCTAGATTTTATATTAAGACATCCCCGTTTCCGACGAAATCTTTAAATCTATCCAAATATCCACTTGCAGGTTCTACAAAAAGAGTTTTTCAAAACTGTTCTGTAAAAGAAAGGTTCAACTCCATTAGTTGAGTACACACATCACAAAGAAGTTCCTGAGAATGCTTCTTTCTAGCTTGTAGGGGAAGATATTCCCTTTATCACCATGGGCCTCAAACTGTCCGAAACGTCCACTTCCATATACTACAAAAAGAGCGTTTCAAACCTGCTCTATGAAAGGCAATGTTCAGCTCTGTGACTTGAATGCAGACATCACAGAGCAGTTTCTGAGAATGCTTCTGTCTAGATTTTATAGGAATATATTCCCGTTTCCAACGAAATCTTCACAGCTATCCAAATATCCACTTGCAGATTCCACAAAAAGAGTGTATCAAAACTGCTCTGTCAAAAGGAAGGTTCTTTTCTGTTAGGTGAGTGCATACGTCATAAAGGAGTTTCTGAGAATGTTCCTGTCTAGTGGTTATGAGAAGATATTTGCTTTTTCCCCGTAGGCCTCAAAGCGCTCCAATTGTCCACTTGCACATACTACAAAAAGAGTGCTTCAAAGCTGCTCTCTGAAAGGGAATGTTCAACTGTATGAGTTGAATGCAAACATCACAAAGACGTTTCTGAGAATGCTTCTGTCTAGATTTGATATGAAGATATTCCCGTTTCCAACGAAATCTTCAAATCTATCGAAATGTCCACTTGCAGATTCAACAAAAAGTGTTTTTCAGAACTGCTCTATCAAAAGAAAGATCCACCTCTCTTAGCTGAGTTGACACATCACAAACAAGTTTATGAGAATGCTTCTGTCTAGTTTTTATTTGAAGATATTTCCTTTCTCACCATAGACCTGAAAGCTGTCCTAATGTTCACGTCCAGATACTACAGAAAGAGTGTTTCAAAACTGCTGTACGAAAGGGAATGTTCAACTCTGTGACTTGAATGCACACATCACAAAGAAGTTTCTGAGGATGCTGCTGTCTACTTTTTATACGTAATCCCGTTTCCAACGAAATCCTCCAAGCTATCCAAATATCCACTTGCAGATTCCACAGAAAGACTGTTTCAAAACTGCTCTGTCAATAGAAAGGTTCAACTCTTTTAGCTGCGTGAATATATCCCAAAGAAGATTCTGAGATTGCTTCTGTCTAGTTTTTATGGGAAGATATTTCCCTTTTCACCGTAGGCGTCAAGGCGCTCCAAATGTCCACTTCCAGATACTACAACAAGAGTGTTTCAAACCTACTCTGTGAAAGGGAATATTCAACTCTGTGACTTGAATGCACATATCACAAAGAAGTTTCTGAGAATGCTTCTGTCGAGATTTTATATGAAGATATTCCCGTTTCCAACGAAATCCTGAAATCTATCCAAATATCCCCTCGCAGATTCTACAGAAAGAGAGTTTCAAAACTGCTCTGTAAAAAGAAAGGTTCTACTCTGTTACTTGAGTACACACATCACAAACAAGTTTCACAGAATGCTTCTTTCTAGCTTGTAGGGGAAGATATTCCCTTTATCACCATGGGCCTCCAACCGTCCGAAACATCCACTTCCATATACTACAAAAAGAGCGTTTCAAACCTGCTCTATGAAAGGCAATGTTCAACTCTGTGACTTGAATACAGACATCACAGAGCAGTTTCTGAGAATGCCTCTGTCGAGATTTTATAGGAAGATATTCCCGTTTCCAACGAAATCTTCACAGCTATCCAAATATCCACTTGCAGATTCTACAAAAAGAGTGTATCAAAACTGCTCTGTCAAAAGGAAGGTTCTTCTCTGTTAGTTGAGTACATACGTCATACAGGAGTTTCTGAGAATGTTTCTGTCTAGTGGTTATGGGAAGATATTTGCTTTTTCACCGTAGGCCTCAGGGCGCTCCAAATTTTCTCTTGCACATGCTACAAAAAGAGTGCTTAAAAGCTGCTCTCTCAAAGGGAATGTTCAACTCTATGAGTTGAATGCAAACATCGCAAAGACGTTTCTGAGAATGCTTCTGTCTAGATTTGATATGAAGATATTCCCGTTTCCAACGAAATCTTCAAATCTATCCAAATGTCCACTTGCAGATTCAACAAAAAGTGTTTTTCAAAACTGCTGTAACAAAAGAAAGATCCGCCTCTGTTAGCTGAGTTCACACATCACAAACAAGTTTATGAGAATGCTTCTGTCTAGTTTTTATTTGAAGATATTTCCTTTCTCACCATAGACCTGAAAGGTGTCCTAATGTTCACTTCCAGATACTACAGAAAGAGTGTTTCAAAACTGCTGTACGAAAGGGAATGTTCAACTCTGTGACTTGAATGCACACATCACAAAGAAGTTTCTGAGGATGCTGCTGTCTACTTTTTATACGTAATCCCGTTTCCAACGAAATCCTCCAAGTTATCCAAATATCCACTTGCAGATTCCACAGAAAGACTGTTTCAAAACTGCTCTGTCAATAGAAAGGTTCAACTCTGTTAGCTGCGTCCATATATCCCAAAGAAGATTCTGAGATTGCTTCTGTCTAGTTTTTATGGGAAGATATTTCCCTTTTCACCGTAGGCGTCAAGGCGCTCCAAATGTCCACTTCCAGATACTACAAAAAGAGTGTTTCAAACCTATTCTGTGAAAGGGAATATTCAACTCTGTGACTTGAATGCACATATCACAAAGAAGTTTCTGAGAATGCTTCTGTCGAGATTTTATATGAAGATATTCCCGTTTCCAACGAAATCCTGAAATCTATCCAAATATCCCCTCGCAGATTCTACAAAAAGAGTGTTTCAAAACTGCTCTGTAAAAAGAAAGGTTCAACTCTGTTAGTTGAGTACACACCTCACAAACAAGTTTCACAGAATGCTTCTTTCTAGCTTGTAGGGGAAGATATTCCTTTATCACCATGGGCCTCAAACTGTCCGAAACGTCTACTTCCATATACTACAAAAAGAGCGTTTCAAACCTGCTCTATGAAAGGCAATGTTCAGCTCTGTGACTTGAATGCAGACATCACAGAGCAGTTTCTGAGAATGCTTCTGTCTAGATTTTATAGGAAGATATTCCCGTTTCCAACGAAATCTTCACAGGTATCCAAATATCCACCTGCAGATTCTACAAAAAGAGTGTATCAAAACTGCTCTGTCAAAAGGAAGGTTCTTCTCTGTTAGGTGAGTGCATACGTCATAAAGGAGTTTCTGAGAATGTTTCTGTCTAGTGGTTATGGGAAGATATTTGCTTTTTCCCCGTAGGCCTCAGGGCGCTCCAAATGTCCACTTGCACATGCTACAAAAAGAGTGCTTCAAAGCTACTCACTGGAAGGGAATGTTCAACTCTATGAGTTGAATGCAAACATCACAAAGACGTTTCTGAGAATGCTTCTGTCTAGATTTGATATGAAGATATTCCCGTTTCCAACGAAATCTTCAAATCTATCCAAATGTCCACTTGCAGATTCAACAAAAAGTGTTTTTCAGAACTGCTCTATCGAAAGATCCACCTCTGTTAGCTGAGTTCACACATCACAAACAAATTTATGAGAATGCTTCTGTCTAGTTTTTATTTGAAGGTATTTCCTTTCTCACCATAGACCTGAAAGCTGTCCTAATGTTCACTTCCAGATACTACAGAAAGAGTGTTTCAAAACTGCTGTACGAAAGGGAATGTTCAACTCTGTGACTTGAATGCACACATCACAAAGAAGTTTCTGAGGATGCTGCTGTCTACTTTTTATACGTAATCCCGTTTCCAACGAAATCCTCCAAGCTATCCAAATATCCAATTGCAGATTCCACAGAAAGACTGTTTCAAAACTGCTCTGTCAATAGAAAGGTTCAACTCTGTTAGCTGCGTGCATATATCCCAAAGAAGATTCTGAGATTACTTCTATCTAGTTTTTATGGGAAGATATTTCCCTTTTCACCGTAGGCGTCAAGGCGCTCCAAATGTCCACTTCCAGATACTGCAAAAAGAGTGTTTCAAACCTACTCTGTGAAAGGGAATATTCAACTCTGTGACTTGAATGCAGATATCACAAAGAAGTTTCTGAGAATGCTTCTGTCGAGATTTTATATGAAGATATTCCCGTTTCCAACGAAATCCTGAAATCTCTCCAAATATCCCCTCGCAGATTCTACAAAAAGAGTGTTTCAAAACTGCTCTGTAAAAAGAAAGGTTCAACTCTGTTAGTTGAGTACACACATCAAAAACAAGTTTCACAGAATGCTTCTTTCTAGCTTGTAGGGGAAGATATTCCCTTTATCACCATGGGCCTCAAACCGTCTGAAACGTCCACTTCCATATACTACAAAAAGAGCATTTCAAACCTGCTCTATGAAAGGCAATGTTCAACTCTGTGACTTGAATGCACACATCACAGAGCAGTTTCTGAGAATGCTTCTGTCTAGATTTTATAGGAAGATATTCCCGTTTCCAACGAAATCTTCACAGCTATCCAAATATGCACTTGCAGATTCTACAAAAAGAGTGTATCAAAACTGCTCTGTGAAAAAGAATGTTCTTCTCTGTTAGTTGAGTACATACGTCATAAAGGAGTTTCTGAGAATGTTTCTGTCTAGTGGTTATGGGAAGATATTTGCTTTTTCACCGTAGGCCTCAGAGCGCTCCAAATATCCACTTGAACATACTACAAAAAGAGTGATTCAAAGCTGCTCTCTGAAACGGAATGTTCAACTCTATGAGTTGAATGCAACCATCACAAAGACGTTTCTGAGAATGCTTCTGTCTAGATTTGATATGAAGATATTCCCGTTTCCAACGAAATCTTCAAATCTATCCAAATGTCCACTTGCAGATTCAACAAAAGAGTTTTTCAGAACTGCTCTATCAAAAGAAAGATCCACCTCTGTTAGCTGAGTTCACACATCACAAACAAGTTTATGAGAATGCTTCTGTCTAGTTTTTATTTGAAGATATTTCCTTTCTCACCATAGACCTGAAAGCTCTCCTAATGTTCACTTCCAGATACTACAGAAAGAGTGTTTCAAAACTGCTGTATGAAAGGGAATGTTCAACTCTGTGACTTGAATGCACACATCACAAAGAAGTTTCTGAGGATGCTGCTGTCTACTTTTTATACGTAATCCCGTTTCCAACGAAATCCTCCATGCTATCCAAATATCCACTTGCAGATTCCACAGAAAGACTGTTTCAAAACTGCTCTGTCAATAGAAAGGTTCAACTCTGTTAGCTGTGTGCATATATCTCAAAGAAAATTCTGAGATTGCTTCTGTCTTGTTTTTATGGGAAGATATTTCCCTTTTCACCGTAGGCGTCAAGGCGCTCCAAATGTCCACTTCCAGATACTACAAAAAGAGTGTTTCAAACCTACTCTGTGAAAGGGAATATTCAACTCTGTGACTTGAATGCACATATCACAAGGAAGTTTCTGAGAATGCTTCCTGTCGAGATTTTATATGAAGATATTCCCGTTTCCAACGAAATGCTGAAATGTATCCAAATATCCCCTCGCAGATTCTACAAAAAGAGTGTTTCAAAACTGCTCTGTAAAAAGAAAGGTTCAACTCTGTTAGTTGAGTACACACATCACAAACAAGTTTCACAGAATGCTTTCTTTCTAGCTTGTAGGGGAAGATATTCCCTTTATCACCATGGGCCTCAAACCGTCCGAAAAGTCCACTTCCATATACTACAAAAAGAGCGTTTCAAACCTGCTCTATGAAAGGCAATGTTCAACTCTGTGACTTGAATGCAGACATCACAGAGCAGTTTCTGAGAATGCTTCTGTCTAGATTTTATACGAAGATATTCCCGTTTCCAACGAAATCTTCACAGGTATCAAAATATCCACTTGCAGATTCTACAAAAAGAGTGTATCAAAACTGCTCTGTCAAAAGGAAGGTTCTTCTCTGTTAGGTGAGTGCATACGTCATAAAGGAGTTTCTGAGAATGTTTCTGTCTAGTGGTTATGGGAAGACATTTGCTTTTTCACCGTAGGCCACAGAGCGCTCCAAATATCCACTTGCACATACTACAAAAAGAGTGCCTCAAAGCTGCTCTCTGAAAGGGAATGTTCAACTCTATGAGTTGAATGCAAACATCGCAAAGACGTTTCTGAGAATGCTTCTGTCTAGATTTGATATGAAGATATTCCCGTTTCCAACGAAATCTTCAAATTTATCCAAATGTCCACTTGCAGATTCAACAAAAAGTGTTTTTCAGAACTGCTCTATCAAAAGAAAGATCCACCTCTGTTAGCTGAGTTCACACATCACAAACAAGTTTATGAGAATGCTTCTGTCTAGTTTTTATTTGAAGATATTTTCTTTCTCACCATAGACCTGAAAGCTGTCCTAATGTTCACTTCCAGATACTACAGAAAGAGTGTTTCAAAACTGCTGTACGAAAGGGAATGTTCAACTCTGTGACTTGAATGCACACATCACAAAGAAGTTTCTGAGGATGCTGCTGTCTACTTTTTATGCGTAATCCCGTTTCCAACGAAATCCTCCAAGCTATCCCAATATCCACTTGCAGATTCCACAGAAAGACTGTTTCAAAACTGCTCTGTCAATAGAAAGGTTCAACTCTGTTAGCTGCGTGCATATATCCCAAAGAAGATTCTGAGATTGCTTCTGTCTAGTTTTTATGGGAAGATATTTCCCTTTTCACCGTAGGTGTCAAGGCGCTCCAAATGTCTACTTCCAGATACTACAAAAAGAGTGTTTCAAACCTACTCTGTGAAAGGGAATATTCAACTCTGTGACTTGAATGCACATATCACAAGGAAGTTTCTGAGAATGCTTCTGTCGAGATTTTGTATGAAGATATTCCCGTTTCCAACGAAATCCTGAAATCTATCCAAATTTCCCCTCGCAGATTATACAAAAAGAGTGTTTCAAAACTGCTCTGTGAAAAGAAAGGTTCAACTCTGTTAGTTGAGTACACACATCACAAACAAGTTTCACAGAATGCTTCTTTCTAGCTTGTAGGGGAAGATATTCCCTTTATCACCATGGGCCTCAAACCGTCCGAAAAGTCCACTTCCATATACTACAAAAAGAGCGTTTCAAACCTGCTCTATGAAAGGCAATGTTCAACTCTGTGACTTGAATGCAGACATCACAGAGGCAGTTTCTGAGAATGCTTCTGTCTAGATTTTATAGGAAGATATTCCCGTTTCCAACGAAATCTTCACAGCTATCCAAATATCCACTTGCAGATTCTACAAAAAGAGTGTATCAAAACTGCTCTGTCAAAAGGAAGGTTCTTCTCTGTTAGGTGAGTGCATACGTCATAAAGGAGTTTCTGAGAATGTTTTCTGTCTAGTGGTTATGGGAAGATATTTGCTTTTTCACCGTAGGCCTCAGAGCGCTCCAAATATCCACTTGCACATACTACAAAAAGAGTGCCTCAAAGCTGCTCTTTGAAACGGAATGTTCAACTCTATGAGTTGAATGCAAACATCACAAAGACGTTTCTGAGAATGCTTCTGTCTAGATTTGATATGAAGATATTCCCGTTTCCAACGAAATCTTCAAATCTATCCAAATGTCCACTTGCAGATTCAACAAAAAGTGTTTTTCAGAACTGCTCTATCAAAAGAAAGATCCACCTCTGTTAGCTGAGTTCACACATCACAAACAAGTTTATGAAAATGTTTCTGTCTAGTTTTTATTTGAAGATATTGCCTTTCTCACCATAGACCTGAAAGCTGTCCTAATGTTCACTTCCAGATACTACAGAAAGAGTGTTTCAAAACTGCTGTACGAAAGGGAATGTTCAACTCTGTGACTTGAATGAACACATCACAAAGAAGTTTCCTGAGGATGCTGCTGTCTACTTTTTATACGTAATCCCGTTTCCAACGAAATCCTCCAAGCTATCCAAATATCCACTTGCAGATTCCACAGAAAGACTGTTTCAAAACTGCTCTGTCAATAGAAAGGTTTAACTCTGTTAGCTGCGTGCATATATCCCAAAGAAGATTCTGAGATTGCTTCTGTCTAGTTTTTATGGGAAGATATTTCCCTTTTCACCGTGGGCATCAAGGCGCTCCAAATGTCCACTTCCAGATACTACAAAAAGAGTGTTTCAAACCTACTCTGTGAAAGGGAATATTCAACTCTGTGACTTGAATGCACATATCACAAGGAAGTTTCTGAGAATGCTTCTGTCGAGTATTTTATATGAAGATATTCCCGTTTCCAACGAAATCCTGAAATCTATCCAAATATCCCCTCGCAGATTCTACAAAAAGAGTGTTTCAAAACTGCTCTGTAAAAAGAAAGGTTCAACTCTGTTAGTTGAGTACACACATCACAACAAGTTTCACAGAATGCTTCTTTCTAGCTTGTAGGGGAATATATTCCCTTTATCACCATGGGTCTCAAACCGTCCGAAACGTCCACTTCCATATACTACAAAAAGAGCGGTTCAAACCTGCTCTATGAAAGGCAATGTTCAACTCTGTGACTTGAATGCAGACATCACAGAGCTGTTTCTGAGAATGCTTCTGTCTAGATTTTATAGGATGATATTCCCGTTTCCAACGAAATCTTCACAGCTATCCAAATATCCACTTGCAGATTCTACAAAAAGAGTGTATCCAAACTGCTCTGGCAAAAGGAAGGTTCTTCTCTGTTAGGTGAGTGCATACGTCATAAAGGAGTTTCTGAGAATGTTTCTGTCTAGTGGTTATGGGAAGATATTTGCTTTTTCACCTTAGGCCTCAGAGTGCTCCAAATATCCTTTTGCACATACTACAAAAAGAGTGCTTCAAAGCTGCTCTCTGAAACGGAATGTTCAACTCTATGAGTTGAATGCAAACATCACAAAGACGTTTCTGGGAATGCTTCTGTCTAGATTTGATATGAAGATATTCCCGTTTCCAACGAAATCTTCAAATCTATCCAAATGTCCACTGGCAGATTCAACAAAAAGTGTTTTTCAGAACTGCTCTATCAAAAGAAAGATCCACCTCTGTTAGCTGAGTTCACACATCACAAAGAGGTTTATGAGAATGCTTCTGTCTAGTTTTTATTTGAAGATATTTCCTTTCTCACCATAGACCTGAAAGCTGTCCTAATGTTCACTTCCATGTACTACAGAAAGAGTGTTTCAAAACTGCTGTACGAAAGGGAATGTTCAACTCTGTGACTTGAATGCACACATCACAAAGAAGTTTCTGAGGATGCTGCTGTCTACTTTTTATACGTAATCCCGTTTCCAACGAAATCCTCCAAGCTATCCAAATATCCACTTGCAGATTCCACAGAAAGACTGTTTCAAAACTGCTCTGTCAATAGAAAGGTTCAACTCTGTTAGCTGCGTGCATATATCCCAAAGAAGATGCTGAGATTGCTTCTGTCTAGTTTTTATGGGAAGATATTTCCCTTTTCACCGTAGGCGTCAAGGCGCTCCAAATGTCCACTTCCAGATACTACAAAAAGAGTGTTTCAAACCTACTCTGTGAAAGGGAATATTCAACTACTGTGACTTGAAGGCAGATATCACAAAGAAGTTTCTGAGAATGCTTTCTGTCGAGATTTTATATGAAGATATTCCCGTTTCCAACGAAATCCTGAAATCTATCCAAATATCCTCTCGCAGATTCTACAAAAAGAGTGTTTCAAAACTGCTCTGTAAAAAGAAAGGTTCAACTCTGTTAGTTGAGTACACACATCAAAAACAACTTTCACAGAATGCTTCTTTCTAGCTTGTAGGGGAAGATATTCCCTTTATCACCATGGGCCTCCAACCGTCCGAAACATTCTCTTCCATATACTACAAAAAAGCATTTCAAACCTGCTCTATGAAAGGCAATGTTCAACTCTGTGACTTGAATGCAGACATCACAGAGCAGTTTCTGAGAATGCTTCTGTCTAGATTTTATAGGAAGATATTCCCGTTTCCAACGAAATCTTCACAGCTATCCAAATATCCACTTGCAGATTCTACAAAAAGAGTGTATCAAAACTGCTCTGTCAAAAGGAAGGTTCTTCTCCGTTAGGTGAGTGCACACGTCATAAAGGAGTTTCTGAGAATGTTTCAGTGTAGTGGTTATGGGAAGATATTTGCTTTTTCCCCGTAGGCCTCAGAGCGCTCCAAATATCCACTTGCACATACTACAAAAAGAGTACTTCAAAGCTGCTCTCTGAAACGGAATGTTCAACTCTATGAGTTGAATGCAAACATCACAAAGACGTTTCTGAGAATGCTTCTGTCTAGATTTGATATGAAGATATTCCCGTTTCCAACGAAATCTTCAAATCTATCCAAATGTCCACTTGCAGATTCAACAAAAAGTGTTTTTCAGAACTGCTCTATCAAAAGAAAGATCCACCTCTCTTAGCTGAGTTCACACATCACAAACAAGTTTATGAAAATGCTTCTGTCTAGTTTTTATTTGAAGATATTTCCTTTCTCACCATAGAGCTGAAAGCTGTCCTAATGTTCACTTCCAGATACTACAGAAAGAGTGTTTCAAAACTGCTGTACCAAAGGGAATGTTCAACTCTGTGACTTGAATGCACACATCACAAAGAAGTTTCGGAGGATGCTGCTGTCTACTTTTTATACGTAATCCCGTTTCCAACGAAATCCTCCAATCTATACAAATATCCACTTGCAGATTCCACAGAAAGACTGTTTCAAAACTGCTCTGTCAATAGAAAGGTTCAACTCTGTTAGCTGCGTGCATATATCCCAAAGAAGATTCTGAGATTGCTTCTGTCTACTTTTTATGAGAAGATATTTCCCTTTTCACCGTAGGCGTCAAGGCGCTCCAAATGTCCACTTCCAGATACTACAAAAAGAGTGTTTCAAACCTACTCTGTGAAAGGGAATATTCAACTCTGTGACTTGAATGCACATATCACAAAGAAGCTTTCTGAGAATGCTTCTGTCGAGATTTTATATGAAGATATTCCCATTTCCAACGAAATCCTGAAATCTATCCAAATATCCCCTCTCAGATTCTACAAAAAGAGTGTTTCAAAACTGCTCTGTAAAAAGAAAGGTTCAACTCTGTTAGTTGAGTACACACATCACAAACAAGTTTCACAGAATGCTTCTTTCTAGCTTGTAGGGGAAGATATTCCCTTTATCACCATGGGCCTCAAACCGTCCGAAACGTCCACTTCCATATACTACAAAAAGAGCGTTTCAAACCTGCTCTAGGAAAGGCAATGTTCAACTCTGTGACTTGAATGCAGACATCACAGAGCAATTTCTGAGAATGCTTCTGTCTATATTTTATAGGAAGATATTCCCGTTTCCAACGAAATCTTCACAGCTATCCAAATATCCACTTGCAGATTCTACAAAAAGAGTGTATCAAAACTGCTCTGTCAAAAGGAAGGTTCTTTTCTGTTAGGTGAGTGCATACGTCATAAAGGAGTTTCTGAGAATGTTTCTGTCTAGTGGTTATGGGAAGATATTTGCTTTTTCACCTTAGGCCTCAGAGCGCTCCAAATATCCCCTTGCACATACTACAAAAAGAGTGCTTCAAAGCTGCTCTCTGAAAGGGAATGTTCAACTCTATGAGTTGAATGCAAACATCACAAAGACGTTTCTGGGAATGCTTCTGTCTAGATTTGATATGAAGATATTCCCGTTTCCAACGGAATCTTCATATCTATCCAAATGTCCACTTGCAGATTCAACAAAAAGTGTTTTTCAAAACTGCTGTATCAAAAGAAAGATCCACGTCCGTTAGCTGAGTTCACACATCACAAACAAGTTTATGAGAATGCTTCTGTCTAGTTTTTATTTGAAGATATTTCCTTTCTCACCATAGACCTGAAAGCTGTCCTATTGTTCACTTCCAGATACTACAGAAAGAGTGTTTCAAAACTGCTGTACGAAAGGGAATGTTCAACTCTGTGACTTGAATGCACACATCACAAAGAAGTTTCTGAGGATGCTGCTGTCTACTTTTTATACGTAATCCCGTTTCCAAAGAGATCCTCCAAGCTATCCAAATATCCACTTGCAGATTCCACAGAAGGACTGTTTCTAAACTGCTCTGTCAATAGAAAGGTTCAACTCTGTGAGCTGCGTGCATATATCCCAAAGAAGATTCTGAGATTGCTTCTGTCTACTTTTTATGAGAAGTTATTTCCCTTTTCACCGTAGGTGTCAAGGCGCTCCAAATGTCCACTTCCAGATACTACAAAAAGAGTGTTTCAAACCTACTCTGTGAAAGGGAATATTCAACTCTGTGACTTGAATGCACATATCACAAAGAAGTTTCTGAGAATGCTTTCTGTCGAGAATTTTCTATGAAGATATTCCCGTTTCCAACGAAATCCTGAAATCTATCCAAATATCCCCTCGCAGATTCTACAAAAAGAGTGTTTCAAAACTGCTCTGTAAAAAGAAAGGTTCAACTCTGTTACTTCAGTACACACATCACAAACAAGTTTCACAGAATGCTTCTTTCTAGCTTGTAGGGGAAGATATTCCCTTTATCACCATGGGCCTCAAACCGTCCGAAACGTCCACTTCCATATACTACAAAAAGAGCGTTTCAAACCTGCTCTATGAAAGGCAATGTTCAACTCTTTGACTTGAATGCAGACATCACAGAGCAGTTTCTGAGAATGCTTCTGTCTAGACTTTATAGGAAGATATTCCCGTTTCCAACGAAATCTTCACAGCTATCCAAATATGCACTTGCAGATTCTACAAAAAGAGTGTATCAAAAGTGCTCTGTCAAAAGGAAGGTTCTTCTCTGTTAGTTGAGTACATACGTCATAAAGGAGTTTCTGAGAATGTTTTCTGTCTAGTGGTTATGGGAAGATATTTGCTTTTTCACCTTAGGCCTCAGAGCGGCTCCATATATCCCCTTGCACATACTACAAAAAGAGTGCTTCAAAGCTGCTCTCTGAAAGGGAATGTTCAACTCTATGAGTTGAATGCAAACATCACAAAGACGTTTCTGAGAATGCTTCTGTCTAGATTTGATATGAAGATATTCCCGTTTCCAAAGAAATCTTCAAATCTATCCAAATGTCCACTTGCAGATTCAACAAAAAGTGTTTTTCAAAACTGCTCTATCAAAAGAAAGATCCACGGCTCTTAGCTGAGTTCACACATCACGAACAAGTTTATGAGAATGCTTCTGTCTAGTTTTTATTTGAAGATATTTCCTTTCTCACCATAGACCTGAAAGCTGTCCTAATGTTCACTTCCAGATACTACAGAAAGAGTGTTTCAAAACTGCTGTACGAAAGGTAATGTTCAACTCTGTGACTTGAATGCACACATCACAAAGAAGTTTCTGAGGATGCTGCTGTCTACTTTTTATACGTAATCCCGTTTCCAACGAAATCCTCCAATCTATCCAAATATCCACTTGCAGATTCCACAGAAAGACTGTTTCAAATCTGCTCAGTCAATAGAAAGGTTCAACTCTGTTAGCTGCGTGCATATATCCCAAAGAAGATTCTGAGATTGCTTCTGTCTAGTTTTTATGGGAAGATATTTCCCTTTTCACCGTAGGTGTCAAGGCGCTCCAAATGTCCACTTCCAGATACTACAAAAAGAGTGTTTCAAACCTACTCTGTGAAAGGGAATATTCAACTCTGTGATTGAATGCACATATCACAAAGAAGTTTCTGAGAATGCTTCTGTCGCGATTTTATATGAAGATATTCCCGTTTCCAACAAAATCCTGAAATCTTTCCAAATATCTCCTCGCAGATTCTACAAAAAGAGTGTTTCAAAACTGCTCTGTAAAAAGAAAGGTTCAACTCTGTTAGTTGAGTACACACATCACAAACAAGTTTCACAGAATGCTTCTTTCTAGCTTGTAGGGGAATATATTCCCTTTATCACCATGGGCCTCCAACCGTCCGAAACATCCACTTCCATATACTACAAAAAGAGCGTTTCAAACCTGCTCTATGAAAGGCAATGTTCAACTCTGTGACTTGAATGCAGACATCACAGAGCAGTTTCTGAGAATGCTTCTGTCTAGATTTTATAGGAAGATATTCCCGTTTCCAACGAAATCTTCACAGCTATCCAAATATCCACTTGCAGATTCTACAAAAAGAGTGTATCAAAACTGCTCTGTCAAAAGGAAGGTTCTTCTCTGTTGGGTGAGTGCATACGTCAGAAAGGAGTTTCTGAGAATGTTTCTGTCTAGTGGTTATGGGAAGATATTTGCTTTTTCACCTTAGGCCTCAGAGCGATCCAAATATCCACTTGCACATACTACAAAAAGAGTGCTTCAAAGCTGCTCTCTGAAAGTGAATGTTCAACTCTATGAGTTGAATGCAAACATCACAAAGACGTTTCCGAGAATGCTTCTGTCTAGATTTGATATGAAGATATTCCCGTTTCCAACGAAATCTTCAAATCTATCCAAATGTCTACTTGCAGATTCAACAAAAAGTGTTTTTCAAAACTGCTGTATCAAAAGAAAGATCCACGTCTGTTAGCTCAGTTCACACATCACAAACAAGTTTATGAGAATGCTTCTGTCTAGTTTTTATTTGAAGATATTTCCTTTCTCACCATAGACCTGAAAGCTGTCCTAATGTTCACTTCCAGATACTACAGAAAGAGTGTTTCAAAACTGCTGTACGAAAGGGAATGTTCAACTGTGTGACTTGAATGCACACATCACAAAGAAGTTTCTGAGGATGCTGCTGTCTACTTTTTATACGTAATGCCGTTTCCAACGAAATCCTCCAAGCTATCCAAATATCCACTTGCAGATTCCACAGAAAGACTGTTTCAAAACTGCTCTGTCAATAGAAAGGTTCAACTCTGTTAGCTGCGTGCATATATCCCAAAGAAGATTCTGAGATTGCTTCTGTCTAGTTTTTATGGGAAGATATTTCCCTTTTCACCGTAGGCGTCAAGGCGCTCCAAATGTCCACTTCCAGATACTACAAAAAGAGTGTTTCAAACCTACTCTGTGAAAGGGAATATTCAACTCTGTGACTTGAATGCAGATATCACAAAGAAGTTTATGAGAATGCTTCTGTCGAGATTTTATATGAAGATATTCCCGTTTCCAACGAAATGCTGAAATGTATCCAAATATCCCCTCGCAGATTCTACAAAAAGAGTGTTTCAAAACTGCTCTGTAAAAAGAAAGGTTCATCTCTGTTAGTTGAGTACACACATCACAAACAAGTTTCACAGAATGCTTCTTTCTAGCTTGTAGGGGAAGATATTCCCTTTATCACCATGGGCCTCAAACCGTCCGAAACATCCACTTCCATATACTACAAAAAGAGCGTTTCCAACCTGCTCTATGAAAGGCAATGTTCAACTCTGTGACTTGAATGGAGACATCACAGAGCAGTTTCTGAGAATGCTTCTGTCTAGATTTTATAGGAAGATATTCCCGTTTCCAACGAAAGCTTCACAGCTATCCAAATATCCACTTGCAGATTCTACAAAAAGAGTGTATCAAAACTGCTCTGTCAAAAGGAAGGTTCTTCTCTGTTAGGTGAGTGCATACGTCATACAGGAGTTTCTGAGAATGTTTCTGTCTAGTGGTTAGGGGAAGATATTTGCTTTTTCACCTTAGGCCTCACAGCGCTCCAAATATCCCCTTGCACATACTACAAAAAGAGTGCTTCAAAGCTGCTCTCTGAAACGGAATGTTCAACTGTATGAGTTGAATGCAAACATCACAAAGACGTTTCTGAGAATGCTTCTCTCTAGATTTGATATGAAGATATTCCCGTTTCCAACGAAATCTTCAAATCTATCCAAATGTCCACTTGCAGATTCAACAAAAAGTGTTTTTCAGAACTGCTCTATCAAAAGAAAGATCCACCTCTGTTAGCTGAGTTCACACATCACAAACAAGTTTATGAGAATGCTTCTGTCTAGTTTTTATTTGAAGATATTTCCTTTCTCACCATAGACCTGAAAGCTGTCCTAATGTTCACTTCCAGTTACTACAGAAAGAGTGTTTCAAAACTGCTGTACGAAAGGGAATGTTCAACTTCTGTGACTTGAATGCACACATCACAAAGAAGTTTCTGAGGATGCTGCTGTCTACTTTTTATACTTAATCCCGTTTCCAACGAAATCCTCCAAGCTATCCAAATATCCACTTGCAGATTCCACAGAAAGACTGTTTCAAAACTGCTCTGTCAATAGAAAGGTTCAATTCTGTTAGCTGCGTGCATATATCCCAAAGAAGATTCTGAGATTGCTTCTGTCTAGTTTTTATGGGAAGATATTTCCCTTTTCACCGTGGGCGTCAAGGCGCTCCAAATGTCCACTTCCAGATACTACAAAAAGAGTGTTTCAAACCTACTCTGTGAAAGGGAATATTCAACTCTGTGACTTGAATGCACATATCACAAGGAAGTTTTCTGAGAATGCTTCTGTCGAGATTTTATATGAAGATATTCCCGTTTCCAACGAAATCCTGAAATCTATCCAAATATCCCCTCGCAGATTCTACAAAAAGAGTGTTTCAAAACTGCTCTGTAAAAAGAAAGGTTCAACTCTGTTAGTTGAGTGCACATATCACAAACAAGTTTCACAGAATGCTTCTTTCTAGCTTGTAGGGGAAGATATTCCCTTTATCACCATGGGCCTCAAACCGTCCGAAACGTCCACTTCCATATACTACAAAAAGAGCGTTTCAAACCTGTTCTAGGAAAGGCAATGTTCAACTCTGTGACTTGAATGCAGACATCACAGAGCAGTTTCTGAGAATGCTTCTGTCTAGATTGTATAGGAAGATATTCCCGTTTCCAACGAAATCTTCACAGCTATCCAAATATCCACTTGCAGATTCTACAAAAAGAGTGTATCAAAACTGCTCTGTCAAAAGGAAGGTTCTTCTCTGTTAGGTGAGTGCATACGTCATAAAGGAGTTTCTGAGAATGTTTCTGTCTAGTGGTTATGGGAAGATATTTGCTTTTTCACCTTAGGCCTCAGAGTGCTCCAAATATCCCCTTGCACATACTACAAAAAGAGTGCTTCAAAGCTGCTCTCTGAAAGGGAATGTTCAACTCTATGAGTTGAATGCAAACATCACAAAGACGTTTCTGAGAATGCTTCTGTCTAGATTTGATATGAAGATATTCCCGTTTCCAACGAAATCTTCAAATCTATCCAAATGTCCACTTGCAGATTCAACAAAAAGTGTTTTTCAGAACTGCTCTATCAAAAGAAAGATCCACATCTGTTAGCTGAGTTCACACATCACAAACAACTTTATGAGAATGCTTCTGTGTAGTTTTTATTTGAAGATATTTCCTTTCTCACCATAGAGCTGAAATCTGTCCTAATGTTCACTTCCAGATACTACAGAAAGAGTGTTTCAAAACTGCTGTACGAAAGGGAATGTTCAACTCTGTGACTTTAATGCACACATCACAAAGAAGTTTCTGAGGATGCTGCTGTCTACTTTTTATACGTAATCCCGTTTCCAACGAAATCCTCCAAGCTATCCAAATATCCACTTGCAGATTCCACAGAAAGACTGTTTCTAAACTGCTCTGTCAATAGAAAGGTTCAACTCTGTTAGCTGCGTGCATATATCCCAAAGAAGATTCTGAGATTCCTTCTGTCTAGTTTTTATGGGAAGATATTTCCCTTTTCACCGTAGGCGTCAAGGCGCTCCAAATGTCCACTTCCAGATACTACAAAAAGAGTGTTTCAAACCTACTCTGTGAAAGGGAATATTCAACTCCTGTGACTTGAAGGCAGATATCACAAAGAAGTTTCTGAGAATGCTTCTGTCGAGATTTTATATGAAGATATTCCCGTTTCCAACGACATCCTGAAATCTATCCAAATATCCCCTCGCAGATTCTACAAAAAGAGTGTTTCAAAACTGCTCTGTAAAAAGAAAGGTTCAACTCTGTTAGTTGAGTACACACCTCACAAACAAGTTTCACAGAATGCTTCTTTCTAGCTTGTAGGGGAAGATATTCCCTTTATCATCATGGGCCTCAAACCGTCCGAAACGTCCACTTCCATATACTACAAAAAGAGCGTTTCAAACCTGCTCTATCAAAGGCAATGTTCAACTCTGTGACTTGAATGCAGACATCACAGAGCAGTTTCTGAGAATGCTTCTGTCTAGATTTTATAGGAAGATATTCCCGTTTCCAACGAAATCTTCACAGCTATCCAAATATCCACTTGCAGATTCTACAAAAAGAGTGTATCAAAACTGCTCTGTCAAAAGGAGGGTTCTTCTCTGTTAGTTGAGTACATACGTCATAAAGGAGTTTCTGAGAATGTTTCTGTCTAGTGGTTATGGGAAGATATTTGCTTTTTCACCGTAGGCCTCAGAGCGCTCCAAATATCCCCTTGCACATACTACAAAAAGAGTGCTTCAAAGCTGCGCTCTGAAAGGGAATGTTCAACTCTGTGAGTTGAATGCAAACATCACAAAGACGTTTTCTGAGAATGCTTCTGTCTAGATTTGATATGAAGATATTTCCGTTTCCAATGAAATCTTCAAATCTATTCAAGTGTCCACTTGCAGATTCAACAAAAAGTGTTTTTCAAAAGGGCTGTATAAAAAGAAAGATCCACCTCTGTTAGTTGAGTTCACACATCAAAACAAGTTTATGAGAATGCTTCTGTCTAGTTTTTATTTGAAGATATTTCCTTTCTCACAATAGACCTGAAAGCTCTCGTCCCGTTCACTTCCAGGTACTAGAGAAAGAGTGTTTCAAACCTGCTGTACGAAAGGGAATGTTCAACTCTTTGACTTGAATGCACACATCACAAAGAAGTTTCTGAGAATGCTGCTGTCTACTTTTTATACGTAATCCTGTTTCCAACGAAATCCTCCAAGCTATCCAAATATCCACTTGCAGATTCCACAGAAAGACTGTTTCAAAACTGCTATGTCAATAGAAAAGTTCAACTCTGTTAGCTGTGTGCATATATCCCAAAGAAGATTCTGAGATTGCTTCTGTCTAGTTTTTATGGGAAGATATTTCCCTTTTCACCGTAGGTGTCAAGGCGCTCCAAATGTCCACTTCCAGATATTACAAAAAGAGTGTTTCAAACCTACTCTCTGAAAGGGAATATTCAACTCTGTGACTTGAATGCAGATATCACAATGAAGTTTCTGAGAATGCTTCTGTCGAGATTTTATATGAAGATATTCCCGTTTCCAACGAAATGCTGAAATCTATCCAAATATCCCCTCGCAGATTCTACAAAAAGAGTGTTTCAAAACTGCTCTGTAAAAAGGAAGGTTCAACTCTGTTAGTTGAGTACACACATCACAAACAAGTTTCACAGAATGCTTCTTTCTAGCTTGTAGGGGAAGATATTCCCTTTATCACCATGGGCCTCAAACCGCCCGAAACGTCCACTTCCATATACTACAAAAAGAGGGTTTCAAACCTGCTCTATGAAAGGCAATGTTCAACTCTGTGACTTGAATGCAGACATCACAGAGCAGTTTCTGAGAATTCTTCTGTCTAGATTTTATAGGAAGATATTCCCGTTTCCAACGAAATCTTCACAGCTATCCAAATATCCACTTGCAGATTCTACAAAAAGAGTGTATCAAAACTGCTCTGTCAAAAGGAAGGTTCTTCTGTGTTAGGTGAGTGCATACGTCATAAAGGAGTTTCTGAGAATGTTTCTGTCTAGTGGTTATGGGAGATATTTGCTTTTTCCCCGTAGGCCTCAAAGCGCTCCAAATGTCCACTTGCACATACTACAAAAAGAGTGCTTCAAAGCTGCTCTCTGAAAGGGAATGTTCAACTCTATGAGTTGAATGCAAACATCACAAAGACGTTTCTGAGAATGCTTCTGTCTAGATTTGATATGAAGATATTCCCGTTTCCAACGAAATCTTCAAATCTATCCAAATGTCCACTTGCAGATTCAACAAAAAATGTTTTTCAGAACTGCTCTATCAAAAGAAAGATCCACCTCTGTTAGCTGAGTTCACACATCACAAACAAGTTTATGAGAATGCTTCTGTCTAGTTTATATTTGAAGATATTTCCTTTCTCACCATAGACCTGAAAGCTGTCCTAATGTTCACTTCCAGATACTACAGAAAGAGTGTTTCAAAACTGCTGTACGAAAGGGAATGTTCAACTCTGTGACTTGAATGCACACATCACAAAGAAGATTCTGAGGATGCTGCTGTCTACTTTTTATACGTAATCCCGTTTCCAACGAAATCCTCCAAGCTATCCAAATATCCACTTGCAGATTCCACAGAAAGACTGTTTCAAAACTGCTCTGTCAATAGAAAGGTTCAACTCTGTTAGCTGCGTGCATGTATCCCAAAGAAGATTCTGAGATTGCTTCTGTCTAGTTTTTATGGGAAGATATTTCCCTTTTCACCGTAGACGTCAAGGCGCTCCAAATGTCCACTTCCAGATACTACAAAAAGAGTGTTTCAAACCTACTCTGTGAAAGGGAATATTCAACTCTGTGACTTGAATGCACATATCACAAAGAAGTTTCTGAGAATGCTTCTGTCTAGATTTTATAGGAAGATATTCCCGTTTCCAACGAAATCTTCACAGCTATACAAATATCCACTTGCAGATAGTACAAAAAGAGTGTATCAAAAATGCTCTGTCAAAAGGAAAGTTCTTCTCTGCTAGTTGAGTACATACGTCATAAAGAAGTTTCTGAGAATGTTTCTTTCTAGCTTGTAGGGGAAGATATTCCCTTTATCACCATGGGCCTCCAACCGTCCGAAACATCCACTTCCATATACTCCAAAAAGAGCGTTTCAAACCTGCTCTATGAAAGGCAATGTTCAACTCTGTGACTTGAATGCAGACATCACAGAGCAGTTTCTGAGAATGCTTCTGTATAGATTTTATAGGAAGATATTCCCGTTTCCAACGAAATCTTCACAGCTATCCAAATATCCACTTGCAGATTCTACAAAAAGAGTGTATCAAAACTGCTCTGTCAAAAGGAAGGTTCTTTTCTGTTAGGTGAGTGCATACGTCATAAAGGATTTTCTGAGAATGCTTTTGTCTAGTGGTTATGGGAAGATATTTGCTTCTTCCCCGTAGGCCTCAGAACGCTCCAAATATCCACTTGCACATACTACAAAAAGAGTGCTTCAAAGCTGCTCTCTGAAACGGAATGTTCAACTCTATGAGTTGAATGCAAACATCACAAAGACGTTTCTGAGAATGCTTCTGTCTAGATTTGATATGAAGATATTCCCGTTTCCAACGAAATCTTCAAATCTATCCAAATGTCCACTTGCAGATTCAACAAAATGTGTTTTTCCGAACTGCTCTATCAAAAGAAAGATCCGCCTCTGTTAGCTGAGTTCACACATCACAAACAAGTTTATGAGAATGCTTCTGTCTAGTTTTTATTTGAAGATATTTCCTTTCTCAATATAGACCTGAAAGCTGTCCTAATATTCACTTTCAGATACTACAGAAAGAGTGTTTCAAAACTGCTGTATGAAAGGGAATGTTCAACTCTGTGACTTGAATGCACACATCACAAAGAAGTTTCTGAGGATGCTGCTGTCTACTTTTTATACGTAATCCCGTTTCCAACGAAATCCTCCAAGCTATCCAAATATCCACTTGCAGGTTCCACAGAAAGACTGTTTCAAAACTGCTATGTCAATAGAAAAGTTCAACTCTGTTAGCTGTGTGCATATATCCCAAAGAAGATTCTGAGATTGCTTCTGTCTAGTTTTTATGGGAAGATATTTCCCTTTTCACCGTAGGTGTCAAGGTGCTCCAAATGTCCAATTCCAGATACTACAAAAAGAGTGTTTCAAACCTACTCTGTGAAAGGGAATATTCAACTCTGTGACTTGAATGTAGATATCACAAAGAAGTTTCTGAGAATGCTTCTGTCGAGATTTTATATGAAGATATTCCCGTTTCCAACGAAATCCTGAAATCTATCCAAATATCCCCTCGCAGATTCTACAAAAAGAGTGTTTCAAAACTGCTCTTTAAAAAGAAAGGTTCAACTCTGTTAGTTGAGTACACACATCACAAACAAGTTTCACAGAATGCTTCTTTCTAGCTTGTAGGGGAAGATATTCCCTTTATCACCATGGGCCTCAAACCGTCCGATAAGTCCACTTCCATATACTACAAAAAGAGCGTTTCAAACCTGCTCTATGAAAGACAACGTTCAACTCTGTGACTTGAATGCAGACATCACAGAGCAGTTTCTGAGAATGCTTCTGTCTAGATTTTATAGGAAGATATTCCCGTTTCCAACGAAATCTTCACAGCTATCCAAATATCCACTTGCAGATTCTATAAAAAGAGTGTATCAAAACTGCTCTGTCAAAAGGAAGGTTCTTTTCTGTTAGGTGAGTGCATACGTCATAAAGGAGTTTCTGAGAATGTTTCTGTCTAGTGGTTATGGGAAGATATTTGCTTTTTCCCCGTAGGCCTCAGGGCACTCCAAATGTCCACTTGCACATGCTACAAAAAGAGTGCTTCAAAGCTACTCTCTGGAAGGGAATGTTCAACTCTATGAGTTGAATGCAAACATCACAAAGACGTTTCTGAGAATGCTTCTGTCTAGGTTTGATATGAAGATATTCCCGTTTCCAACGAAATCTTCAAATCTATCCAAATGTCCACTTGCAGATTCAACAAAAAGTGTTTTTCAGAACTGCTCTATCAAAAGAAAGATCCACCTCTGTTAGCTGAGTTCACACATCACAAACAAGTTTATGAGAATGCTTCTGTCTAGTTTTTATTTGAAGATATTTCCTTTCTCACCATAGACCTGAAAGCTGTCCTAATGTTCACTTCCAGATACTACAGAAAGAGTGTTTCAAAACTGCTGTACGAAAGGGAATGTTCAACTCTGTGACTTGAATGCACACATCACAAAGAAGTTTCTGAGGATACTGCTGTCTACTTTTTATACGTAATCCCATTTCCAACGAAATCCTCCAAGCTATCCAAATATCCACTTGCAGATTCCACAGAAAGACTGTTTCAAAACTGCTCTGTCAATAGAAAGGTTCAACTCTGTTAGCTGCATGCATATATCCCAAAGAAGATTCTGAGATTGCTTCTGTCTAGTTTTTATGGGAAGATATTTCCCTTTTCACCGTAGGTGTCAAGGCGCTCCAAATGTCCACTTCCAGATACTACAAAAAGAGTGTTTCAAACCTTCTCTATGGAAGGGAATATTGAACTCTGTGACTTGAATGCAGATATCACAAAGAAGTTTCTGAAAATGCTTCTGTCGAGATTTTATAGGAAGATATTCCCGTTTCCAACGAAATCCTGAAATCTATCCAAATAACCCCTCGCAGATTCTACAAAAAGAGTGTTTCAAAACTGCTCTGTAAAAAGAAAGGTTCAACTCTGTAAGATGAGTACACACACCACAAACAAGTTTCACAGAATGCTTCTTTCTAGCTTGTAGGGAAAGATATTCCCTTTATCACCATGGGCCTCAAAGCGTCCGAAACGTCCACTTCCATATACTACAAAAAGAGCGTTTCAAACCTGCTCTAGGAAAGGCAATGTTCAACTCTGTGACTTGAATGCAGACATCACAGAGTAGTTTCTGAGAATGCTTCTGTCTAGATATTATAGGAGGATATTCCCGTTTCCAACGAAATCTTCACAGCTATCCAAATATCCACTTGCAGATTCTACAAAAAGAGTGTATCAAAACTGCTCTGTCAAAAGGAAGGTTCTTCTCTGTTAGATGAGTGCATACGTCATAAAGGAGTTTCTGAGAATGTTTCTGTGTAGTGGTTATGGGAAGATATTTGCTTTTTCCCCGTAGGCCTCAGAGCGCTCCAAATATCCACTTGCACATACTACAAAAAGAGTGCTTCAAAGCTGCTCTCTGAAACGGAATGTTCAACTCTATGAGTTGAATGCAAACATCACAAAGACGTTTCTGAGAATGCTTCTGTCTAGATTTGATATGAAGATATTCCCGTTTCCAATGAAATCTTCAAATCTATCCAAATGTCCACTTGCAGATTCAACGAAAAGTGTTTTTCAAAACTGCTGTATCAAAAGAAAGATCCACCTCTGTTAGCTGAGTTCACACATCACAAACAAGTTTATGAGAATGCTTCTGTCTAGTTTTTATTTGAAGATATTTCCTTTCTCACCATAGACCTGAAAGCTGTCCTAATGTTCACTTCCAGATACTACAGAAAGAGTGCTTCAAAACTGCTGTACGAAAGGGAATGTTCAACTCTGTGACTTGAATGCACACATCACAAAGAAGTTTCTGAGGATGCTGCTGTCTACTTTTTATACGTAATCCCGTTTCCAACGAAATCCTCCAAGCTATCCAAATATCCACTTGCAGATTCCACAGAAAGACTGTGTCAAAACTGCTCTGTCAATAGGAAGGTTCAACTCTGTTAGCTGCGTGCATATATCCCAAAGAAGATTCTGAGATTGCTTCTGTCTAGTTTTTATGGGAAGATATTTCCCTTTTCACCGTAGGCGTCAAGGCGCTCCAAATGTCCACTTCCAAATACTACAAAAAGAGTGTTTCAAACCTACTCTGTGAAAGGGAATATTCAACTCTGTGACTTGAATGCACATATCACAAAGAAGTTTCTGAGAATGCTTCTGTCGAGATTTTATATGAAGATATTCCCGTTTCCAACGAAATCCTGAAATCTATCCAAATATCCCCTCGCAGATTCTACAAAAAGAGTGTTTCAAAACTGCTCTGTAAAAAGAAAGGTTCAACTCTGTTAGTTGAGTACACACATCACAAACAAGTTTCACAGAATGTTTCTTTCTAGCTTGTAGGGGAAGATATTCCCTTTATCACCATGGGCCTCAAACCGTCCGAAACGTCCACTTCCATATACTACAAAAAGAGCGTTTCAAACCTGCTCTAGGAAAGGCAATGTTCAACTCTGTGACTTGAATGCAGACATCACATAGCAGTTTCTGAGAATGCTTCTGTCTAGATTTTATAGGAAGATATTCCCGTTTCCAACGAAATCTTCACAGCTATCCAAATATCCACTGGCAGATTCTACAAAAAGAGTGTATCAAAACTGCTCTGTCAAAAGGAAGGTTCTTCTCTGTTAGTTGAGTACATACGTCATAAAGGAGTTTCTGAGAATGTTTCTGTCTAGTGGTTATGGGAAGATATTTGCTTTTTCACCGTAGGCCTCAGAGCGCTGCAAATATCCGCTTGCACATACTACAAAAAGAGTGCTTCAAAGCTGCTCTCTGAAACGGAATGTTCAACTCTATGAGTTGAATGCAAACATGACAAAGACGTTTCTGAGAATGCTTCTGTCTAGATTTGATATGAAGATATTCCCGTTTCCAATGACATCTTCAAATCTATCCAAATGTCCACTTGCAGATTCAACAAAACGTGTTTTTCAGAACTGCTCTATCAAAAGAAAGATCCACCTCTGTTAGCTGAGTTCACACATCACAAAAAAGTTTATGAGAATGCTTCTGTCTAGTTTTTATTTGTAGATATTTCCTTTCTCACCATAGAGCTGAAAGCTGTCCTAATGTTCACTTCCAGATACTACAGAAAGAGTGTTTCAAAACTGCTGTACGAAAGGGAATGTTCAACTCTGTGACTTGAATGCACACATCACAAAGAAGTTTCTGAGGATGCTGCTGTCTACTTTTTATACGTAATCCCGTTTCCAAAGAAATCCTCCAAGCTATCCAAATATCCACTTGCAGATACCACAGAAAGACTGTTTCAAAACTGCTCTGTCAATAGAAAGGTTCAACTCTGTTAGCTGCGTCCATATATCTCAAAGAGGATTCTGAGATTGCTTCTGTCTACTTTTTATGAGAAGATATTTCCCTTTTCACGGTAGGTGTCAAGGCGCTCCAAATGTCCACTTCCAGATACTACAAAAAGAGTGTTTCAAACCTACTCTGTGAAAGGGAATATTCAACTCTGTGACTTGAATGCACATATCACAAAGAAGTTTCTGAGAATGCTTCTGTCGGGATTTTATATGAATATATTCACGTTTCCAACGAAATCCTGAAATCTATCCAAATATCCCCTCGCAGATTCTACAAAAAGAGTGTTTCAAAAGTGCTCTGTAAAAAGAAAGGTTCAACTCTGTTAGTTGAGTACACACATCACAAACAAGTTTCACAGAATGCTTCTTTCTAGCTTGTAGGGGAAGATATTCCCTTTATCACCATGGGCCTCAAACCGTCCGAAACGTCCACTTCCATATAATACAAAAAGAACGCTTCAAACCTGCTCTATGAAAGACAATGTTCAACTCTGTGACTTGAATGCAGACATCACAGAGCAGTTTCTGAGAATGCTTCTGTCTAGATTTTACAGGAAGATATTCCCGTTTCCAACGAAATCTTCACAGCTATCCAAATATCCACTTGCAGATTCTACAAAAAGAGTGTATCAAAACTGCTCTGTCAAAAGGAAGGTTCTTCTCTTTTAGGTGAGTGCATACGTCATAAAGGAATTTCTGAGAATGTTTCTGTCTAGTGGTTATGGGAAGATATTTGCTTTTTCACCGTAGGCCTCAGAGCCCTCCAAATATCCACTTGCACATACTACAAAAAGAGTGCTTCAAACCTGCTCTCTGAAACGGAATGTTCAACTCTGAGTTGAATGCAAACATCACAAAGACGTTTCTGAGAATGCTTCTGTCTAGATTTGATATGAAGATATTCCCGTTTCCAACGAAATCTTCAAATCTATCCAAATGTCCACTTGCAGATTCAACAAAAAGTGTTTTTCAGAACTGCTCTATCAAAAGGAAAGATCCACCTCTGTTAGCTGAGTTCACACATCACAAACAAGTTTATGAGAATGCTTCTGTCTAGTTTTTATTTAAAGATATTTCCTTTCTCACCATAGAGCTGAAAGCTGTCCTAATATTCACTTCCAGATACTACAGAAAGAGTGTTTCAAAACTGCTGTACGAAAGGGAATGTTCAACTCTGTGACTTGAATGCACACATCACAAAGAAGTTTCTGAGGATGCTGCTGTCTACTTTTTATACGTAATCCCGTTTCCAACGAAATCCTCCAAGCTATCCAAATATCCACCTGCAGATTCCACAGAAAGACTGTTTCAAAACTGCTCTGTCAATAGAAAGGTTCAACTCTATTAGCTGCGTACATATATCCCAAAGAAGATTCTGAGATTGCTTCTGTCTAGTTTTTATGGGAAGATATTTCCCTTTTCACCGTAGGTGTCAAGGCGCTCCAAATGTCCACTTCCAGATACTACAAAAGGAGTGTTTCAAACCTACTCTGTGAAAGGGAATATTCAACTCTGTGACTTGAATGCAGATATCACAAAGAAGATTCTGAGAATGCTTCTGTCGAGATTTTATATGAAGATATTCCCGTTTCCAACGAAATCCTGAAATCTATCCAAATATCGCCTCGCAGATTCTACAAAAAGAGTGTTTCAAAACTGCTCTGTAAAAAGAACGGTTCAACTCTGTTAGTTGAGTACACACATCACAAACAAGTTTCACAGAATGCTTCTTTCTAGCTTGTAGGGGAAGGTATTCCCTTTATCACCATGGGCCTCAAACCGTCCGAAACGTCCACTTCCATATACTACAAAAAGAGCGTTTCAAACCTGCTCTAGGAAAGGCAATGTTCAACTCTGTGACTTGAATGCAGACATCACAGAGCAGTTTCTGAGAATGCTTCTGTCTAGGTTTTATAGGAAGATATTCCCGTTTCCAACGAAATCTTCACAGCTATCCAAATATCCACTTGCAGATTCTACAAAAAGTGTGTATCAAAACTGCTCTGTCAAAAGGAAGGTTCTTCTCTGTTAGTTGAGTACATACGTCATAAAGGAGTTTCTGAGAATGTTTCTGTCTAGTGGTTATGGGAAGATATTTGCTTTTTCACCGTAGGCCTCAGAGCGCTCCAAATATCCACTTGCACATACTACAAAAAGAGTGCCTCAAAGCTGCTCTCTGAAACGGAATGTTCAACTCTATGAGTTGAATTCAAACATCACAAAGACGTTTCTGAGAATGCTTCTGTCTAGATTTGATAGGAAGATATTCCCGTTTCCAACGAAATCTTCAAATCTATCCAAATGTCCACTTGCAGATTCAACAAAAAGTGTTTTTCAGAACTGCTCTATCAAAAGAAATATCCACCTCTGTTAGCTGAGTTCACACATCAAAAACAAGTTTATGAGAATGCTTCTGTCTAGTTTTTATTTGAAGATATTTCCTTTCTCACCATAGACCTGAAAGCTGTCCTAATGTTCACTTCCAGATACTACAGAAAGAGTGTTTCAAAACTGCTCTACGAAAGGGAATGTTCAACTCTGTGACTTGAATGCACACATCACAAAGAAGTTTCTGAGGATGCTGCTGTCTACTTTTTATACGTAATCCCGTTTCCAACAAAATCCTCCAAGCTATCCAAATATCCACTTGCAGATTCCACAGAAAGACTGTTTCAAAACTGCTCTGTCAATAGAAAGGTTCAACTCCGTTAGCTGCGTGCATATATCCCAAAGAAGATTCTGAGATTGCTTCTGTCTAGTTTTTATGGGAAGATATTTCCCTTTTCACTGTAGGCGTCAAGGCGCTCCAAATGTCCACTTCCAGATACTACAAAAAGAGTGTTTCAAACCTACTCTGTGAAAGGGAATATTCAACTCCTGTGACTTGAATGCAGATATCACAAAGAAGTTTGCTGAGAATGCTTCTGTCGAGATTTTATATGAAGATATTCCCCTTTCCAACGAAATCCTGAAATCTATCCAAATATCCCCTCGCAGATTCTACAAAAAGAGTGTTTCAAAACTGCTCTGTAAAAAGAAAGGTTCAACTCTGTTAGTTGAGTACACACATCACAAAGAAGTTTCACAGAATGCTTCTTTCTAGCTTGTAGGGGAAGATATTCCCTTTATCACCATGGGCCTCAAACCGTCTGAAACGTCCACTTCCATATACTACAAAAAGAGCATTTCAAACCTGCTCTATGAAAGGCAATGTTCAACTCTGTGACTTGAATACAGACATCACAGAGCAGTTTCTGAGAATGCTTCTGTCTAGATTTTATAGGAAGATATTCCCGTTTCCAACGATATCTTCACAGCTATCCCAATATCCACTTGCAGATTCTACAAAAAGAGTGTATCAAAACTGCTCTGTCAAAAGGAAGGTTCTTCTCTGTTAGGTGAGTGCATACCGTCATAAAGGAGTTTCTGAGAATGTTTCTGTCTAGTGGTTATGGGAAGATATTTGCTTTTTCACCGTAGGCCTCAGAGCGCTCCAAATATCCCCTTGCACATACTACAAAAAGAGTGCTTCAAAGCTGCTCTCTGAAACGGAATGTTCAAATCTATGAGTTGAATGCAAACATCACAAAGACGTTTCTGGGAATGCTTCTGTCTAGATTTGATATGAAGATATTCCCGTTTCCAACGAAATCTTCAAATCTATCCAAATGTCCACTTGCAGATTCAACAAAGTGTTTCTCAAAACTGCTGTATCAAAAGAAAGATCCACCTCTGTTACCTGAGTTCACACTTCGCAAACAAGTTTATGAGAATGCTTCTGTCTAGTTTTTATTTGAAGATATTGCCTTTCTCACCATAGACCTGAAAGCTGTCCTAATGTTCACTTCCAGATACTACAGAAAGAGTGTTTCAAAACTGCTGTACGAAAGGGAATGTTCAACTCTGTGACTTGAATGCACACATCACAAAGTAGTTTCTGAGGATGCTGCTGTCTACTTTTTATACGTAATCCCGTTTCCAACGGAAATCCTCCAAGCTATCCAAATATCCACTTGCAGATTCCACAGAAAGACTGTTTCAAAACTGCTCTGTCAATAGAAAGGTTCAACTCTGTTAGCTGCATGCATATATCCCAAAGAAGATTCTGAGATTGCTTCTGTCTAGTTTTTATGGGAAGATATTTCCCTTTTCACCGTAGGTGTCAAGGCGCTCCAAATGTCCACTTCCAGATACTACAAAAAGAGTGTTTCAAACCTACTCTGTGAAAGGGAATATTCAACTCTGTGACTTGAATGCACATATTACAAAGAAGTTTCTGAGAATGCTTCTGTCGAGATTTTATATGAAGATATTCCCGTTTCCAACGAAATGCTGAAATGTATCAAATATCCCCTCGCAGATTCTACAAAAAGAGTGTTTCAAAACTGCTCTGTAAAAAGAGAGGTTCAACTCTGTTAGTTGAGTACACACATCACAAACAAGTTTCACAGAATGCTTCTTTCTAGCTTGTAGGGGAAGATATTCCCTTTATTACCATGGGCCTCCAACCGTCCGAAACATCCACTTCCATATACTACAAAAAGAGCGTTTCAAACCTGCTCTATGAAAGGCAATGTTCAACTCTGTGACTTGAATGCAGACATCACAGAGCAGTTTCTGAGAATGCTTCTCTCTAGATTTTATAGGAAGATATTCCCGTTTCCAACGAAATCTTCACAGCTATCCAAATATCCACTTGCAGATTCTACAAAAAGAGTGTATCAAAACTGCTCTGTCAAAAGGAAGGTTCTTCTCTGTTAGGTGAATGCATACGTCATAAAGGAGTTTCTGAGAATGTTTCTGTCTAGTGGTTATGGGAAGATATTTGCTTTTTCACCGTAGGCCTCAGAGCGCTCCAAATATCCACTTGCACATACTACAAAAAGAGTGCTTCAAATCTGGTCTCTGAAACGGAATGTTCAACTCTATGAGTTGAATGCAAACATCACAAAGACGTTTCTGAGAATGCTTCTGTCTAGATTTGATATGAAGATATTCCCGTTTCCAACGAAATCTTCAAATCTATCCAAATGTCCACTTGCAGATTCAACAAAAAGTGTTTTTCAGAACTGCTCTATCAAAAGAAAGATCCACCTCTGTTAGCTGAGTTCACACATCACAAACAATTTATGAGAATGCTTCTGTCTAGTTTTTATTTGAAGATATATCCTTTCTCACTATAGACCTGAAATCTGTCCTAAAGTTCACTTCCAGATACTACAGAAAGAGTGTTTCAAAACTGCTGTACGAAAGGGAATGTTCAACTCTGTGACTTGAATGCACACATCACAAGGATGTTTCTGAGGATGCTGCTGTCTACTTTTTATACGTAATCCCGTTTCCAACGAAATCCCCCAAGCTATCCAAATATCCACTTGCAGATTCCACAGAAAGACTGTTTCAAAACTGCTCTGTCAATAGAAAGGTTCAACTCTATTAGCTGCGTACATATATCCCAAAGAAGATTCTGAGATTGCTTCTGTCTAGTTTTTATGGGAAGATATTTCCCTTTTCACCGTAGGCGTCAAGGCGCTCCAAATGTCCACTTCCAGATACTACAAAAAGAGTGTTTCAAACATACTCTGTGAAAGCGAATATTCAACTCTGTGACTTGAATGCACATATCACAAAGAAGTTTCTGAGAATGCTTCTGTCGAGATTTTATATGAAGATATTCCCCTTTCCAACGAAATCCTGAAATCTATCCAAATATCCCCTCGCAGATTCTACAAAAAGAGTGTTTCAAAACTGCTCTGTAAAAAGAAAGGTTCAACTCTGTTAGTTGAGTAAACACATCACAAACAAGTTTCACAGAATGCTTCTTTCTAGCTTGTAGGGGAAGATATTCCCTTTATCACCATGGGCCTCAAACCGTCCGAAAAGTCCACTTCCATATACTACAAAAAGAGCATTTCAAACCTGCTCTATGAAAGGCAATGTTCAACTCTGTGACTTGAATGCAGCCATCACAGAGCAGTTTCTGAGAATGCTTCTGTCTAGATTTTATAGGAAGATATTCCCGTTTCCAACGAAATCTTCACAGCTATCCAAATATCCACTTGCAGATTCTACAAAAACAGTGTATCAAAACTGCTCTGTCAAAAGGAAGGTTCTTCTCTGTTAGGTGAGTGCATACGTCATAAAGGAGTTTCTGAGAATGTTTCTGTCTAGTGGTTATGGGAAGATATTTGCTTTTTCACCTTACGCCTCAGAGTGCTCCAAATATCCTTTTGCACATACTACAAAAAGAGTGTTTCAAAGCTGCTCCCTGAAACGGAATGTTCAAATCTATGAGTTGAATGCAAACATCACAAAGACGTATCTGGGAATGCTTCTGTCTAGATTTGATATGAAGATATTCCCGTTTCCAACGAAATCTTCAAATCTATCCAAATGTCCACTTGCAGATTCAACAAAAAGTGTTTTTCCGAACTGCTCTATCAAAAGAAAGATCCACATCTGTTAGCTGAGTTCACACATCACAAACAAGTTTATGAGAATGCTTCTGTCTAGTTTTTATTTGAAGATATTACCTTTCTCACCATAGACCTGAAAGCTGTCCTAATGTTCACTTCCAGATACTACAGAAAGAGTGTTTCAAAACTGCTGTACGAAAGGGAATGTTCAACTCTGTGACTTGAATGCACACATCACAAAGAAGTTTCTGAGGATGCTGCTGTCTAATTTTTATACGTAATCCCGTTTCCAACGAAATCCTCCAAGCTATCCAAATATCCACTTGCAGATTCCACAGAAAGACTGTTTCAAAACTACTCTGCCAATAGAAAGGATCAACTCTGCTAGCTGCGCGCATATATCCCAAAGAAGATTCTGAGATTGCTTCTGTCTAGTTTTGATGGGAAGATATTTCCCTTTTCACCGTAGGCGTCAAGGCGCTCCAAATGTCCACTTCCAGATACTGCAAAAAGAGTGTTTCAAACCTACTCTGTGAAAGGGAATATTCAACTCTGTGCCTGGAATGCAGATATCACAAAGAAGTTTCTGAGAATGCTTCTGTCGAGATTTTATATGAAGATATTCCCGTTTCCAACGAAACCCTGAAATCTATCAAAATATCCCCTCGCAGATTCTACAAAAAGAGTGTTTCAAAACTGCTCTGTAAAAAGAAAGGTTCAACTCTGTTAGTTGAGTACACACATCACAAACAAGTTTCACAGAATGCTTCTTTCTAGCTTGTAGGGGAAGATATTCCCTTTATCACCATGGGCCTCAAACCTTCCGAAAAGTCCACTTCCATATACTACAAAAAGAGCGTTTCAAACCTGCTCTATGAAAGGCAATGTTCAACTCTGTGACTTGAATGCAGACATCACAGAGCAGTTTCTGAGAATGCTTCTGTCTAGATTTTATAGGAAGATATTCCCGTATCCAACGAAATCTTCACAGCTATCCAAATATCCACTTGCAGATTCTACAAAAAGAGTGTATCAAAACTGCTCTGTCTAAAGGAAGGTTCTTCTCTGTTAGTTGAGTACATACGTCATAAAGGAGTTTCTGAGAATGTTTCTGTCTAGTGGTTATGGGAAGATATTTTCTTTTTCACCGTAGGCCTCAGAGCGCTCCAAATATCCACTTGCACATACTACAAAAAGAGTGTTTCAAAGCTGCTCTCTGAAAGGGAATGTTCAACTCTATGAGTTGAATGCAAACAGGACAAAGACGTTTCTGAGAATGCTTCTGTCTAGATTTTATATGAAGATATTCCCGTTTCCAACGAAATCTTCAAATCTATCCAAATGTCCACTTGCAGATTCAACAAAAAGTGTTTTTCAGAACTGCTCTATCAAAAGAAAGATCCACCTCTGTTAGCTGAGTTCACACATCACAAACAAGTTTATGAGAATGCTTCTGTCTAGTTTTTATTTGAAGATATTGCCTTTCTCACCATAGACCCGAAAGCTGTCCTAATGTTCACTTCCAGATACTACAGAAAGAGTGTTTCAAAACTGCTGTACGAAAGGGAATGTTCAACTCTGTGACTTGAATGCACACATCACAAAGAAGTTTCTGAGGATGCTGCTGTCTACTTTTTATACATAATCCCGTTTCCAACGAAATCCTCCAAGCTATCCAAATATCCACTTCCAGATTCCACAGAAAGACTGTTTCAAAACTGCTCTGTCAATAGAAAGGTTCAACTCTGTTAGCTGCGTGCATATATCCCAAAGAAGATTCTGAGATTGCTTCTGTCTAGTTTTTATGGGGAGATATTTCCCTTTTCACCGTAGGCGTCAAGGCGCTACAAATGTCCACTTCCAGATACTACAAAAAGAGTGTTTCAAACCTACTCTGTGAAAGGGAATATTCAACTCTGTGACTTGAATGCACATATCACAAAGAAGTTTCTGAGAATGCTTCTGTCGAGATTTTATATGAAGATATTCCCGTTTCCAACGAAATCCTGAAATCTATCCAAATATCCCCTCGCAGATTCTACAAAAAGAGTGTTTCAAAACTGCTCTGTAAAAAGAAAGGTTCAACTCTGTTACTTCAGTACACACATCACAAACAAGTTTCACAGAATGCTTCTTTCTAGCTTGTAGGGGAAGATATTCCCTTTATCACCATGGGCCTCAAACCGTCCGAAACGTCCACTTCCATATAGTACAAAAAGAGCGTTTCAAACCTGCTCTAGGAAAGGCAATGTTCAACTCTGTGACTTGAATGCAGACATCACAGAGCAGTTTCTGAGAATGCTTCTGTCTAGATTTTATAGGAAGAATTTCCCGTTTCCAACGAAATCTTCACAGCTATCCAAATATCCACTTGCAGATTCTACAAAAAGAGTGTATCAAAACTGCTCTGTCAAAAGGAAGGTTCTTCTCTGTTAGGTGAGTGCATACGTCATAAAGGAGTTTCTGAGAATGTTTCTGTCTAGTGGTTATGGGAAGATATTTGCTTTTTCACCATAGGCCTCAGAGGGCTCCATATATCCACTTGCACATACTACAAAAAGAGTGCTTCAAAGCTGCTCTCTGAAAGGGAATGTTCAACTCTATGAGTTGAATGCTAACATCACAAAGACGTTTCTGAGAATGCTTCTGTCTAGATTTGATATGAAGATATTCCCGTTTCCAACGAAATCTTCAAATCTATCCAAATGTCCTCTTGCATATTCAACAAAAAGTGTTTTTCAGAACTGCTCTATCAAAAGAAAGATCCACGTGTGTTAGCTGAGTTCACGCATCACGAACAAGTTTATGAGAATGCTTCTGTCTAGTTTTTATTTGAAGATATTTCCTTTCTCACCATAGACCTGAAAGCTGTCCTAATGTTCACTTCCAGATACTACAGAAACAGTGTTTCAAAACTGCTGTATGAAAGGGAATGTTCAACTCTGTGACTTGAATGCACACATCACAAAGAAGTTTCTGAGGATGCTGCTGTCTACTTTTTATACGTAATCCCGTTTCCAATGAAATCCTCCAAGCTATCTAAATATCCACTTGCAGATTCCACAGAAAGACTGTTTCAAAACTGCTCTGTCAATAGAAAGGCTCAACTCTGTTAGCTGCGTGCATATATCCCAAAGAAGATTCTGAGATTGCTTCTGTCTACTTTTTATGAGAAGTTATTTCCCTTTTCACCGTAGGTGTCAAGGCGCTCCAAATGTCCACTTCCAGATACTACAAAAAGAGTGTTTCAAACCTACTCTGTGAAAGGGAATATTCAACTCTGTGACTTGAATGCACATATCACAAAGAAGTTTCTGAGAATGCTTCTGTCGAGATTTTATATGAAGATATTCCCGTTTCCAACGAAATCCTGAAATGTATCCAAATATCCCCTCGCAGATTCTACAAAAAGAGTGTTTCAAAACTGCTCTGTAAAAAGAAAGGTTCAACTCTGTTACTTGAGTACACACATCACAAACAAGTTTCACAGAATGCTTCTTTCTAGCTTGTAGGGGAAGATATTTCCTTTATCACCATGGTCCTCAAACCGTCCGAATCGTCCACTTCCATATACTAAAAAAAGAGTGTTTGAAACCTGCTCTATGAAAGGCAATGTTCAACTCTGTGACTTGAATCCAGACATCACAGAGCAGTTTCTGAGAATGCTTCTGTCCAGACTTTATAGGAAGATATTCCCGTTTCCAACGAAATCTTCACAGCTATCCACATATCCACTTGCAGATACTACAAAAAGTGTGTATCCAAAGTGCTCTGTCAAAAGGAAAGTTCTTCTCTGCTACTTGAGTACATACATCATAAAGAAGTTTCTGAGAATGTTTCTGTCTAGTGGTTATGGGAAGATATTTGCTTTTTCACCGTAGGCCTCAGATCGCTCCAAATATCCACTTGCACATACTACAAAAAGAGTGCTTCAAACCTGCTCTCTGAAACGGAATGTTCAACTCTATAAGTTGAATGCAAACATCACAAAGACGTTTCTGAGAATGCTTCTGTCTAGATTTGATATGAAGATATTCCCGTTTCCAACGAAATCTTCAAATCTATCCAAATGCCCACTTGCAGATTCAACAAAAAGTGTTTTTCAGAACTGCTCTATCAAAAGAAAGATCCACCTCTGTTAGCTGAGTTCACACATCACAAACAAGTTTCTGAGAATGCTTCTGTCTAGTTTTTATTTGAAGATATTTCCTTTCTCACCATAGAGCTGAAAGCTGTCCTAATGTTCACTTCCAGATACTACAGAAAGAGTGTTTCAAAACTGCTGTAGGAAAGGGAATGTTCAACTCTGTGACTTGAATGCACACATCACAAAGAAGTTTCTGAGGATGCTGCTGTCTACTTTTGATACGTAATCCCGTTTCCAACGAAATCCTCCAATCTATCCAAATATCCACTTGCAGATTCCACAGAAAGACTGTTTCAAATCTGCTCAGTCAATAGAAAGGTTCAACTCTGTTAGCTGCGTGCATATATCCCAAAGAAGATTCTGAGATTGCTTCTGTCTAGTTTTTACGGGAAGATATTTCCCTTTTCACCGTAGGTGTCAATGCGCTCCAAATGTCCACTTCCAGATACTACAAAAAGAGTGTTTGAAACCTACTCTGTGAAAGGGAATATTCCGCTCTGTGACTTGAATGCAGATATCACAATGAAGTTTCTGAGAATGCTTCTGTCGAGATTTTATATGAAGATATTCCCGTTTCCAACGAAATCCTGAAATGTATCCAAATATCCCCTCGCAGATTCTACAGAAAGAGTGTTTCAAAACTGCTCTGTAAAAAGAAAGGTTCAACTCTGTTAGTTGAGTACACACATCACAAACAAGTTTCACAGAATGCTTCTTTCTAGCTTGTAGGGGAAGATATTCCCTTTATCACCATGGGCCTCAAACCGTCCGAAACGTCCACTTCCATATACTACAAAAAGAGCGTTTCAAACCTGCTCTATGAAAGGCAATGTTCAACTCTGTGACTTGAATGCAGACATCACAGAGCGGTTTCTGAGAATGCTTCTGTCTAGATTTTATAGGAAGATATTCCCGTTTCCAACGAAATCTTCACAGCTACCCAAATATCCACTTGCAGATTCTACAAAAAGAGTGTATCAAAACTGCTCTGTCAAAAGGAAGGTTCTTTTCTGTTAGTTGAGTGCATACATCATAAAGGAGTTTCTGAGAATGTTTCTGTCTAGTGGTTATGGGAAGATATTTGCTTTTTCCCCGTAGGCCTCAGGGCGCTCCAAATGTCCACTTGCACATGCTACAAAAAGAGTGCTTCAAAGCTACTCTCTGGAAGGGAATGTTCAACTCTATGAGTTGAATGCAAACATCACAAAGACGTTTCTGAGACTGCTTCTGTCTAGATTTGATATGAAGATATTCCCGTTTCCAACGAAATCTTCAAATCTATACAAATGTCCACTTGCAGATTCAACAAAGTGTTTTTCAAAACTGCTGTATCAAAAGAAAGATCCACCTGTGTTAGCTGAGTTCACACTTCACAAACAAGTTTATCAGTATTCTTCTGTCTAATTTTTATTTGAAGATATATCCTTTCTCACTATAGACCTGAAAGCTCTCCTAATGTTCACTTCCAGATACTACAGAAAGAGTGTTTCAAAACTACTGTACGAAAGGGAAAGTTCAACTCTGTGACTGGAATGCACAAATCACAAGGAAGTTTCTGAGGATGCTGCTGTCTACTTTTTATACGTAATCCCGTTTCCAACGAAATCCTCCAATCTATCCAAATATCCACTTGCAGATTCCACAGAAAGACTGTTTCAAAACTGCTCTGTCAATAGAAAGGTTCAACTCTGTTAGCTGTGTGCATATATCCCAAAGAAGATTCTGAGATTGCTTCTGTCTAGTTTTTATGGGAAGATATTTTCCTTTTCACCGTAGGCGTCAAGGCGCTCCAAATGTCCACTTCCAGATACTACAAAAAGAGTGTTTCAAACCTACTCTGTGAAAGGGAATATTCAACTCTGTGACTTGAATGCACATATCACAAGGAAGTTTCTGAGAATGCTTCTGTCGAGATTTTCGATGAAGATATTCGCGTTTCCAACGAAATCCTGAAATCTATCCAAATATCCCCTCGCAGATTCTACAAAAAGAGTGTTTCAAAACTGCTCTGTAAAAAGAAAGGTTCAACTCTGTTAGTTGAGTACACACATCACAAACAAGTTTCACAGAATGCTTCTTTCTAGCTTGTAGGGGCAGATATTCCCTTTATCACCATGGGCCTCAAACCGTCCGAAACGTCTACTTCCATATACTACAAAAAGAGCGTTTCAAACCTGCTCTATGAAAGGCAATGTTCAACTCTGTGACTTGAATGCAGACATCACAGAGCAGTTTCTGAGAATGCTTCTGTCTAGATTTTATAGGAAGATATTCCCATTTCCAACGAAATCTTCACAGCTATCCAAATATCCACTTGCAGATTCTACAAAAAGAGTGTATCAAAACTGCTCTGTCAAAAGGAAGGTTCTTCTCTGTTAGTTGAGTACATACGTCATAAAGGAGTTTCTGAGAATGTTTCTGTCTAGTGGTTATGGGAAGATATTTGCTTTTTCCCCGTAGGCCTCAGAGCGCTCCAAATATCCACTTGCACATACTACAAAAAGAGTGCTTTAAAGCTGCTCTCTGAAAGTGAATGTTCAACTCTATGAGTTGAATGCAAACATCACAAAGACGTTTCTGAGAATGTTTCTGTCTACATTTGATATGAAGATATTCCCGTTTCCAACGAAATCTTCAAATTTATCCAAATGTCCACTTGCAGATTCAACAAAGTGTTTTTCAAAACTGCTGTATCAAAAGAAAGATCAAACTCTGTTAGCGGAGTTCACACTTCACAAACAAGTTTATCAGAATTCTTGTGTCTAGTTTTTATTTGAAGATATTTCCTTTCTCACCATAGACCTGAAAGCTGTCCTAATGTTCACTTCCAGATACTACAGAAAGAGTGTTTCAAAACTGCTGTACGAAAGGGAATGTTCAACTCTGTGACTTGAATGCACACATCACAAAGAAGTTTCTGAGGATGCTGCTGTCTACTTTTTATACGTAATCCCGTTTCCAACGAAATCCTCCAAGCTATCCAAATATCCACTTGCAGATTCCACAGAAAGACTGTTTCAAAACTGCTCTGTCAATAGAAAGGTTCAACTCTGTTAGCTGCGTGCATATATCCCAAAGAAGATTCTGAGATTACTTCTGTCTAGTTTTTATGGGAAGATATTTCCCTTTTCACTGTAGGTGTCATGGCGCTCCAAATGTCCACTTCCAGATACTACAAAAAGAGTGTTTCAAACCTACTCTGTGAAAGGGAATATTCAACTCTGTGACTTGAATGCACATATCACAAAGAAGTTTCTGAGAATGCTTCTGTCGAGATTTTATATGAAGATATTCCCGTTTCCAACGAAATCCTGAAATCTATCCAAATATCCCCTCGCAGATTCTACAAAAAGAGTGTTTCAAAACTGCTCTGTAAAAAGAAAGGTTCAACTCTGTTAGTTGAGTACACACATCACAAACAAGTTTCACACAATGCTTCTTTCTAGCTTGGAGGGGAAGATATTCCCTTTATCACCATGGGCCTCCAACCGTCCGAAACATCCACTTCCATATACTACAAAAAGAGCGTTTCAAACCTGCTCTATGAAAGGCAATGTTCAACTCTGTGACTTGAATGCAGACATCACAGAGCAGTTTCTGAGAATGCTTCTGTCTAGATTTTATAGGAAGATATTACCGTTTCCAACGAAATCTTCACAGCTATCCCAATATCCACTTGCAGATTCTACAAAAAGAGTGTATCAAAACTGCTCTGTAAAAAGGAAGGTTCTTCTCTGTTAGGTGAGTGCACACGTCATAAAGGAGTTTCTGAGAATGTTTCTGTCTAGTGGTTATGGGAAGATATTTGCTTTTTCACCGTAGGCCTCAGAGCGCTCCAAATATCCACTTGCACATGCTACAAAAAGAGTGCTTCAAAGCTGCTCTCTGAAACGGAATGTTCAACTCTATGAGTTGAATGCAAACATCACAAAGACGTTTCTGAGAATGCTTCTGTCTAGATTTGATATGAAGATATTCCCGTTTCCAACGAAATCTTCAAATCTATCCAAATGTCCACTTGCAGATTCAACAAAACGTGTTTTTCAGAACTGCTCTATCAAAAGAAAGATCCACGTCTGTTAGCTGAGTTCAGACATCACAAACAAGTTTATGAGAATGCTTCTCTCTAGTTTTTATTTGAAGATATTTCCTTTCTCACCATAGAGCTGAAAGCTGTCCTAATGTTCACTTCCAGATACTACAGAAAGAGTGTTTCAAAACTGCTGTACGAAAGGGAATGTTCAACTCTGTGACTTGAATGCACACATCACAAAGAAGTTTCGGAGGATGCTGCTGTCTACTTATTATACGTAATCCCGTTTCCAACGAAATCCTCCAAGCTATCCAAATATCCACTTGCAGATTCCACAGAAAGACTCTTTCAAAACTGCTCTGTCAATAGAAAGGTTCAACTCTGTTAGCTGCGTGCATATATCCCAAAGAAGATTCTGAGATTGCTTCTGTCTACTTTTTATGAGAAGATATTTCCCTTTTCACCGTAGGTGTCAAGGCGCTCCAAATGTCCACTTCCAGATACTAGAAAAAGAGTGTTTCAAACCTACTCTGTGAAAGGGAATATTCAACTCTGTGACTTGAATGCACATATCACAAAGAAGCTTCTGAGAATGCCTCTGTCGAGATTTTATGTGAAGATATTCCCGTTTCCAACGAAATCCTGAAATCTATCCAAATATCCCCTCGCAGATTCTACAAAAAGAGTGTTTCAAAACTGCTCTGTAAAAAGAAAGGTTCAACTCTGTTAGTTCAGTACACACATCACAAACAAGTTTCACAGAATGCTTCTTTCTAGCTTGTAGGGGAAGATATTCCCTTTATCACCATGGGCCTCAAACCGTCTGAAACGTCCACTTCCATATACTACAAAAAGAGCATTTCAAACCTGCTCCATGAAAGGCAATGTTCAACTCTGTGAGTTGAATGCAGACATCACAGAGCAGTTTCTGAGAATGCTTCTGTCCAGACTTTATAGGAAGATATTCCCGTTTCCAACGAAATCTTCACAGCTATCCAAATATCCACTTACAGATACTACAAAAAGAGTGTATCAAAAATGCTCTGTCAAAAGGAAAGTTCTTCTCTGCTAGTTGAGTACATACGTCATAAAGAAGTTTCTGAGATTGTTTCTGTTTAGTGGTTATGGGAAGATATTTGCTTTTTCACCTTAGGCCTCAGAGCGCTCCAAATATCCCCTTGCACATACTACAAAAAGAGTGCTTCAAAGCTGCTCTCTGAAACGGAATGTTCAACTCCATGAGTTGAATGCAAACATGACAAAGACGTTTCCGAGAATGCTTCTGTCTAGATTTGATATGAAGATATTCCCGTTTCCAACGAAATCTTCAAATCTATCCAAATGTCCACTTGCAGATTCAAGAAAAAGTGTTTTTCAGAACTGCTCTATCAAAAGAAAGATCCACCTCTGTTAGCTGAGTTCACACATCACAAACAAGTTTATGAGAATGCTTCTGTCTAGTTTTTATGGGAAGATATTTCCCTTTTCACCGTAGGCGTCAAGGCGCTCCAAATGTCCACTTCCAGATACTACAAAAAGAGTGTTTCAAACCTACTCTGTGAAAGGGAATATTCAACTCTGTGACTTGAATGCACACATCACAAAGAAGTTTCTGAGGATGCTGCTGTCTACTTTTTATACGTAATCCCGTTTCCAACGAAATCCTCCAAGCTATCCAAATATCCACTTGCAGATTCCACAGAAAGACTGTTTCAAAACTGCTCTGTCAATAGAAAGGTTCAACTCTGTTAGCTGCGTGCATATATCCCAAAGAAGTTTCTGAGATTGCTTCTGTCTAGTTTTTATGGGAAGATATTTCCCTTTTCACCGTAGGTGTCAAGGCGCTCCAAATGTCCACTTCCAGATACTACAAAAAGAGTGTTTCAAACCTACTCTGTCAAAGGGAATATTCAACTCTGTGACTTGAATGCACATATCACAAAGAAGTTTCTGAGAATGCTTCTGTCGAGATTTTATATGAAGATATGCCCGTTTCCAACGAAATCCTGAAATCTATCCAAATATCCCCTCGCAGATTCTACAAAAAGAGTGTTTCAAAACTGCTCTGTAAAAAGAAAGGTTCAACTCTGTTAGTTGAGTACACACATCACAAACAAGTTTCACAGAATGCTTCTTTCTAGCTTGTAGGGGAAGATATTCCCTTTATCACCATGGGCCTCAAACCGTCCGAAACGTCCACTTCCATATGCTACAAAAAGAGCGTTTCAAACCTGCTCTATGAAAGGCAATGTTCAACTCTGTGACTTGAATGCAGACATCACAGAGCAGTTTCTGAGAATGCTTCTGTCTACATTTTATAGGAAGATATTCCCGTTTCCAACGAAATCTTCACAGCTATCCAAATATCCACTTGCAGATTCTACAAAAAGAGTGTATCAAAACTGCTCTGTCAAAAGGAAGGTTCTTCTCTGTTAGGTGAGTGCATACGTCATAAAGGAGTTTCTGAGAATGTTTCTGTCTAGTGGTTATGGGAAGATATTTGTTTTTTCACCGTAGGCCTCAGAGCGCTCCAAATATCCACTTGCACATACGACAAAAAGAGTGTTTCAAAGCTGCTCTCTGAAAGGGAATGTTCAACTCTATGAGTTGAATGCAAACATGACAAAGACGTTTCTGAGAATGCTTCTGTCTAGATTTGATATGAAGATATTCCCGTTTCCAACGAAATCTTCAAATATATCCAAATGTCCACTTGCAGATTCAACAAAAAGTGTTTTTCAAAACTGCTGTATCAAAAGAAAGATCCACGTCTGTTAGCTGAGTTCACACATCACAAACAAGTTTATGAGAATGCTTCTGTCTAGTTTTTATTTGAAGATATTTCCTTTCTCACCATAGACCTGAAAGCTGTCCTAACGTTCACTTCCAGATACTACAGAAAGAGTGTTTCAAAACTGCTGTACGAAAGGGAATGTTCAACTCTGTGACTTGAATGCACACATCACAAAGAAGTTTCTGAGGATGCTGCTGTCTACTTTTTATACGTAATCCCGTTTCCAAAGAAATCCTCCAATCTATCCAAATATCCACTTGCAGATTCCACAGAAAGACTGTTTCAAAACTGCTCTGTCAATAGAAAGGTTCAACTCTGTTAGCTGCGTGCATATATCCCAAAGAAGATTCTGAGATTGCTTCTGTCTAGTTTTTATGAGAAGATATTTCCCTTTTCACCGTAGGCGTCAAAGCGCTCCAAATGTCCACTTCCAGATACTACAAAAAGAGTGTTTCAAACCTACTCTGTAAAAGGGAATATTCAACTCTGTGACTTGAATGCACATATCACAATGAAGTTTCTGAGAATGCTTCTGTCGAGATTTTATATGAAGATATTCCCGTTTCCAACGAAATCCTGAAATCTATCCAAATATCCCCTCGCAGATTCTACAAAAAGAGTGTTTCAAAACTGCTCTGTAAATAGAAAGGTTCAACTCTGTTAGTTGAGTACACACATCACAAACAAGTTTCACAGAATGCTTCTTTCTAGCTTGTAGGGGAAGATATTCCCTTTATCACCATGGGCCTCAAACCGTCCGAAACGTCCACTTCCATATACTACAAAAAGAGTGTTTCAAACCTGCTCTATGAAAGGCAATGTTCAACTCTGTGACGTGAATGCAGACATCACAGAGCAGTTTCTGAGAATGCTTCTGTCTAGATTTTATAGGAAGATATTCACGTTTCCAACGAAATCTTCACAGCTATCCAAATATCCACTTGCAGATTCTACAAAAAGAGTGTATCAAAACTGCTCTGTCAAAAGGAAGGTTCTTTTCTGTTAGGTGAGTGCATACGTCATAAAGGAGTTTCTGAGAATGTTTCTGTCTAGTGTTTATGGGAAGATATTTGCTTTTTCACCATAGGCCTCATAGCGCTCCAAATGTCCACTTCCACATACTACAAAAAGAGTTCTTCAAAGCTGCTCTCTTAAAGGGAGTGTTCACCTCTATGAGTTGAATGCAAACATCACAAAGTCGTATCTGAGAACGCTTCTGTCTAGATTTGATATGAAGATCTTCCCGTTTCCAACGAAATCTTCAAATCTATCCAAATGTCCACTTGCAGATTCAACAAAAAGTGTTTTTCAGAACTGCTCTATCAAAAGAAAGATCCACCTCTGTTAGCTGAGTTCAGACATCACAAACAAGTTTATGAGAATGCTTCTGTCTAGTTTTTATTTGAAGATATTTCCTTTCTCACCATAGACCTGAAAGCTGTCCTAATGTTGACTTCCAGATACTACAGAAACAGTGTTTCAAAACTGCTGTACGAAAGGGAATGTTCAACTCTGTGACTTGAATGCACACCTCACAAATAAGTTTCTGAGGATGCTGCTGTCTACTTTTTATGCGTAATCCCGTTTCCAACGAAATCCTCGAAGCTATCCAAATATCCACTTGCAGATTCCACAGAAAGACTGTTTCAAAACTGCTCTGTCAATAGAAAGGTTCAACTCTGTTAGCTGCGTGCATATATCCCAAAGAAGATTCTGAGATTGCTTCTGTCTAGTTTTTATGGGAAGATATTTCCCTTTTCACCGTAGGCGTCAAGGCGCTCCAAATGTCCACTTCCAGATACTACAAAAAGAGTGTTTCAAACCTACTCTGTGAAAGGGAATATTCAACTCTGTGACTTTAATGCACATATCACAAAGAAGTTTCTGAGAATGCTTCTGTCGAGATTTTATATGAAGATATTCAAGTTTCCAACGAAATCCTGAAATCTATCCAAATATCCCCTCGCAGATTCTACAAAAAGAGTGTTTCAAAACTGCTCTGTAAAAAGAAAGGTTCAACTCTGTTAGTTGAGTACACACATCACAAACAAGTTTCACAGAATGCTTCTTTCTAGCTTGTAGGGGAAGATATTCCCTTTATCACCATGGGCCTCCAACCGTCCGAAACATCCACTTCCATATAGTACAAAAAGAGCGTTTCAAACCTGCTCTATGAAAGGCAATGTTCAACTCTGTGACTTGAATGCAGACATCACAGAGCAGTTTCTGAGAATGCTTCTGTCTAGATTTTATAGGAAGATATTCCCGTTTCCAACGAAATCTTCACAGCTATCCAAATATCCACTTGCAGATTCTGCAAAAAGAGTGTATCAAAACTGCTCAGTCAAAAGGAAGGTTCTTCTCTGTTAGGTGAGTGCATACGTGATAACGGAGTTTCTGAGAATGTTTCTGTCTAGTGGTTTTGGGAAGATATTTGCTTTTTCACCGTAGGCCTCACAGCGCACCAAATATCCACTTGCACATACTACAAAAAGAGTGCCTCAAAGCTGCTCTCTGAAACGGAATGTTCAACTCTATGGGTTGAATGCAAACATCACAAAGACGTTTCTGAGAATGCTTTCTGTCTAGATTTGATATGAAGATATTCCCGTTTCCAACGAAATCTTCATATCTATCCAAATGTCCACTTGCAGATTCAACAAAAAGTGTTTTTCAAAACTGCTGTATCAAAAGAAAGATCCACGTGTGTTAGCTGAGTTCACACATCACAAACAAGATTATGAGAATGCTTCTGTCTAGTTTTTATTTGAAGATATTTCCTTTCTCACCATAGACCTGAAAGCTGTCCTAATGTTCACTTCCAGTTACTACAGAAAGAGTGTTTCAAAACTGCTGTACGAAAGGGAATGTTCAACTCTGTGACTTGAATGCACACATCACAAAGAAGTTTTTGAGGATGCTGCTGTCTACTTTTTATACGTAATCCCGTTTCCAACGAAATCCTCCAAGCTATCCAAATATCCACTTGCAGATTCCACAGAAAGACTGTTACAAAACTGCTCTGTCAATAGAAAGGTTCAACTCTGTTAGCTGCGTGCATATATCCCAAAGAAGATTCTGAGATTGCTTCTGTCTAGTTTTTATGGGAAGATATTTCCCTTTTCACCGTAGGTGTCAAGGAGCTACAAATGTCCACTTCCAGATACTACAAAAAGAGTGTTTCAAACCTACTCTGTGAAAGGGAATATTCAACTCTGTGACTTGAGTGCAGATATCACAAAGAAGTTCCTGAGAATGCTTCTGTCGAGATTTTATATGAAGATAGTCCCGTTTCCAACGAAATCCTGAAATCTATCCAAATATCCCCTCGCAGATTCTACAAAAAGAGTGTTTCAAAACTGCTCTGTAAAAAGAAAGGTTCAACTCTGTTAGTTGTGTACACACATCACAAACAAGTTTCACAGAATGCTTATTTCTAGCTTGTAGGGGAAGATATTCCCTTTATCACCATGGGCCTCAAACCGTCCGAAACGTCCACTTCCATATACTACAAAAAGAGCGTTTCAAACCTGCTCTAGGAAAGGCAATGTTCAACTCTGTGACTTGAATGCAGACATCTCAGAGCAGTTTCTGAGAATGCTTCTGTCTAGATTTTATAGGAAGATATTCCCGTTTCCTACGAAATCTTCACAGCTATCCAAATATCCACTTGCAGATTCTACAAAAAGAGTGTATCAAAACTGCTCTGTCAAAAGGAAGGTTCTTTTCTGTTAGGTGAGTGCATACGTCATAAAGGAGTTTCTGAGAATGTTTCTGTCTAGTGGTTATGGGAAGATATTTGCTTTTTCACCATAGGCCTCAGAGCGCTCCAAATATCCCCTTGCACATACTACAAAAAGAGTGCTTCAAAGCTGCTCTCTGAAACGGAATGTTCAAATCTATGAGTTGAATGCAAACATCACAAAGACGTTTCTGAGAATGCTTCTGTCTAGATTTGATATGAAGATATTCCCGTTTGCAACGAAATCTTCAAATCTATCCAAATGTCCACTTGCAGATTCAACAAAAAGTGTTTTTCAGAACTGCTCTATCAAAAGAAAGATCCACGTGTGTTAGCTGAGTTCACACATCACGAACAAGTTTATGAGAATGCTTCTGTCTAGTTTTTATTTGAAGATATTTCCTTTCTCACCATAGACCTGAAAGCTGTCCTAATGTTCACTTCCAGGTACTACAGAAAGAGTGTTTCAAAACTGCTGTACGAAAGGGAATGTTCAACTCTGTGACTTCAATGCACACATCACAAAGAAGTTTCTGAGGATGCTGCTGTCTACTTTTTATACATAATCCCTTTTCCAACGAAATCCTCCAAGCTATCCAAATATCCACTTGCAGATTCCACAGAAAGACTGTTTCAAAACTGCTCTGTCAATAGAAAGGTTCAACTCTGATAGCTGCGTGCATATATCCCAAAGAAGATTCTGAGATTGCTTCTGTCTAGTTTTTATGGGAAGATATTTCCCTTTTCACCGTAGGTGTCAAGGAGCTCCAAATGTCCACTTCCAGATACTACAAAAAGAGTGTTTCAAACCTACTCTGTGAAAGGGAATATTCAACTCTGTGACTTAAAGGCAGATATCACAAAGAAGTTTCTGAGAATGCTTCTGTCGAGATTTTATAGGAAGATATTCCCGTTTCCAACAAAATCTTCACAGCTATCCAAATATCCACTTGCAGATTCTACAAAAAGAGTGTATCAAAACTGCTCTGTCAAAAGGAAGGTTCTTCTCTGTTAGGTGAGTGCATACGTCATAAAGGAGTTTCTGAGAATGTTTCTTTCTAGCTTGTAGGGGAAGATATTCCCTTTATCACCATGGGCCTCAAACCATCCGAAACGTCCACTTCCATATACTACAAGAAGAGCGTTTCAAACCTGCTCTAGGAAAGGGAATGTTCAACTCTGTGACTTGAATGCAGACATCACAGAGCAGTTTCTGAGAATGCTTCTGTCTAGATTTTATAGGAAGATATTCCCGTTTCCAACGAAATCTTCACAGCTATCCAAATATCCACTTGCAGATTCTACAAAAAGAGTGTATCAAAACTGCTCTGTCAAAAGGAAGGTTCTTCTCTGTTAGGTGAGTGCATACGTCATAAAGGAGTTTCTGAGAAAGTTTCTGTCTAGTGGTTATGGGAAGATATTTGCTTTTTCACCGAAGGCCTCAGAGCGCTCCAAATATCCACTTGCACATACTACAAAATGAGTGCCTCAAAGCTGCTCTCTGAAACGGAATGTTCAATTCTATGAGTTGAATGCAAACATCACAAAGACGTTTCCGAGAATGCTTCTGTCTAGATTTGATATGAAGATATTCCCGTTTCCAACGAAATCTTCAAATCTATCCAAATGTCCACTTGCAGATTCAACAAAAGAGTTTTTCAGAACTGCTCTATCAAAAGAAAGATCCACCTCTGTAAGCTGAGTTCACACATCACAAACAAGTTTATGAGAATGCTTCTGTCTAGTTTTTATTTGAAGATATTTCCTTTCTCACCATAGACCTGAAAGCTGTCCTAATGTTCACTTCCAGATACTACAGAAAGAGTGTTTCAAAACTGCTGTATGAAAGGGAATGTTCAACTCTGTGAATTGAATGCACACATCACAAAGAAGTTTCTGAGGATGCTGCTGTCTACTTTTTATACGTAATCCCGTTTCCAACGAAATCCTCCAAGCTATCCAAATATCCACTTGCAGATTCCACAGAAAGACTGTTTCAAATCTGCTCAGTCAATAGAAAGGTTCAACTCTGTTAGCTGCGTGCATATATCCCAAAGAAGATTCTGAGATTGCTTCTGTCTAGTTTTTATGGGAAGATATTTCCCTTTTCACCGTAGGTGTCAAGGCGCTCCAAATGTCCACTTCCAGATACTACAAAAAGAGTGTTTTAAACCTACTCTGTGAAAGGGAATATTCAACTCTGTGACTTGAATGCACATATCACAAAGAAGTTTCTGAGAATGCTTCTGTCGAGATTTTATATGAAGATATTCCCGTTTCCAACGAAATCCTGAAATCTATCCGAATATCCCCTCGCAGATTCTACAAAAAGAGTGTTTCAAAACTGCTCTGTAAAAAGAAAGGTTCAACTCTGTTAGTTGAGTACACACATCACAAACAAGTTTCACAGAATGCTTCTTTCTAGCTTGTAGGGGAAGATATTCCCTTTATCACCATGGGCCTCAAACCGTCCGAAACGTCCACTTCCATATACTACAAAAACAGCATTTCAAACCTGCTCTAGGAAAGGCAATGTTCAACTCTGTGACTTGAATGCAGACATCACAGAGCAGTTTCTGAGAATGCTTCTGTCTAGATTTTATAGGAAGATATTCCCGTTTCCATCGAAAACTTCACAGCTATCCAAATATCCACTTGCAGATTCTACAAAAAGAGTGTATCAAAACTGCTCTGTCAAAAGGAAGGTTTTTCTCTGTTAGTTGAGTGCATACGTCATAAAGGAGTTTCTGAGAATGTTTCTGTCTAGTGGCTATGGGAAGATATTTGCTTTTTCACCGTAGGCCTCAGAGCGCTCCAAATATCCACTTGCACATACTACAAAAAGAGTGCCTCAAAGCTGCTCTCTGAAACGGAATGTTCAACTCTATGAGTTGAATGCAAACATCACAAAGACGTTTCTGAGAATGCTTCTGTCTAGATTTGATATGAAGATATTCCCGTTTCCAACGAAATCTTCAAATCTATCCAAATGTCCACTTGCATAATCAACAAAAAGTGTTTTTCACAACTGCTCTATCAAAAGAAAGATCCACCTCTGTTAGCTGAGTTCACACATCACAAACAAGTTTATGAGAATGCTTCTGTCTAGTTTTTATTTGAAGATATATCCTTTCTCACTATAGACCTGAAAGCTCTCCTAATGTTCACTTCCAGATACTACAGAAAGAGTGTTTCAAAACTGCTGTACGAAAGGGAAAGTTCAACTCTGTGACTTGAATGCACACATCACAAGGAAGTTTCTGAGGATGCTGCTGTCTACTTTTTCTACGTAATCCTGTTTCCAACGAAATCCTCGAAGCTATCCAAATATCCACTTGCAGATTCCACAGAAAGACTGTTTCAAACCTGCTCTGTCAATAGAAAGGTTCAACTCTGTTAGCTACGTGCATATATCCCAAAGAAGATTCTGAGATTGCTTCTGTCTAGTTTTTATGGGAAGATATTTTCCTTTTCACCGTAGGCGTCAAGGCGCTCCAAATGTCCACTTCCAGATACTACAAAAAGAGTGTTTCAAACCTACTCTGTGAAAGGGAATATTCAACTCTGTGACTTGAATGCACATATCACAAAGAAGTTTCTGAGAATGCTTCTGTCGAGATTTTATATGAAGATATTCCCCTTTCCAACGAAATCCTGAAATCTATCCAAATATCCCATCGCAGATTCTACAAAAAGAGTGTTTCAAAACTGCTCTGTAAAAAGAAAGGTTCAACTCTGTTAGTTGAGTACACACATCACAAACAAGTTTCACAGAATGCTTCTTTCTAGCTTGTAGAGAGAAGATATTCCCTTTATCACCATGGGCCTCAAACCGTCCGAAACGTCCACTTCCATATACTACAAAAAGAGCGTTTCAAACCTGCTCTATGAAAGGCAATGTTCAACTCTGTGACTTGAATGCAGACATCACAGAGCAGTTTCTGAGAATGCTTCTGTCTAGATTTTATAGGAAGATATTCCCGTTTCCAACAAAATCTTCACAGCTATCCAAATATCCACTTACAGATTCTACAAAAAGAGTGTATCAAAACTGCTCTGTCAAAAGGAAGGTTCTTCTCTGTTAGGTGAGTGCATACGTCATAAAGGAGTTTCTGAGAATGTTTCTGTCTAGTGGTTATGGGAAGATATTTGCTTTTTCACCGTAGGCCTCAGAGCGCTCCAAATATCCACTTGCACATACTACAAAAAGAGTGCCTCAAAGCTGCTCTCTGAAAGGGAATGTTCAACACTATGAGTTGAATGCAAACATCGCAAAGACGTTTCTGAGAATGCTTCTGTCTAGCTTTGATATGAAGATATTCCCGTTTGCAACGAAATCTTCAAATCTATCAAAATGTCCACTTGCAGATTCAACAAAACGTGTTTTTCAGAACTGCTCTATCAAAGGAAAGATACACCTCTGTTAGCTGAGTTCACACATCACAAACAAGTTTATGAGAATGCCTTCTGTCTTGTTTTTATTTGAAGATATTTCCTTTCTCACCATAGACCTGAAAGCTGTCCTAATGTTCACTTCCAGATACTACAGAAAGAGTGTTTCAAAACTGCTGTACGAAAGGGAATGTTCAACACTGTGACTTGAATGCACACATCACAAAGAAGTTTCTGAGGATGCTGCAGTCTACTTTTTATACGTAATCCCGTTTCCAAAGAAAACCTCCAAGCTATCCAAATATCCACTTGCAGATTCCACAGAAAGACTGTTTCAAAACTGCTCTGTCAATAGAAAGGTTCAACTCTGTTAGCTCCGTGCATATATCCCAAAGAAGATTCTGAGATTGCTTCTGTCTAGTTTTTATGGGAAGATATTTCCTTTTTCACCGTAGGCGTCAAGGCGCTCCAAATGTCCACTTCCAGATACTACAAAAAGAGTGTTTCAAACCTACTCTGTGAAAGGGAATATTCAACTCTGTGACTTGAATACACATATCACAAGGAAGTTTCTGAGAATGCTTCTGTCGAGATTTTATATGAAGATATTCCCGTTTCCAACGAAATCCTGAAATCTATCCAAATATCCCCTCGCAGATTCTACAAAAAGAGTGTTTCAAAACTGTTCTTTAAAAAGAAAGGTTCAACTCTGTTAGTTGAGTACACACATCACAAACAAGTATCACAGAATGCTTCTTTCTAGCTTGTAGGGGAAGATATTCCCTTTATCACCATGGGCCTCAAACCGTCCGAAAAGTCCACTTCAATATACTACAAAAAGAGCGTTTCAAACCTGCTCTATGAAAGGCAATGTTCAACTCTGTGACTTGAATGCAGACATCACAGAGCTGTTTCTGAGAATGCTTCTGTCCAGACTTTATAGGAAGATATTCCCGTTTCCAAGGAAATCTTCACAGCTATCCAAATATCCACTTGCAGATACTACAAAAAGAATGTATCAAAAATGCTCTGTCAAAAGGAAAGTTCTTCTCTGCTAGTTGAGTACATACGTCATAAAGAAGTTTCTGAGAATGTTTTCTGTCTAGTGGTTATGGGAAGATATTTGCTTTTTCACCGTAGGCCTCAGTAGCGCTCCAAATATCCGCTTGCACATACTACAAAAAGAGTGCTTCAAAGCTGCTCTCTGAAACGGAATGTTCAACTCTATGAGTTGAATGCAAACATGACAAAGACGTTTCTGAGAATGCTTCTGTCTAGATTTGATATGAAGATATACCCGTTTCCAACGAAATCTTCAAATCTATCCAAATGTCCACTTGCAGATTCAACAAAAAGTGTTTTTCAGAACTGCTCTATCAAAAGAAAGATCCACCTCTGTTAGCTGAGTTAACACATCACAAACAAGTTTATGAGAATGCTTCTGTCTAGTTTTTATTTGAAGATATTTCCTTTCTCACCATAGACCTGAAAGCTGTCCTAATGTTCACTTCCAGATACTACAGAAAGAGTGTTTCAAAACTGCTGTACGAAAGAGAATGTTCAACTCTGTGACTTCAATGCACACATCACAAAGAAGTTTCTCAGGATGCTGCTGTCTACTTTTTATACGTAATCCCGTTTCCAACGAAATCCTCCAAGCTATCCAAATATCCACTTGCAGATTCCACAGAAAGACTGTTTCAAAACTGCTCTGTCAATAGAAAGGTTCAACTCTGTTATCTGCGTGCATATATCCCAAAGAAGATTCTGAGATTGCTTCTGTCTAGTTTTTATGGGAAGATATTTCCCTTTTCACCGTAGGTGTCAAGGCGCTCCAAATGTCCACTTCCAGATACTACAAAAAGAGTGTTTCAAACCTACTCTGTGAAAGGGAATATTCAACTCTGTGACTTGAATGCAGATATCACAAAGAAGTTTCTGAGAATGATTCTGTCGAGATTTTGTATGAAGATATTCCCGTTTCCAACGAAATCCTGAAATCTATCCAAATATCCCCTCGCAGATTCTACAAAAAGAGTGTTTCAAAACTGCTCTGTGAAAAGAAAGGTTCAACTATCTTAGTTGAGTACACACATCACAAACAAGTTTCACAGAATGCTTCTTTCTAGCTTGTAGGGGAAGATATTCCCTTTATCACCATGGGCCTCAAACCGTCCGAAACGTCTACTTCCATATACTACAAAAAGAGCGTTTCAAACCTGCTCTATGAAAGGCAATGTTCAACTCTGAGACTTGAATGCAGACATCACAGAGCAGTTTCTGAGAATGCTTCTGTCTAGATTTTATAGGAAGATATTCCCGTTTCCAACGAAATCTTCACAGCTATCCAAATATGCACTTGCAGATTCTACAAAAAGAGTGTATCAAAACTGCTCTGTCAAAAGGAAGGTTCTTCTCTGTTAGTTGAGTACATACGTCATAAAGGAGTTTCTAAGAATGTTTCTGACTAGTGGTTATGGGAAGATATTTGCTTTTTCACCGTAGGCCTCAGAGCGCTCCAAATATCCACTTGCACATACTACAAAAAGAGTGCCTCAAAGCTGCTCTCTGAAACGGAATGTTCAACTCTATGAGTTGAATGAAAACATCACAAAGACGTTTCTGAGAATGCTTCTGTCTAGATTTGATATGAAGATATTCCCGTTTCCAACGAAATCTTCCAATCTATCCAAATGTCCACTTGCAGATTCAACAAAAAGTGTTTTTCAAAAGTGCTGTATCAAAAGAAAGATCCACCTCTGTTAGTTGAGTCCACACATCACAAAGAACTTTATGAGAATGCTTCTGTCTAGTTTTTATTTGAAGATATTTCCTTTCTCACCATAGACCTGAAAGCTGTCCTAATGTTCACTTCCAGATACTACAGAAAGAGTGTTTCAAAACTGCTGCATGAAAGGGAATGTTCAACTCTGTGACTTGAATGCACACATCACAAAGAAGTTTCTGAGGATGCTGCTGTCTACTTTTTATACGTAATCCCGTTTCCAACAAAATCCTCCAAGCTATACAAATATCCACTTGCAGATTCCACAGAAAGACTGTTTCAAAACTGCTCTGTCAATAGAAAGGTTCAACTCTGTTAGCTGCGTGCATATATCCCAAAGAAGATTCTGAGATTGCTTCTGTCTAGTATTTATGGGAAGATATTTCCCTTTTCACCGTAGGTGTCAAGGAGCTCCAAATGTCCACTTCCAGATACTACAAAAAGAGTGTTTCAAACCTACTCTGCGAAAGGGAATATTCAACTCTGTGACTTGAAGGCAGATATCACAAAGAAGTTTCTGAGAATGCTTCTGTCGAGATTTTATATAAAGATATTACGGTTTCCAACAAATTCCTGAAATCTATCCAAATATCCCCTCGCAGATTCTACAAAAAGAGTGTTTCAAAACTGCTCTGTAAAAAGAAAGGTTCAACTCTGTTAGTTGAGTACACACATCACAAACAAGTTTCACAGAATGCTTCTTTCTAGCTTGTAGGGGAAGATATTCCCTTTATCACCAAGGGCCTCAAACCGTCTGAAACGTCTACTTCCATATACTACAAAAAGAGCGTTTCAAACCTGCTCTATGAAAGGCAATGTTCAACTCTGTGACTTGAATGCAGACATCACAGAGCAGTTTCTGAGAATGCTTCTGTCTAGATTTTATAGGAAGATATTCCCGTTTCCAACGAAATCTTCACAGCTATCCAAATATCCACTTGCAGATTCTACAAAAAGAGTCTATCAAAACTGCTCTGTCAAAAGGAAGGTTCTTCTCTGTTAGTTGAGTACATACGTCATAAAGGAGTTTCTGAGAATGTTTCTGTCTAGTGGTTATGGGAAGATATTTGCTTTTTCACCGTAGGCCTCATAGCGCTCCAAATATCCACTTGCACATACTACAAAAAGTGTGCTTCAAAGCTGCTCTCTGAAAGGGAATGTTCAACTCTATGAGTTGAATGCAAACATCACAAAGACGTCTCTGAGAATGCTTCTGTCTAGATTTGATATGAAGATATTCCCGTTTCCAACGAAATCTTCAAATCTATCCAAATGTCCACTTGCAGATTCAACAAAAAGTGTTTTTCAGAACTGCTCTATCAAAAGAAAGATCCACCTCTTTTAGCTGGGTTCACACATCACAAACAAGTTTACGAGAATGCTTCTGTCTAGTTTTTATTTGAAGATATTTCGTTTCTCACCATAGACCTGAAAGCTGTCCTAATGTTCACTTCCAGTTACTACAGAAAGAGTGTTTCAAAACTGCTGTACGAAAGGGAATGTTCAACTCTGTGACTTGAATGCACACATCACAAAGAAGTTTCTGAGGATGCTGCTGTCTACTTTTTATACTTAATCCCGTTTCCAACGAAATCCTCCAAGCTATCCAAATATCCACTTGCAGATTCCACAGAAAGACTGTTTCAAAACTGCTCTGTCAATAGAAAGGTTCAACTCTGTTAGCTGCGTGTATATATCCCAAAGAAGATTCTGAGATTGCTTCTGTCTAGTTTTTATGGGAAGATATTTCCCTTTTCACCGTAGGCGTCAAGGCGCTCCAAATGTCCACTTCCAGATACTTCAAAAAGAGTGTTTCAAACCTACTCTGTGAAAGGGAATATTCAAGTCTGTGACTTGAATGCACATATCACAAGGAAGTTTCTGAGAATGCTTCTGTCGAGATTTTACATGAAGATATTCCCGTTTCCAACCAAATGCTGAAATCTATCCAAATATCCCCTCGCAGATTCTACAAAAAGAGTGTTTCAAAACTGCTCTGTGAAAAGAAAGGTTCAACTCTGTTAGTTGAGTACACACATCACAAACAAGTTTCACAGAATGCTTCTTTCTAGCTTGTAGGGGAAGATATTCCCTTTATCACCATGGGCCTCAAACCGTCTGAAACGTCCACTTCCATATACTTCAAAAAGAGCATTTCAAACCTGCTCTATGAAAGGCAATGTTCAACTCTGTGACTTGAATGCAGACATCACAGAGCAGTTTCTGAGAATGCTTCTGTCTAGATTTTATAGGAAGATATTCCCGTTTCCAACGAAATCTTCACAGCTATCCAAATATCCACTTGCAGATCCTACAAAAAGAGTGTATCAAAACTGCTCTGTCAAAAGGAAGGTTCTTCTCTGTTAGTTGAGTATATACGTCATAAATTAGTTTCTGAGAATGTTTCTGTCTAGTGGTTATGGGAAGATATTTGCTTTTTCACCGTAGGCCACAGAGCGATCAAAATATCCACTTGCACATACTACAAAAAGAGTGCTTCAAAGCTGCTCTCTGAAAGTGAATGTTCAACTCTATGAGTTGAATGCAAACATCACAAAGACGTTTCTGAGAATGCTTCTGTCTAGATTTGATATGAAGATATTCCCGTTTCCAACGAAATCTTCAAATCTATCCAAATGTCCACTTGCAGATTCAACAAAAAGTGTTTTTCAGAACTGCTCTATCAAAAGAACGATCCACCTCTGTTAGCTGAGTTCACACATCACAAACAAGTTTATGAGAATGCTTCTGTCTAGTTTTTATTTGAAGATATTGCCTTTCTCACCATAGACCTGAAAGCTGTCCTAATGTTCACTTCCAGATACTACAGAAAGAGTGTTTCAAAACTGCTGTACGAAAGGGAATGTTCAACTGTGTGACTTGAATGCACACATCACAAAGAAGTTTCTGAGGAGGCTGCTGTCTACTTTTTATACCTAATCCCGTTTCCAACGAAATCCTCCAAGCTATCCAAATATCCACTTGCAGATTCCGCAGAAAGACTGTTTCAAAACTGCTCTGTCAATAGAAAGGTTCAACTCTGTTAGCTGCGTGCATATATCCCAAAGAAGATTCTGAGATTGTTTCTGTCTAGTTTTTATGGGAAGATATTTCCCTTTTCACCGTAGGCGTCAAGGCGCTCCAAATGTCCACTTCCAGATACTACAAAAAGAGTGTTTCGAACCTACTCTGTGAAAGGGAATATTCAACTCTGTGACTTGAATGCACATATCACAAAGAAGTTTCTGAGAATGCTTCTGTCGAGATTTTATATGAAGATATTCCCGTTTCCAATGAAATCCTGAAATCTATCCAAATATCCCCTCGCAGATTCTACAAAAAGAGTGTTTCAAAACTGCTCTGTGAAAAGAAAGGTTCAACTCTCTTAGTTGAGTACACACATCACAAACAAGTTTCACAGAATGCTTCTTTCTAGCTTGTAGGGGAAGATATTCCCTTTATCACCATGGGCCTCAAACCGTCCGAAACGTCCACTTCCATATACTACAAAAAGAGCGTTTCAAACCTGCTCTAGGAAAGGCAATGTTCAACTCTGTGACTTGAATGCAGATATCACAGAGCAGTTTCTGAGAATGCTTCTGTCTAGATTTTATAGGAAGATATTCCCGTTTCCAACGAAACCTTCACAGCTATCCAAATATCCACTTGCAGATTCTACAAAAAGAGTGTATCAAAACTGCTCTGTCAAAAGGAAGGTTCTTTTCTGTTAGGTGAGTGCATACGTCATAAAGGAGTTTCTGAGAATGTTTCTGTCTAGTGGTTATGGGAAGATATTTGCTTTTTCACCTTAGGCCTCACAGCGATCCAAATATCCACTTGCACATACTACAAAAAGAGTGCTTCAAAGCTGCTCTCTGAAACGGAATGTTCAACTCTATGAGTTGAATGCAAACATCACAAAGACGTTTCTGAGAATGCTTCTGTCTAGATTTGATATGAAGATATTCCCGTTTCCAACGAAATCTTCAAATCTATCCAAATGTCCACTTGCAGATTCAACAAAAAGTGTTTTTCAGAACTGCTCTCTCAAAAGAAAGATCCACCTCTGTTAGCTGAGTTCACACATCACAAACAAGTTTATGAGAATGCTTCTGTCTAGTTTTTATTTGAAGATATTTCCTTTCTCACCATAGACCTGAAAGCTGTCCTAAAGTTCACTTCCAGATACTACAGAAAGAGCGTTTCAAAACTGCTGTACGAAAGGGAATGTTCAACTCTGTGACTTGAATGCACACATCACAAAGAAGTTTCTGAGGATGCTGCTGTCTACGTTTTATACGTAATCCCGTTTCCAACGAAATCCTCCAAGCTATCCAAATATCCACTTGCAGATTCCACAGAAAGACTGTTTCAAAACTGCTCTGTCAATAGAAAGGTTCAACTCTGTTAGCTGCGTGCATATATCCCAAAGAAGATTCTGAGATTGCTTCTGTCTAGTTTTTATGGGAAGATATATCCCTTTTCACCGTAGGCGTCAAGGCGCTCCAAATGTCCACTTCCGGATACTACAAAAAGAGTGTTTCAAACCTACTCTGTGAAAGGGAATATTCAACTCTGTGACTTGAAGGCAGATATCACAAAGAAGTTTCTGAGAATGCTTCTGTCGAGATTTTATATGAAGATATCCCCGTTTCCAACGAAATCCTGAAATCTATCCAAATATCCCCTCGCAGATTCTACAAAAAGAGTGTTTCAAAACTGCTCTGTAAAAAGAAAGGTTCAACTCTGTTAGTTGAGTACACACATCACAAACAAGTTTCACAGAATGCTTCTTTCTAGCTTGTAGGGGAAGATATTCCCTTTATCACCATGGGCCTCAAACCGTCCGAAACGTCCACTTCCATATACTACAAAAAGAGCGTCTCACACCTGCTCTATGAAAGGCAATGTTCAACTCTGTGACTTCAATGCAGACATCACAGAGCAGTTTCTGAGAATGCTTCTGTCCAGACTTTATAGGAAGATATTCCCGTTTCCAACGAAATCTTCACAGCTATCCAAATATCCACTTGCAGATACTACAAAAAGAGTGTATCAAAAGTGCTCTGTCAAAAGGAAAGTTCTTCTCTGCTAGTTGAGTACATACGTCATAAAGAAGTTTCTGAGAATGTTTCTGTCTAGTGGTTATGGGAAGATATTTGCTTTTTCACCGTAGGCCTCAGAGCGCTCAAAATATCCACTTGCACATACTACAAAAAGAGTGCTTCAAAGCTGCTCTCTGAAACGGAATGTTCAACTCTATGAGTTGAATGCAAACATCACAAAGACGTTTGCTGAGAATGCTTCTGTCTAGATTTGATATGAAGATATTCCCGTTTCCAACGAAATCTTCAAATCTATCCAAATGTCCACTTGCAGGTTCAACAAAATGTGTTTTTCAGAACTGCTCTATCAAAAGAAAGATCCACCTCTGTTAGCTGAGTTCACACATCACAAACAAGTTTATGAGAATGCTTCTGTCTAGTTTTTATTTGAAGATATTTCCTTTCTCACCATAGACCTGAAAGCTGTCCTAATGTTCACTTCCAGATACTAGAGAAAGAGTGTTTCAAAACTGCTGTACGAAAGGGAATGTTCAGCTCTTTGACTTGAATGCACACATCACAAAGAAGATTCTGAGGATGCTGCTGTCTACTTTTTATACGTAATCCCGTTTCCAACGAAATCCTCCAAGCTATCCAAATATCCACTTGCAGATTCCACAAAAAGACTGTTTCAAAACTGCTCTGTCAATAGAAAGGTTCAACTCTGTTAGCTGGGTGCATACATCCCAAAGAAGATTCTGAGATTGCTTCTGTCTAGTTTTTATGGGAAGATATTTCCCTTTTCACCGTAGGTGTCAAGGCGCTACAAATGTCCACTTCCAGATACTACAAAAAGAGTGTTTCAAACCTACTCTGTGAAAGGGAATATTCAACTCTGTGACTTGAATGCACATATCACAAAGAAGTTTCTGAGAATGCTTCCTTCGAGATTTTATGTGAAGATATTCCCGTTTCCAACGAAATCCTGAAATCTATCCAAATATCCCCTCGCAGATTCTACAAAAAGAGTGTTTCAAAACTGCTCTGTAAAAAGAAAGGTTCAACTCTGTTACTTGAGTACACACATCACAAACAAGTTTCACAGAATGCTTCTTTCTAGCTTGTAGGGGAAGATATTCCCTTTATCACCATGGGCCTCAAACCGTCCGAAACGTCAACTTCCATATACTACAAAAAGAGCGTTTCAAACCTGCTCTATGAAAGGCAATGTTCAACTCTGTGACTTGAATGCAGACATCACAGAGCAGTTTACTGAGAATGCTTCTGTCTAGATTTTATAGGAAGATATTCCCGTTTCCAACGAAATCTTCACAGCTATCCAAATATCCACTTGCAGATTCTACAAAAAGAGTGTATCAAAACTGCTCTGTCAAAAGGAAGGTTCTTCTCTCTTAGTTGAGTACATACGTCATAAAGGAGTTTCTGAGAATGTTCCTGTCTAGTGGTTATGGGAAGATATTTGCTTTTTCCCCGTAGGCCTCAAAGCGCTCCAAATGTCCACTTGCACATACTACAAAAAGAGTGCTTCAAAGCTGCTCTCTGAAAGGGAATGTTCAACTCTATGAGTTGAATGCAAACATGACAAAGACGTTTCTGAGAATGCTTCTGTCTAGATTTGATATGAAGATATTCCCGTTTCCAACGAAATCTTCAAATCTATCCAAATGTCCACTTGCAGATTCAACAAAAAGTGTTTTTCAGAACTGCTCTATCAAAAGAAAGATCCACGTCTCTTAGGTGAGTTCACACATCACAAACAAGTTTATGAGAATGCTTCTGTCTAGTTTTTATTTGAAGATATTGCCTTTCTCACCATAGACCTGAAAGCTGTCCTAATGTTCACTTCCAGATACTACAGAAAGAGTGTTTCAAAACTGCTGTACAAAAGGGAATGTTCAACTCTGTGACTTGAATGCACACATCACAAAGAAGTTTCTGAGGATGCTGCTGTCTACTTTTTATACGTAATCCCGTTTCCAACGAAATCCTCCAAGCTATCCAAATATCCACTTGCAGATTCCACAGAAAGACTGTTTCAAAACTGCTCTGTCAATAGAAAGGTTCAACTCTGTTAGCTGCGTGCATATATCACAAAGAAGATTCTGAGATTGCTTCTGTCTAGTTTTTATGGGAAGATATTTCCCTTTTCACCGTAGGCGTCAAGGCGCTCCAAATGTCCACCTCCAGATACTACAAAAAGAGTGTTTCAAACCTACTCTGTGAAAGGGAATATTCAACTCTGTGACTTGAATGCACATATCACAAAGAAGTTTCTGAGAATGCTTCTGTCGAGATTTTATATGAAGATATTCCCGTTTCCAACGAAATCCTGAAATCTATCCAAATATCCCCTCGCAGATTCTACAGAAAGAGTGTTTCAAAACTGCTCTGTAAAAAGAAAGGTTCAACTCTGTTACTTGAGTACACACATCAGAAACAAGTTTCACAGAATGCTTCTTTCTAGCTTGTAGGGGAAGATATTCCCTTTATCACCATGGGCCTCAAACCGTCCGAAACGTCCACTTCAATATACTACAAAAAGAGCGTTTCAAACCTGCTCTATGAAAGGCAATGTTCAACTCTGTGACTTGAATGCAGACATCACAGAGCAGTTTCTGAGAATGCTTTCTGTCTAGATTTTATAGGAAGATATTTCCGTTTCTAACGAAACCTTCACAGCTATCCAAATATCCACTTGCAGATTCTACAAAAAGAGTGGATCAAAACTGCTCTGTCAAAAGGAAGGTTCTTCTCTGTTAGTTGAGTACATACGTCATAAAGGAGTTTCTGAGAATGTTTCTGTCTAGTGGTTATGGGAAGATATTTGCTTTTTCACCGTAGGCCCCAGAGCGCTCCAAATATCCACTTGCACATACTACAAAAAGAGTGCTTCAAAGCTGCTCTCTGAAACGGAATGTTCAACTCTATGAGTTGAATGCAATCATCACAAAGACGTTTCTGAGAATGCTTCTGTCTAGATTTGATATGAAGATATTCCCGTTTCCCAACGAAATCTTCATATCTATCCAAATGTCCACTTGCAGATTCAACAAAAAGTGTTTTTCAGAACTGCTGTATCAAAAGAAAGATCCACGTCTGTTAGCTGAGTTCACACATCACAAACAAGTTTATGAGAATGCTTCTGTCTGGTTTTTATTTGAAGATATTTCCTTTCTCACCATAGAGCTGAAAGCTGTCCTAATGTTCACTTCCAGATACTACAGAAAGAGTGTTTCAAAACTGCTGTACGAAAGGGAATGTTCAACTCTGTGACTTGAATGCACACATCACAAAGAAGTTTCTGAGGATGCTGCTGTCTACTTTTTATACGTAATCCCGTTTCCAACGAAATCCTCCAAGCTATCCAAATATCCACTTGCAGATTCCACAGAAAGACTGTTTCAAAACTGCTCTGTCAATAGAAAGGTTCAACTCTGTTAGCTGCGTGCATATATCCCAGAGAAGATTCTGAGATTGCTTCTGTCTACTTTTTATGAGAAGATATTTCCCTTTTCACCGTAGGCGTCAAGGCGCTCCAAATGTCCACTTCCAGATACTACAAAAAGATTGTTTCAAACCTACTCTGTGAAAGGGAATATTCAACTCTGTGACTTGAATGCACATATCACAAAGAAGTTTCTGAGAATGCTTCTGTCGAGATTTTATATGAAGATATTCCCGTTTCCAACGAAATCCTGAAATCTATCCAAATATCCCCTCGCAGATTCTACAAAAAGAGTGTTTCAAAACTGCTCTGTAAAAAGAAAGGTTCAACTCTGTTAGTTGAGTACACACATCACAAACAATTTCACAGAATGCTTCTTTCTAGCTTGTAGGGGAAGATATTCCCTTTATCACCATGGGCCTCAAACCGTCCGAAACGTCCACTTCCATATACTACCAAAAGAGCGTTTCAAACCTGCTCTAGGAAAGGCAATGTTCAACTCCTGTGACTTGAATGCGGACATCAGAGAGCAGTTTCTGAGAATGCTTCTGTCTAGATTTTATAGGAAGATATTCCCGTTTCCAACAAAATCTTCACAGGTATCCAAATATCCACTTGCAGATTCTACAAAAAGAGTGTATCAAAACTGCTCTGTCAAAAGGAAGGTTCTTCTCTGTTAGGTGAGTGCATACGTCATAAAGGAGTTTCTGAGAATGTTTCTGTCTAGTGGTTATGGGAAGATATTTGCTTTTTCACCGTAGGCCTCAGAGCGCTCCAAATATCCACTTGCACATACTACAAAAAGAGTGCCTCAAACTGCTCTCTGAAACGGAATGTTCAACTCTATGAGTTGAATGCAAACATCGCAAAGACGTTTCTGAGAATGCTTCTGTCTAGATTTGATATGAAGATATTCCCTTTTCCAAGGAAATCTTCAAAACTATCCAAATGTCCACTTGCAGATTCAACAAAAAGTGTTTTTCAGAACTGCTCTATCAAAAGAAAGATCCACCGTTGTTAGCTGAGTTCACACATCACAAACAAGTTTATGAGAATGCTTGTCTGTCTAGTTTTTATTTGAAGATATTTCCTTTCTCACCATAGACCTGAAAGCTGTCCTAATGTTCACTCCCAGATACTACAGAAAGAGTGTTTCAAAACTGCTGTACGAAAGGGAATGTTCAACTCTGTGACTTGAATGCACACATCACAAAGAAGATTCTGAGGATGCTGCTGTCTACTTTTTATACGTAATCCCGTTTCCAACGAAATCCTCCAAGCTATCCAAATATCCACTTGCAGATTCCACAGAAAGACTGTTTCAAAACTGCTCTGTCAATAGAAAGGTTCAACTCTGTTAGCTGCGGGCATATATCCCAAAGAAGATTCTGAGATTGCTTCTGTCTAGTTTTTATGGGAAGATATTTCCCTTTTCACCGTAGGTGTCAAGGCGCTCCAAATGTCCACTTCCAGATACTACAAAAAGAGTGTTTCAAACCTACTCTGTGAAAGGGAATATTCAACTCTGTGACGTGAATGCACATATCACAAAGAAGTTTCTGAGAATGCTTCTGTCGAGATTTTATATGAAGATATTCCCGTTTCCAACGAAATCCTGAAATCTATCCAAATATCCCCTCACATATTCTACAAAAAGAGTGTTTCAAAACTGCTCTGTAAAAAGAAAGGTTCAACTCTGTTAGTTGAGTACACACCTCACAAACAAGTTTCACAGAATGCTTTCTTTCTAGCTTGTAGGGGAAGTATATTCCCTTTATCACCATGGGCCTCAAACCGTCCGAAAAGTCCACTTCCATATACTACAAAAAGAGCGTTTCAAACCTGCTCTATGAAAGGCAATGTTCAACTCTGTGACTTGAATGCAGACATCACAGAGCAGTTTCTGAGAATGCTTCTGTCTAGATTTTATAGGAAGATATTCCCGTTTCCAACGAAATCTTCACAGCTATCCAAATATCCACTTGCAGATTCTACAAAAAGAGTGTATCAAAACTGCTCTGTCAAAAGGAAGGTTCTTTTCTGTTAGGTGTGTGCATACGTCATAAAGGAGTTTCTGAGAATGTTCCTGTCTAGTGGTTATGGGAAGATATTTGCTTTTTCCCCGTAGACCTCAAAGCGCTCCAAATGTCCACTTGCACATACTACAAAAAGAGTGCTTCAAAGCTGCTCTCTGAAAGGGAATGTTCAACTCTATGAGTTGAATGCTAACATCACAAAGACGTTTCTGAGAATGCTTCTGTCTAGATTTGATATGAAGATATTCCCGTTTCCAACGAAATCTTCAAATCTATCCAAATGTCCACTTGCAGATTCAACAAAAAGTGTTTTTCAGAACTGCTCTATCAAAAGAAAGATCCACCCCTGTTAGCTGAGTTCACACATCACAAACAAGTTTATGAGTATGCTTCTGTCTAGTTTTTATTTGAAGATATTTCCTTTCTCACCATAGACCTGAAAGCTGTCCTAATGTTCACTTCCAGATACTACAGAAAGAGTGTTTCAAAACTGCTGCACGAAAGGGAATGTTCAACTCTGTGACTTGAATGCACACATCACAAAGAAGTTTCTGAGGATGCTGCTGTCTATTTTTTATACGTAATCCCGTTTCCAACGAAATCCTCCAAGCTATCCAAATATCCACTTGCAGATTCCACAGAAAGACTGTTTCAAAACTGCTCTGTCAATAGAAAGGTTCAACTCTATTAGCTGCGTGCATATATCTCAAAGAAGATTCTGAGATTGCTTCTGTCTAGTTTTTATGGGAAGATATTTCCCTTTTCACCGTAGGCGTCAAGGCGCTCCAAATGTCCACTTCCAGATACTACAAAAAGAGTGTTTCAAACCTACTCTGTGAAAGGGAATATTCAACTCTGTGACTTGAATGCAGATATCACAAAGAAGTTCCTGAGAATGCTTCTGTCGAGATTTTATATGAAGATATTCCCGTTTCCAACGAAATCCTGAAATCTATCGAAATATCCCCTCGCAGATTCTACAAAAAGAGTGTTTCAAAACTGCTCTGTAAAAAGAAAGGTTCAACTCTGTTAGTTGAGTACACACATCACAAACAAGTTTCACAGAATGCTTCTCTTTCTAGCTTGTAGGGGAAGATATTCCCTTTATCACCATGGACCTCCAACCGTCCGAAACATCCACTTCCATATACTACAAAAAGAGCGTTTCAAACCTGCTCTATGAAAGGCAATGTTCAACTCTGTGACTTGAATGCAGACATCACAGAGCAGTTTCTGAGAATGCTTCTGTCTAGATTTCATAGGAAGATATTCCCGTTTCCAACGAAATCTTCACAGCTATCCAAATATCCACTTGCAGATTCTACAAAAAGAGTGTATCAAAACTGCTCTGTCAAAAGGAAGGTTCTTCTCTGTTACTTGAGTGCATACGTCACAAAGGAGTTTCTGAGAATGTTTCTGTCTAGTGGTTATGGGAAGATATTTGCTTTTTCACCGTAGGCCTCAGAGCGCTCCAAATATCCACTTGCACATACTACAAAAAGAGTGCCTCAAAGCTGCTCTCTGAAACGGAATGTTCAAATCTATGAGTTGAATGCAAACATCACAAAGACGTTTCTGAGAATGCTTCTGTCTAGATTTGATATGAAGATATTCCCGTTTCCAACGAAATCTTCAAATCTATCCAAATGTCCACTTGCAGATTCAACAAAAAGTGTTTTTCAGAACTGCTCTATCAAAAGAAAGATCCACCTCTGTTAGCTGAGTTCACACATCACAAAGAAGTTGATGAGAATGCTTCTGTCTAGTTTTTATTTGAAGATATTTCCTTTCTCACCATAGACCTGAAAGCTGTCCTAATGTTCACTTCCAGATACTACAGAAAGAGCGTTTCAAAACTGATGTACGAAAGGGAATGTTCAACTCTGTGACTTGAATGCCCACATCACAAAGAAGTTTCTGAGGATGCTGCTGTCTACTTTTTATACGTAATCCCGTTTCCAACGAAATCCTCCAAGCTATCCAAATATCCACTTGCAGATTCCACAGAAATACTGTTTCAAAACTGCTCTGTCAATAGAAAGGTTCAACTCTGTTAGCTGCGTGCATATATCCCAAAGAAGATTCTGAGATTGCTTCTGTCTAGTTTTTATGGGAAGATATTTCCCTTTTCACCGTAGGCGTCGAGGCGCTCCAAATGTCCACTTCCAGATACTACAAAAAGAGTGTTTCAAACCTACTCTGTGAAAGGGAATATTCAACTCTGTGACTTGAATGCACATATCACAAAGAAGTTTCTGAGAATGCTTCTGTCGAGATTTTATATGAAGATATTCTCGTTTCCAACGAAATCCTGAAATCTATCCAAATATCCCCTCACAGATTCTACAAAAAGAGTGTTTCAAAACTGCTCTGTAAAAAGAAAGGTCCAACTCTGTTAGTTGAGTACACACATCACAAACAAGTTTCACAGAATGCTTCTTTCTAGCTTGTAGGGGAAGATATTCCCTTTATCACCATGGGCCTCAAACCGTCCGAAACGTCCACTTCCATATACTACAAAAAGAGCGTTTCAAACCTGCTCTAGGAAAGGCAGTGTTCAACTCTGTGACTTGAATGCAGACATCACAGAGCAGTTTCTGAGAATGCTTCTGTCTAGATTTTATAGGAAGATATTCCCGTTTGCAACGAAATCTTCACAGCTATCCAACTATCCACTTGCAGATTCTACAAAAAGAGTGTATCAAAACTGCTCTGTCAAAAGGAAGGTTCTTCTCTGTTAGGTGAGTGCATACATCATAAAGGAGTTTCTGAGAATGTTTCTGTCTAGTGGTTATGGGAAGATATTTGCTTTTTCACCGTAGGCCTCAGTAGCGCTCCAAATATCCACTTGCACATACTACAAAAAGAGTGCCTCAAAGCTGCTCTCTGAAACGGAATGTTCAACTCTATGAGTTGAATGCAAACATCGCAAAGACGTTTCTGAGAATGCTTCTGTCTAGATTTGATATGAAGATATTGCCGTTTCCAACGAAATCTTCAAATCTATCCAAATGTCCACTTGCAGATTCAACAAAAAGTGTTTTTCAGAACTGCTCTATCAAAAGAAAGATCCACCTGTGTTAGATGAGTTCACACATCACAAACAAGTTTATTAGAATGCTTCTGTCTAGTTTTTATTTGAAGATATTTCCTTTCTCACCATAGACCTGAAAGCTGTCCTAATGTTCACTTCCAGATACTACAGAAAGAGTGTTTCAAAACTGCTGTACGAAAGGGAATGTTCAACTCTGTGACTTGAATGCACACATCAAAAAGAAGTTTCTGAGGATGCTTCTGTCAAAATTTGATATGAAGATATTCCCGTTTCCAACGAAATCTTCAAATCTATCCAAATGTCCACTTGCAGATTCAACAAAAAGTGTTTTTCAGAACTGCTCTATCAAAAGAAAGATCCACCTCTGTTAGCTGAGCTCACACATCACAAACAAGTTTACGAGAATGCTTCTGTCTAGTTTTTATTTGAAGATATTTCCTTTCTCACCATAGAGCTGAAAGCTGTCCTAATGTTCACTTCCAGATACTACAGAAAGAGTGTTTCAAAACTGCTGTACGAAAGGGAATGTTCAACTCTGTGACTTGAATGCACATATCACAAAGAAGTTTCTGAGAATGCTTCTGTCGATCTTTTATATGAAGATATTCCCGTTTCCAACGAAATCCTGAAATCTATCCAAATATCCCCTCGCAGATTCTACAAAAAGAGTGTTTCAAAACTGCTCTGTAAAAAGAAAGGTTCAACTCTGTTAGTTGAGTACACACATCACAAACAAGTTTCACAGAATGCTTCTTTCTAGCTTGCAGGGGAAGATATTCCCTTTATCACCATGGTCCTCAAACCGTCCGAAACGTCCACTTCCATATACTACAAAAAGAGCGTTTCAAACCTGCTCTAGGAAAGGCAATGTTCAACTCTGTGACTTGAATGCAGACATCACAGAGCAGTTTCTGAGAATGCTTCTGTCTAGATTTTATAGGAAGATATTCCCGTTTCCAACGATATCTTCACAGCTATCCCAATATCCACTTGCAGATTCTACAAAAAGAGTGTATCAAAACTGCTCTGTCAAAAGGAAGGTTCTTCTCTGTTAGGTGAGTGCATACGTCATAAAGGAGTTTCTGAGAATGTTTCTGTCTAGTGGTTATGGGAAGATATTTGCTTTTTCACCGTAGGCCTCAGAGCGCTCCAAATATCCACTTGCACATACTACAAAAAGAGTGCTTCAAAGCTGCTCTCTGAAACGGAATGTTCAACTGCTATGAGTTGAATGCAAACATCACAAAGACGTTTCTGAGAATGCTTCTGTCTAGATTTGATATGAAGATATTCCCGTTTCCAAAGAAATCTTCAAATCTATCCAAATGTCCACTTGCAGATTCAACAAAAAGTGTTTTTCAAAACTGCTGTATCAAAAGAAAGATCCACCTCTGTTAGCTGCGTTCACACATCACAAACAAGTTTATGAGAATGCTTCTGTCTAGTTTTTATTTGAAGATATTTCCTTTCTCACCATAGAGCTGAAAGCTGTCCTAATGTTCACTTCCAGATACTACAGAAAGAGTGTTTCAAAACTGCTGTACGAAAGGGAATGTTCAAATCTGTGACTTGAATGCACACATCACAAAGAAGTTTCTGAGGATGCTGCTGTCTACTTTTTATACGTAATCCCGTTTCCAACGAAATCCTCCAAGCTATCCAAATATCCACTTGCAGATTCCACAGAAAGACTGTTTCAAAAATGCTCTGTTAATAGAAAGGTTCAACTCGGTTAGCTGCGTGCATATATCCCAAAGAAGATTCTGAGATTGCTTCTGTCTAGTTTTTATGGGAAGATATTTCCCTTTTCACCGTAGGTGTCAAGGTGCTCCAAATGTCCACTTCCAGATACTACAAAGAGTGTTTCAAACCTACTCTGTGAAAGGGAATATTCAACTCTGTGACTTGAATGCAGATATCACAAAGAAGTTTCTGAGAATGCTTCTGTCGAGATTTTATATTAAGATATTCCCGTTTCCAACGAAATCCTGAAATCTATCCAAATATCCCCTCGCAGATTCCACAAAAAGAGTGTTTCAAAACTGCTCTGTAAAAAGAAAGGTTCAACTCTGTTAGTTGAGTACACACATCACAAACAAGTTTCACAGAATGCTTCTTTCTAGCTTGTAGGGGAAGATATTTCCTTTATCACCATGGGCCTCAAACGGCTCGAAATTTCCACTTCCATATACTACAAAAAGAGCGTTTCAAACCTGCTCTATGAAAGGCAATGTTGAACTCTGTGACTTGAATGCAGACATCACAGAGCAGTTTCTGAGCATGCTTCTGTCTAGATTTTATAGGAAGATATTCTCGTTTCCAACGAAATCTTCACAGCTATCCAAATATCCACTTGCAGATTCTACAAAAAGAGTGTATCAAAACTGCTCTGTGAAAAGGAAGGTTCTTCTCTGTTAGGTGAGTGCATACGTCATAAAGGAGTTTCTGAGATTGTTTCTGTCTAGTGGTTATGGGAAGATATTTGCTTTTTCACCGTAGGCCTCAGAGTGCTCCAAATATCCACTTGCACATACTACAAAAAGAGTGCTTCAAAGCTGCTCTCTGAAACGGAATGTTCAACTCTATGAGTTGAATGCAAACATGACAAAGACGTTTCTGAGAATGCTTCTGTCTAGATTTGATATGAAGATATTCCCGTTTCCAACGAAATCTTCAAATCTATCCAAATGTCCACTTGCAGATTCAATTAAAAGGGTTTTTCATAACTGGTGTATCAAAAGAAAGACCCACCTCTGTTAGTTGAGATCACACATCACAAACAAGTTTATGAGAATGCTTCTGTCTAGTTTTTATTTGAAGATATTTCCTTTCTCACCATAGAGCTGAAAGCTGTCCTAATGTTCACTTCCAGATACTACAGAAAGAGTGTTTCAAAACTGCTGTACGAAAGGGAATGTTCAACTCTGTGACTTGAATGCACACATCACAAAGAAGTTTCTAAGGATGCTGCTGTCTACTTTTTATACATAATCCCGTTTCCAACGAAATCCTCCAAGCTATCCAAATATCCATTTGCAGATTCCACAGAAAGACTGTTTCAAAACTGCTCTGTCAATAGAAAGGTTCAACTCTGTTAACTGCGTGCATATATCCCAAAGAAGATTCTGAGATTGCTTCTGTCTAGTTTTTATGGGAAGATATTTCCCTTTCCACCGTAGGCGTCAAGGCGCTCCAAATGTCCACTTCCAGATACTACAAAAAGAGTGTTTCAAACCTACTCTGTGAAAGGGAATATTCAACTCTGTGACTTGAATGCACATATCACAAAGAAGTTTCTGAGAATGCTTCTGTCGAGATTTTATATGAAGATATTCCAGTTTCCAACGAAATCCTGAAATCTATCCAAATATCCCCTCGCAGATTCTACAGAAAGAGCGTTTCAAAACTGCTCTGTAAAAAGAAAGGTTCAACTCTGTTACTTGAGTACACACATCACAAACAAGTTTCACAGAATGCTTCTTTCTAGCTTGTAGGGGAAGATATTCCCTTTATCACCATGGGCCTCAAACCGTCCGAAACGTCCACTTCCATATACTACAAAAAGAGAGTTTCAAACCTGCTCTATGAAACGCAATGTTCAACTCTGTGACTTGAATGCAGACATCACAGAGCAGTTTCTGAGAATGCTTCTGTCTAGATTTTATAGGAAGATATTCCCGTTTCCAACGAAATCTTCACAGCTATCCAAATATCCACTTGCAGATTCTACAAAAAGAGTGTATCAAAACTGGTCTGTCAAAAGGAAGGTTCTTCTCTGTTAGGTGAGTGCATACGTCATAAAGGAGTTTCTGAGAATGTTTCTGTCTAGTGGTTTTGGGAAGATATTTGCTTTTTCACCGTAGGCCTCACAGCGCACCAAATATCCACTTGCACATACTACAAAAAGAGTGCCTCAAAGCTGCTCTCTGAAACGGAATGTTCAACTCTATGGGTTGAATGCAAACATCACAAAGACGTTTCTGAGAATGCTTCTGTCTAGATTTGATATGACGATATTCCCGTTTCCAACGAAATCTTCAAATCTATCCAAATGTCCACTTGCAGATTCAACAAAACGTGTTTTTCAGAACTGCTCTATCAAAAGAAAGATCCACCTCTGTTAGCTGAGTTCACACATCACAAACAAGTTGATGAGAATGCTTCTGTCTAGTTGTTATTTGAAGATATTTCCTTTCTCACCATAGACCTGAAAGCTGTCCTAATGTTCACTTCCAGATACTACAGAAAGAGTGTTTCAAAACTGCTGTACGAAAGGGAATGTTCAACTCTGTGACTTGAATGCACACATCACAAAGAAGTTTCTGAGGATGCTGCTGTCTACTTTTTATACGTAATCCCGTTTCCAACGAAATCCTCGAATCTATCCAAATATCCACTTGCAGATTCCACAGAAAGACTGTTTCAAAACTGCTCTGTCAATAGAAAGGTTCAACTCTGTTAGCTGCGTGCATATATCCCAAAGAAGATTCTGAGATTGCTTCGGTCTAGTTTGTATGGGAAGATATTTCCCTTTTCACCGTAGGCGTCAAGGCGCTCCAAATGTCCACTTCCAGATACTACAAAAAGAGTGTTTCAAACCTACTCTGTGAAAGGGAATATTCAACTCTGTGACTTGAATGCACATATCACAAAGAAGTTTCTGAGAATGCTTCTGTCGAGATTTTATATGAAGATATTCTCGTTTACAACGAAATCCTGAAATCTATCCAAATATCCCCTCGCAGATTCTACAAAAAGAGTGTTTCAAAACTGCTCTGTAAAAAGAAAGGTTCAACTCTGTTAGTTGAGTACACACATCACAAACAAGTTTCACAGAATGCTTCTTTCTAGCTTGTAGGGGAAGATATTCCCTTTATCACCATCGGCCTCAAACCGTGTGAAACGTCCACTTCCATATACTACAAAAAGAGCATTTCAAACCTGCTCTATGAAAGGCAATGTTCAACTCTGTGACTTGAATGCAGACATCACAGAGCAGTTTCTGAGAATGCTTCTGTCTAGATTTTATAGGAAGATATTCCCGTTTCCAACGAAATCTTCACAGCTATCCAAATATCCACTTGCAGATTCTACAAAAAGAGTGTATCAAAACTGCTCTGTCAAAAGGAAGGTTCTTCTCTGTTAGGTGAGTGCATACATCATAAAGGAGTTTCTGAGAATGTTTCTGTCTAGTGGTTATGGGAAGATATTTGCTTTTTCACCGTAGGCCTCAGTAGCGCTCCAAATATCCACTTGCACATACTACAAAAAGAGTGCTTCACAGCTGCTCTCTGAAAGGGAATGTTCAACTCTATGAGTTGAATGCAAACATCACAAAGACGTTTCTGAGAATGCTTCTGTCTAGTTTTGATATGAAGATATTCCCGTTTCCAACGAAATCTTCAAATCTATCCAAATGTCCACTTGCAGATTCAACAAAAAGTGTTTTTCAAAACTGCTATATGAAAAGAAAGATCCACCTCTGTTAGTTGAGTTCACACATCACAAACAAGTTTATGAGAATGCTTCTGTCTAGTTTTTATTTGAAGATATTTTCTTTCTCACCATAGACCTGAAAGCTCTCGTAACGTTCACTTCCAGATACTAGAGAAAGAGTGTTTCAAACCTGCTCTACGAAAGGGAATGTTGAACTCTGTGACTTGAATGCACACATCACAACGAAGTTTCTGAGAATGCTGCTGGCTACTTTTTATACGTAATCCCGTTTCCAACGAAATCCTCCAAGCTATCCAAATATCCATTTGCAGATTCCACAGAAAGACTTTTTCAAAACTGCTCTGTCAATAGAAAGGTTCAACTCTGTTAGCTGCGTGCATATATCCCAAAGAAGATTCTGAGATTGCTTCTGTCTAGTTTTTATGGGAATATATTTCCCTTTTCACCGTAGGCGTCAAGGCGCTCCAAATGTCCACTTCCAGATACTACAAAAAGAGTGTTTCAAACCTACTCTGTGAAAGGGAATATTCAACTCTGTGACTTGAATGCACATATCAAAAAGAAGTTTCTGAGAATGCTTCTGTCGAGCATTTTATATGAAGATATTCCCGTTTCCAACGAAATGCTGAAATGTATCCAAATATCCCCTCGCAGATTCTACAAAAAGAGTGTTTCAAAACTGCTCTGTAAAAAGAAAGGTTCAACTCTGTTAGTTGAGTACACACATCACAAACAAGTTTCACAGAATGCTTCTGTCTAGATTTTATAGGAAGATATTCCCGTTTCCAACGAAATCTTCACAGCTATCCAAATATCCACTTGCAGATTCCACAAAAAGAGTGTATCAAAACTGCTCTGTCAAAAGGAAGGTTCTTTTCTGTTAGGTGAGTGCATACGTCATAAAGGAGTTTCTGAGAATGTTTCTGTCTAGTGGTTATGGGAAGATATTTGCTTTTTCACCGTAGGCCTCAGAGCGCTCCAAATATCCACTTGCACATACTACAAAAAGAGTGCTTCAAACCTCCTCTCTGAAACGGAATGTTCAACTCTATGAGTTGAATGCAAACATCACAAAGACGTTTCTGAGAATGCTTCTGTCTAGATTTGATATGAAGATATTCCCGTTTCCAACGAAATCATCAAATCTATCCAAATGTCCACTTGCAGATTCAACAAAGTGTTTTTCAAAACTGCTGTATCAAAAGAAAGATCCACCTCTGTTAGCTGAGTTCACACTTCACAAACAAGTTTATCAGAAAGCTTCTGTCTAGTTTTTATTTGAAGATATTTCCTTTCTCACCATAGACCTGAAAGCTGTCCTAATGTTCACTTCCAGTTACTACAGAAAGAGTGTTTCAAAACTGCTGTACGAAAGGGAATGTTCAACTCTGTGACTTGAATGCACACATCTCAAAGAAGTTTCTGAGGATGCTGCTGTCTACTTTTTATACTTAATCCCGTTTCCAACGAAATCCTCCAAGTTATCCAAATATCCACTTGCAGATTCCACAGAAAGACTGTTTCAAAACTGCTCTGTCAATAGAAAGGTTCAACTCTGTTAGCTGCGTGCATATATCCCAAAGAAGATTCTGAGATTGCTTCTGTCTAGTTTTTATGGGAAGATATTTCCCTTTTCACCGTAGGCGTCAAGGCGCTCCAAATGTCCACTTCCAGATACTACAAAAAGAGTGTTTCAAACCTCCTCTGTGAAAGCGAATATTCAACTCTGTGACTTGAATGCACATATCACAAAGAAGTTTCTGAGAATGCTTCTGTCGAGATTTTATATGAAGATATTCCCGTTTCCAACGAAATCCTGAAATCTATCCAAATATCCCCTCGCAGATTCTACAAAAAGAGTGTTTCAAAGCTGCTCTGTAAAAAGAAAGGTTCAACTCTGTTAGTTGAGTACACACATCACAAACAAGTTTCATAGAATGCTTCTTTCTAGCTTGTAGGGGAAGATATTCCCTTTATCACCATGGGCCTCAAACCGTCCGATAAGTCCACTTCCATATAATACAAAAAGAGCGTTTCAAACCTGCTCTATGAAAGGCAATGTTCAACTCTGTGACTTGAATGCAGACATCACAGAGCAGTTTCTGAGAATGCTTCTGTCTAGATTTTATAGGAAGATATTCCCGTTTCCAACGAAATCTTCATAGCTATCCAAATATCCACTTGCAGATTCTACAAAAAGAGTGTATCAAAACTGCTCTGTCAAAAGGAAGGTTCTTCTCTGTTAGTTGAGTACATACTTCATAAAGGAGTTTCTGAGAATGCTTCTGTCTAGTGGTTATGGGAAGATATTTGCTTTTTCACCGTAGGCCTCAGAGCGCTCCAAATATCCACTTGCACATACTACAAAAAGAGTGCCTCACAGCTGCTCTCTGAAACGGAATGTTCAAATCTATGAGTTGAATGCAAACATCGCAAAGACGTTTCTGAGAATGCTTCTGTCTAGATTTGATATGAAGATATTCCCGTTTCCAACGAAATCTTCAAATCTATCCAAATGTGCACTTGCAGATTCAACAAAAAGTGTTTTTCAGAACTGCTCTATCAAAAGAAAGATCCACGTGTGTTAGCTGAGTTCACACATTACGAACAAGTTTATGAGAATGCTTCTGTCTAGTTTTTATTTGAAGATATTTCCTTTCTCACCATAGAGCTGAAAGCTGTCCTAATGTTCACTTCCAGATACTACAGAAAGAGTGTTTCCAAACTGCTGTACGAAAGGGAATGTTCAACTCTGTGACTTGAATGCACACATCACAAAGAAGTTTCGGAGGATGCTGCTGTCTACTTTTTATACGTAATCCCGTTTCCAACGAAATCCTCCAAGCTATCCAAATATCCACTTGCAGATTCCACAGAAAGACTGTTTCAAAACTGCTCTGTCAATAGAAAGGTTCAACTCTGTTAGCTCCGTGCATATATCCCAAAGAAGATTCTGAGATTGCTTCTGTCTAGTTTTTATGGGAAGATATTTCCCTTTTCACCGTAAGCGTCAAGGCGCTCCAAATGTCCACTTCCAGATACTACAAAAAGAGTGTTTCAAACCTACTCTGTGAAAGGGAATATTCAACTCTGTGACTTGAATGCACATATCACAAAGAAGTTTCTGAGAATGCTTCTGTCGAGATTTTATATGAAGATATTCCCCTTTCCAACGAAATCCTGAAATCTATCCAAATATCCCCTCGCAGATTCTACAAAAAGAGTGTTTCAAAACTGCTCTGTAGAAAGAAAGGTTCAACTCTGTTAGTTGAGTACACACATCACAAACAAGTTTCACAGAATGCTTCTTTCTAGCTTGTAGGGGAAGATATTCCCTTTATCACCATGGGCCTCAAACCGTCCGAAACGTCAACTTCCATATACTAAAAAAAGAGCGTTTCAAACCTGCTCTATGAAAGGCAATGTTCAACTCTGTGACTTGAATGCAGACATCACAGAGCAGTTTCTGAGAATGCTTCTGTCTAGATTTTATAGGAAGATATTCCCGTTTCCAACGAAATCTTCACAGCTATCCAAATATCCACTTGGAGATTCTACAAAAAGAGTGTATCAAAAATGCTCTGTCAAAAAGAAGGTTCTTCTCTGTTAGTTGAGTACATACGTCATAAAGGAGTTTCTGAGAATGTTTCTGTCTAGTGGTTATGGGAAGATATTTGCTTTTTCACCGTAGGCCTCAGAGCGCTCAAAATATCCACTTGCACATACTACAAAAAGAGTGCCTCAAAGCTGCTCTCTGAAACGGAATGTTCAACTCTATGAGTTGAATGCCAACATCACAAAGACGTTTCTGAGAATGCTTCTGTCTAGATTTGATATGAAGATATTCCCGTTTCCAACGACATCTTCAAATCTATCCAAATGTCCACTTGCAGATTCAACAAAACGTGTTTTTCAGAACTGCTCTATCAAAAGAAACATCCACCTCTGTTAGCTGAGTTCACACATAACAAACAAGTTCTTGAGAATGCTTTCTGTCTAGTTTTTATTTGAAGATATTTCCTTTCTCACCATAGACCTGAAAGCTGTCCTAATGTTCACTTCCAGATACTACAGAAAGAGTGTTTCAAAACTGCTGTACGAAAGGGAATGTTCAACTCTTTGACTTGAATGCACACATCACAAAGAAGATTCTGAGGATGCTGCTGTCTACTTTTTATACGTAATCCCGTTTCCAACGAAATCCTCCAAGCTATCCAAATATCCACTTGCAGATTCCACAGAAAGACTGTTTCAAAACTGCTCTGTCAATAGAAAGGTTCAACTCTGTTAGCTGCGTGCATATATCCCAAAGATGATTCTGAGATTTCTTCTGTCTAGTTTTTATGGGAAGATATTTCCCTTTTCACTGTAGGCGTCAAGGCGCTCCAAATGTCCACTTCCAGATACTACAAAAAGAGTGTTTCAAACCGACTCTGTGAAAGGGAATATTCAACTCTGTGACTTGAATGCAGATATCACAAAGAAGTTTCTGAGAATGCTTCTGTCGAGATTTTATATGAAGATAATCCCCTTTCCAACGAAATCCTGAAATCTATCCAAATATCCCCTCGCAGATTCTACAAAAAGAGTGTTTCAAAACTGCTCTGTAAAAAGAAAGGTTCAACTCTGTTAGTTGAGTACACACATCACAAACAAGTTTCACAGAATGCTTGTCTTTCTAGCTTGTAGGGCAAGATATTCCCTTTATCACCATGGGCCTCAAACCGTCCGAAACGTCCACTTCCATATACTACAAAAAGAGCGTTTCAAACCTGCTCTATGAAAGGCAATGTTCAACTCTGTGACTTGAATGCAGACATCACAGAGCAGTTTCTGAGAATGCTTCTGTCTAGATTTTATAGGAAGATATTCCCGTTTCCAACGAAATCTTCACAGCTATCCCAATATCCTCTTGCAGATTCTACAAAAAGAGTGTATCAAAACTGCTCTGTCAAAAGGAAGGTTCTTCTCTGTTAGGTGAGTGCATACGTCATAAAGGAGTTTCTGAGAATGTTTTCTGTCTAGTGGTTATGGGAAGATATTTGCTTTTTCACAGAAGGCCTCAGAGCGCTCCAAATATCCACTTGCACATACTACAAAAAGAGTGCCTCAAAGCTGCTCTCTGAAACGGAATGTTCAACTTTATGAGTTGAATGCAAACATCACAAAGACGTTTCCGAGAATGCTTCTGTCTACATTTGATATGAAGATATTCCCGTTTCCAACGAAATCTTCAAATCTATCCAAATGTCCCCTTGCAGATTCAACAAAAAGTGTTTTTCAGAACTGCTCTATCAAAAGAAAGATCCACCTCTGTTAGCTGAGTTCACACATCACAAACAAGTTTATGAGAATGCTTCTGTCTAGTTTTTATTTGAAGATATTTCCTTTCTCACCATAGACCTGAAAGCTGTCCTAATGTTCACTTCCAGATGCTACAGAAAGAGTCTTTCAAAACTGGTGTACGAAAGGGAATGTTCAACTCTGTGACTTGAATGCACACATCACAAAGAAGTTTCTGAGGATGCTGCTGTCTACTTTTTATACGTAATCCCGTTTCCAACGAAATCCTCCAAGCTATCCAAATATCCACTTGCAGATTCCACAGAAAGACTGTTTCAAAACTGCTCTGTCAATAGAAAGGTTCAACACTGTTAGCTGCGTGCATATATCCCAAAGAAGATTCTGAGATTGCTTCTGTCTCGTTTTTATGGGAAGATATTTCCCTTTTCACCGTAGGCGTCAAGGCGCTCCAAATGTCCACTTCCAGATACTACAAAAAGAGTGTTTCAAACCTACTCTGTGAAAGGGAATATTCAACTCTGTGACTTGAATGCACATATCACAAAGAAGTTTCTGAGAATGCTTCTGTCGAGATTTTATATGAAGATATTCCCGTTCCCAACGAAATCCTGAAATCTATCCAAATATCCCCTCGCAGATTCTACAAAAAGAGTGTTTCAAAACTGCTCTGTAAAAAGGAAGGTTCAACTCTGTTAGTTGAGTACACACATCACAAACAAGTTTCACAGAATGCTTCTTTCTAGCTTGTAGGGGAAGATATTCCCTTTATCACCATGGGCCTCAAACCGTCCGAAACGTCTACTTCCATATACTACAAAAAGAGCGTTTCAAACCTGCTCTATGAAAGGCAATGTTCAACTCTGTGACTTGAATGCAGACATCACAGCAGCAGTTTCTGAGAATGCTTCTGTCTAGATTTTATAGGAAGATATTCCCGTTTCCAACGAAACCTTCACAGCTATCCAAATATCCACTTGCAGATTCTACAAAAAGAGTGTATCAAAACTGCTCTGTCAAAAGGAAGGTTCTTCTCTGTTAGGTGAGTGCATACGTCATACAGGAGTTTCTGAGAATGTTTCTGTCTAGTGGTTATGGGAAGCATATTTGCTTTTTCACCGTAGGCCTCAAAGCGCTCCAAATGTCCACTTGCACATACTACAAAAAGAGTGCTTCAAAGCTGCTCTCTGAAACGGAATGTTCAACTCTATGAGTTGAATGCAAACATCACAAAGACGTTTCTGAGAATGCTTCTGTCTAGATTTGATATGAAGATATTCCCGTTTCCAACGAAATTTTCAAATCTATACAAATGTCCACTTGCAGATTCAACAAAGTGTTTTTCAAAACTGCTGTATCAAAAGAAAGATCCACCTCTGTTAGCTGAGTTCACACTTCACAAACAAGTTTATCAGACTGCTTCTGTCTAGTTTTTATTTGAAGATATTTCCTTTCTCACCATAGACCTGAAAGCTGTCCTAATGTTCACTTCCAGATACTACAGAAAGAGTGTTTCAAAACTGCTGTACGAAAGGGAATATTCAACTCTGTGACTTGAATGCACACATCACAAAGAAGTTTCTGAGGATGCGGCTTTCTACATTTTATACGTAATCCCGTTTCCAACGAAATCCTCCAAGCTATCCAAATATCCACTTGCAGATTCCACAGAAAGACTGTTTCAAAACTGCTCTGTCAATAGAAAGGTTCAACTCTGTTAGCTGCGTGCATATATCCCAAAGAAGATTCTGAGATTGCTTCTGTCTACTTTTTATGAGAAGGTATTTCCCTTTTCACCGTAGGCGTCAAGGCGCTCCAAATGTCCACTTCAGATACTACAAAAAGAGTGTTTCAAACCTACTCTGTGAAAGGGAATATTCAACTCTGTGACTTGAATGCACATATCACAAAGAAGCTTATGAGAATGCTTCTGTCGAGATTTTATATGAAGATATTCCCGTTTCCAACTAAATCCTGAAATCTATCCAAACTTCCCCTCGCAGATTCTACAAAAAGAGTGTTTCAAAACTGCTCTGTAAAAAGAAAGGTTCAACTCTGTTAGTTGAGTACACACATCACAAACAAGTTTCACAGAATGCTTCTTTCTAGCTCGTAGGGGAAGATATTCCCTTTATCACCATGGGCCTCAAACCATCCGAATCGTCCACTTCCATATACTACAAAAAGAGCGTTTCAAACCTGCTCCATGAAAGGCAATGTTCAACTCTGTGACTTGAATGCAGACATCACAGAGCAGTTTCTGAGAATGCTTCTGTCTAGATTTTATAGGAAGATATTCCCGTTTCCAGCAAAATCTTCACAGCTATCCAAATATCCACTTGCAGATTCTACAAAAAGAGTGCATCAAAACTGCTCTGTCAAATGGAAGGTTCTTCTCTGTTAGGTGAGTGCATACGTCATAAACGAGTTTCTGAGAATGTTTCTGTCTAGTGGTTATGGGAAGATATTTGCTTTTTCACCGAAGGCCTCAGAGCGCTCCCAATATCCACTTGCACATACTACAAAATGAGTGCCTCAAAGCTGCTCTCTGAAACGGAATGTTCAAATACTATGAGTTGAATGCAAACATCACAAAGACGTTTCCGAGAATGCTTTCTGTCTAGATTTGATATGAAGATATTCCCGTTTCCAACGAAATCTTCAAATCTATCCAAATGTCCACTTGCAGATTCAACGAAAAGTGTTTTTCAGAACTGCTCTATCAAAAGAAAGATCCACCTCTGTTAGCTGAGTTCAGACATCGCAAACATGTTTATGAGAATGCTTCTGTCTAGTTTTTATTTGAAGATATTTCCTTTCTCACCATAGACCTGAAAGCTGTCCTAATGTTCACTTCCAGATACTACAGAAAGAGTGTTTCAAAAATGCTGTACGAAAGGGAATATTCAACTCTGTGACTTGAATGCGCACATCACAAAGAAGTTTCTGAGGATGCTGCTGTCTACTTTTTATACGTAATCCCGTTTCCAACGAAATCCTCCAATCTATCAAAATATCCACTTGCAGATTCCACAGAAAGACTGTTTCAAAACTGCTCTGTCAATAGAAAGGTTCAACTCTGTTAGCTGCGTGCACATATCCCAAAGAAGATTCTGAGATTGCTTCTGTCTAGTATTTATGGGAAGATATTTCCCTTTTCACCGTAGGTGTCAAGGAGCTCCAATTGTCCACTTCCAGATACTACAAAAAGAGTGTTTCAAACCTACTCTGCGAAAGGGAATATTCAACTCTGTGACTTGAAGGCAGATATCACAAAGAAGTTTCTGAGAATGCTTCTGTCGAGATTTTAAATGAAGATATTCCCGTTTCCAACGAAATCCTGAAATCTATCCAAATATCCCCTCGCAGATTCTACAAAAAGAGTGTTTCAAAACTGCTCTGTAAAAAGAAAGGTTCAACTCTGTTAGTTGAGTATACACATCACAAACAAGTTTCACAGAATGCTTCTTTCTAGCTTGTAGGGGAAGATATTCCCTTTATCACCATGGGCCTCAAACCGTCCGAAACGTCTACTTCCATATACTACAAAAAGAGCGTTTCAAACCTGCTCTATGAAAGGCAATGTTCAACTCTGTGACTTGAATGCAGACATCACAGGGCAGTTTCTGAGAATGCTTCTGTCTAGATTTTATAGGAAGATATTCCCGTTTCCAACGAAATCTTCACAGCTATCCAAATATCCACTTGCTGATTCTACAAAAAGAGTGTATCAAAACTGCTCTGTCAAAAGGAAGGTTCTTCTCTGTTAGGTGAGTGCATACGTCATAAAGCAGTTTCTGAGAATGTTTCTGTCTAGTGGTTATGGGAAGATATTTGCTTTTTCCCCGTAGGCCTCAGGGCGCTCCAAATATCCACTTGCACATACTACAAAAAGAGTGCCTCAAAGCTGCTCTCTGAAAGGGAATGTTCAACTCTATGAGTTGAATGCAAACATCGCAAAGACGTTTCTGAGAATGCTTCTGTCTAGATTTGATATGAAGATATTCCCGTTTCCAACGAAATCTTCAAATCTATCCAAATCTCCACTTGCAGATTCAACAAAAAGTGTTTTTCAGAACTGCTCTATCAAAAGAAAGATCCACCTCTGTTAGCTGAGTTGACACATCACAAACAAGTTTATGAGAATGCTTCTGTCTAGTTTTTATTTGAAGATATTTCCTTTCTCACCATAGAGCTGAAAGCTGTCCTAATGTTCACTTCCAGATACTACAGAAAGAGTGTTTCAAAACTGCTGTACGAAAAGGAATGTTCAACTCTGTGACTTGAATGCACACATCACAAAGAAGTTTCTGAGGATGCTGCTGTCTACTTTTTATACGTAATCCCGTTTCCAACGAAATCCTCCAAGCTATCCAAATATCCACTTGCAGATTCCACAGAAAGACTGTTTCAAAACTGCTCTGTCAATAGAAAGGTTCAACTCTGTTAGTTGCGTGCATATATCCCAAAGAAGATTCTGAGATTCCTTCTGTCGAATTTTTATGGGAAGATATTTCCCTTTTCACCGTAGGCATCAAGGCGCTCCAAATGTCCACTTCCAGATACTACAAAAAGAGTGTTTCAAACCTACTCTGTGAAAGGGAATATTCAACTCTGTGACTTGAATGCACATATCACAAAGAAGTTTCTGAGAATGCTTCTGTCGAGATTTTATATGAAGATATTCCCCTTTCCAACGAAATTCTGAAATCTATCCAAATATGCCCTCGCAGATTCTACAAAAAGAGTGTTTCAAAACTGCTCTGTAAAAAGAAAGGTTCAACTCTGTTAGTTGAGTACACACCTCACAAACAAGTTTCACAGAATGCTTCTTTCTAGCTTGTAGGGGAAGATATTCCCTTTATCACCATGGGCCTCAAACCGTCTGAAACGTCCACTTCCATATACTACAAAAAGAGCGTTTCAAACCTGCTCTATGAAAGGCAATGATCAACTCTGTGACTTGAATGCAGACATCACAGAGCAGTTTCTGAGAATGCTTCTGTCCAGACTTTATAGGAAGATATTCCCGTTTCCAACGAAATCTTCACAGCTATCCAAATATCCACTTGCAGATAGTACAAAAAGAGTGTATCAAAAATGCTCTGTCAAAAGGAAAGTTCTTCTCTGCTAGTTGAGTACATACGTCATAAAGAAGTTTCTGAGAATGTTTCTGTCTAGTGGTTATGGAAAGATATTTGCTTTTTCACCGTAGGCCTCAGAGCGCTCCAAATATCCACTTGCACATACTACAAAAAGAGTGCCTCAAATCTGCTTTCTGAAACGGAATGTTCAACTCTATGAGTTGAATGCAAACAACGCAAAGACGTTTCTGAGAATGCTTCTGTCTAGACTTGATATGAAGATATTCCCGTTTCCAACGAAATCTTCAAATCTATCCAAATGTCCACTTGCAGATTCAACAAAAAGTGTTTTTCAGAACTGCTCTATCAAAAGAAAGATCCACCTCTGTTAGCTGAGTTCACACATCACAAACAAGTTTATGAGAATGCTTCTGTCTAGTTTTTATTTGAAGATATTTCCTTTCTCACCATAGACCTGAAAGCTGTCCTAATGTTCACTTCCAGATACTACAGAAAGAGTGTTTCAAAACTGCTGTACGAAAGGGAATGTTCAACTCTGTGACTTGAATGCACCCATCACAAAGAAGTTTCTGAGGATGCTGCTGTCTACTTTTTATACGTAATCCCGTTTCCAACGAAATCCTCCAAGCTATCCAAATATCCACTTGCAGATTCCACAGAAAGACTGTTTCAAAACTGCTCTGTCAATATAAAGGTTCAACTCTATTAGCTGCGTACATATATCCCAAAGAAGATTCTGAGATTGCTTCTGTCTAGTTTTTATGGGAAGATATTTCCCTTTTCACCGTAGGCGTCAAGGCGCTCCAAATGTCCACTTCCAGATACTACAAAAAGAGTGTTTCAAACCTACTACTGTGAAAGGGAATATTCAACTCTGTGACTTGAATGCACATATCACAAGGAAGTTTCTGAGAATGCTTCTGTCAAGATTTTATATGAAGATATTCCCGTTTCCAACGAAATCCTGAAATGTATCCAAATATCCCCTCGCAGATTCTACAAAAAGAGTGTTTCAAAACTGCTCTGTAAAAAGAAAGGTTCAACTCTGTTAGTTGAGTACACACATCACAAACAAGTTTCACAGAATGCTTCTTTCTAGCTTGTAGGGGAAGATATTCCCTTTATCACCATGGGCCTCAAACCGTACGAAACGTCCACTTCCATATACTACAAAAAGAGCGTTTCAAACCTGCTCTAGGAAAGGCAGTGTTCAACTCTGTGACTTGAATGCAGACATCACAGAGCAGTTTCTGAGAATGCTTCTGTCTAGATTTTATAGGAAGATATTCCCGTTTCCAACGAAATCTTCACAGCTATCCAAATATCCACTTGCAGATTCTACAAAAAGAGTGTATCAAAACTGCTCTGTCAAAAGGAAGGTTCTTCTCTGTTAGGTGAGTACATACGTCATAAAGGAGTTTCTGAGAATGTTTCTGTCTAGTGATTATGGGAAGATATTTGCTTTTTCACCGTAGGCCTCAGAGCGCTCCAAATATCCACTTGCATATACTACAAAAAGAGTGCTTCAAAGCTGCTCTCTGAAACGGAATGTTCAACTCTATGAGTTGAATGCAAACATCACAAAGACGTTTCTGAGAATGCTTCTGTCTAGATTTGATATGAAGATATTCCCGTTTCCAACGAAATCTTCAAATCTATCCAAATGTCCACTTGCAGATTCAACAAAAAGTGTTTTTCAAAACTGCTGTATCAAAAGAAAGATCCACGTCTGTTAGCTGAGTTCAGACATCACAAACAAGTTTATGAGAATGCTTCTGTCTTGTTTTTATTTGAAGATATTTCCTTTCTCACCATAGACCTGAAAGCTGTCATAATGTTCACTTCCAGATACTACAGAAAGAGTGTTTCAAAACTGCTGTACGAAAAGGAATGTTCAACTCTGTGACTTGAATGCACACATCACAAAGAAGTTTCTGAGGATGCTGCTGTCTACTTTTTATACGTAATCCCGTTTCCAAAGAAATCCTCCTAGCTATCCAAATATCCACTTGCAGATTCCACAGAAAGACTGTTTCAAAACTGCTCTGTCAATAGAAAGGTTCAACTCTGTTAGCTGCGTGCATATATCCCAAAGAAGATTCTGAGATTGCTTCTGTCTAGTTTTTATGGGAAGATATTTCCCTTTTCACCGTAGGCGTCAAGGCGCTCCAAATGTCCACTTCCAGATACTACAAAAAGAGTGTTTCAAACCTACTCTGTGAAAGGGAATATTCAACTCTGTGACTTGAATGCACATATCACAAAGAAGTTTCTGAGGATGCTTCTGTCGAGATTTTATATGAAGATATTCCGGTTTCCAACGAAATCCTGAAATCTATCCAAATATCCCCTCGCAGATTCTACAAAAAGAGTGTTTCAAAACTGCTCTGTAAAAAGAAAGGTTCAACTCTGTTAGTTGAGTACACACATCACAAACAAGATTCACAGAATGCTTCTTTCTAGCTTGTAGGGGAAGATATTCTCATTATCACCATGGTCCTCAAACCGTCCGAAACGTCCACTTTCATATACTACAAAAAGAGCGTTTCAAACCTGCTCTAGGAAAGGCAATGTTCAACTCTGTGACTTGAATGCAGACATCACAGAGCAGTTTCTGAGAATGCTTCTGTCTAAATTTTATAGGAAGATACTCCCGTTTCCAACGAAATCTTCACAGCTATCCAAATATCCACTTGCAGATTCTACAAAAAGAGTGTATCAAAACTGCTCTGTCAAAAGGAAGGTTCTTTTCTGTTAGGTGAGTGCATACGTCATAAAGGATTTTCTGAGAATGCTTCTGTCTAGTGGTTATGGGAAGATATTTGCTTTTTCACCGTAGACCTCAGAGCGCTCCAAATATCCACTTGCACATACTACAAAAAGAGTGCCTCAAAGCTGCTCTCTGAAACGGAATGTTCTACTCTATGAGTTGAATGCAAACATCACAAAGACGTTTCTGAGAATGCTTCTGTCTAGATTTGATATGAAGATATTCCCGTTTCCAACGAAATCTTCAAATCTATCCAAATGTCCACTTGCAGATTCAACAAAAAGTGTTTTTCAGAACTGCTCTATCAAAAGAAAGATCCACCTCTGTTAGCTGAGTTCACACTTCACGAACAAGTTTATCAGAATGCTTCTGTCTAGTTTTTATTTGAAGATATTTCCTTTCTCACCATAGAGCTGAAAGCTGTCCTAATGTTCACTTCCAGATACTACAGAAAGAGTGTTTCAAAACTGTTGTACGAAAGGGAATGTTCAACTCTGTGACTTGAATGCACACATCACAAAGAAGTTTCTGAGGATGCTGCTGTCTACTTTTGATACGTAATCCCGTTTCCAACGAAATCCTCCAAGCTATCCAAATATCCACTTGCAGATTCCACAGAAAGACTGTTTCAAAACTGCTCTGTCAATAGAAAGGTTCAACTCTGTTAGCTGTGTGCATATATCCCAAAGAAGATTCTGAGATTGCTTCTGTCTAATTTTTGTGGGAAGATATTTCGCTTTTCACCGTAGGTGTCAAGGCGCTCCAAATGTCCACTTCCAGATACTACAAAAAGATTGTTTCAAACCTACTCTGTGAAAGGGAATATTCAACTCTGTGACTTGAATGCACATATCACAAAGAAGTTTCTGAGAATGCTTCTGTCGAGATTTTATAGGAAGATATTCCCGTTTCCAACGAAATCCTGAAATCTATCCAAATATCCCCTCGCAGATTCTAAAAAAAGAGTGTTTCAAAACTGTTCTGTAAAAAGAAAGGTTCAACTCTGTTAGTTGAGTACACACATCACAAACAAGTTTCACAGAATGCTTCTTTCTAGCTTGTAGGGGAAGATATTCCCTTTATCACCATGGGCCTCAAACCGTCCGAAACGTCCGCTTCCATATACTACAAAAAGAACGCTTCAAACCTGCTCTATGAAAGACAATGTTCAACTCTGTGACTTGAATGCAGACATCACAGAGCAGATTCTGAGAATGCTTCTGTCTAGATTTTATAGGAAGATATTCCCGTTTCCAACGAAATCTTCACAGCTATCCAAATATCCACTTGCAGATTCTACAAAAAGAGTGTATGAAAACTGCTCTGTCAAAAGGAAGGTTCTTCTCTGTTAGGTGAGTGCATACGTTATAAAGGAGTTTCTGAGAATGTTTCTGTCTAGTGGTTATGGGAAGATATTTGCTTTTTCACCGTAGGCCTCAGAGCGCTCCAAATATCCACTTGCACATACTACAAAAAGAGTGCCTCAAAGCTGCTCTCTGAAACGGAATGTTCAACTCTATGAGTTGAATGCAAACATCACAAAGACGTTTCTGAGAATACTTCTGTCTAGATTTGATATGAAGATATTGCCGTTTCCAACGAAATCTTCAAATCTATCCAAATGTCCACTTGCAGATTCAACAAAAAGTGTTTTTCAGAACTGCTCTATCAAAAGAAAGATCCACCTCTGTTAGCTGAGTTCACACATCACAAACAAGTTTATGAGAATGCTTCTGTCTAGTTTTTATTTGAAGATATTTTGTTTCTCACCATAGAGCTGAAAGCTGTCCTAATGTTCACTTCCAGATACTACAGAAAGAGTGTTTCAAAACTGCTGTACGAAAGGGAATGTTCAACTCTGTGACTTGAATGCACACATCACAAAGAATTTTCTGAGGATGCTGCTGTCTACTTTTTATACGTAATCCGGTTTCCAACGAAATCCTCCAAGCTATCCAAATATCCACTTGCAGATTCCACAGAAAGACTGTTTCAAAACTGCTCTGTCAATAGAAAGGTTCAACTCTGTTAGCTGCGTGCATATATCCCAAAGAAGATTCTGAGATTGCTTCTGTCTAGTTTTTATGGGAAGATATTTCCCTTTCCACCGTAGGTGTCAAGGAGCTCCAAATGTCCACTTCCAGATACTACAAAAAGAGTGTTTCAAACCTACTCTGTGAAAGGGAATATTCAACTCTGTGACTTGAATGCACATATCACAAAGAAGTTTCTGAGAATGCTTCTGTCGAGATTTTATATGAAGTTATTCCCGTTTCCAACGAAATCCTGAAATCTATCCAAATATCCCCTCGCAGATTCTACAAAAAGAGTGTTTCAAAACTGCTCTGTGAAAGGGAATATTCAACTCTGTGACTTGAATGCAGATATCACAAAGAAGTTTCTGAGAATGCTTCTGTCGAGATTTTATATGAAGATATTCCGGTTTCCAACGAAATCCTGAAATCTATCCAAATATCCCCTCGCAGATTCTACAAAAAGAGTGTTTCAAAACTGCTCTGTAAAAAGAAAGGTTCAACTCTGTTAGTTGAGTACACACATCACAAACAAGTTTCACAGAATGCTTCTGTCTAGATTTTATAGGAAGATATTCCCGTTTCCAACGAAATCTTCACAGCTATCCCAATATCCACTTGCAGATTCTACAAAAAGAGTGTATCAAAACTGCTCTGTCAAAAGGAAGGTTCTTCTCTGTTAGGTGAGTGCATACAGTCATAAAGGAGTTTCTGAGAATGTTTCTGTCTAGTGGTTATGGGAAGATATTTGCTTTTTCACCGTAGGCCTCAGAGCGCTCCAAATATCCACTTGCACATACTACAAAAAGTGTGCCTCAAAGCTGCTCTCTGAAACGGAATGTTCAAATCTATGAGTTGAATGCAAACATCACAAAGACGTTTCTGAGAATGCTTCTGTCTAGACTTGATATGAAGATATTCCCGTTTCCAACGACATCTTCAAATCTATCCAAATGTCCACTTGCAGATTCAACAAAAAGTGTTTTTCAGAACTGCTCTATCAAAAGAAAGATCCACCTCTGTTAGCTGAGTTCACACATCACAAACAAGTTTATGAGAATGCTTCTGTCTAGTTTTTATTTGAAGATATTTCCTTTCTCACCATAGACCTGAAAGCTGTCCTAATGTTCACTTCCAGATACTACAGAAAGAGTGTTTCAAAACTGCTGTACGAAAGGGAATGTTCAACTACTGTGACTTGAATGCACACATCACAAAGAAGTTTCTGAGGATGCGTGCTGTCTACTTTTTATACGTAATCCCGTTTCCAACGAAATCCTCCAAGCTATCCAAATATCCACTTGCAGATTCCACAGAAAGACTGTTTCAAAACTGCTCTGTCAATAGAAAGGTTCAACTCTGTTAGCTGCGTGCATATATCCCAAAGAAGATTCTGAGATTGCTTCTGTCTAGTTTTTATGGGAAGATATTTCCCTTTTCACCGTAGGCGTCAAGGCGCTCCAAATGTCCACTTCCAGATACTACAAAAAGAGTGTTTCAAACCTACTCTGTGAAAGGGAATATTCAACTCTGTGACTTGAATGCACATATCACAAAGAAGTTTCTGATAATGCTTCTGTCGAGATTTTATATGAAGATATTCCCGTTTCCAACGAAATCCTGAAATCTATACAAATATCCCCTCGCAGATTCTACAAAAAGAGAGTTTCAAAACTGCTCTGTAAAAAGAAAGGTTCAACTCTGTTAGTTGAGTACACACATCACAAACAAGTTTCACAGAATGCTTCTTTCTAGCTTTTAGGGGAAGATATTCCCTTTATCACCATGGGCCTCCAACCGTCCGAAACATCCACTTCCATATACTACAAAAAGAGCGTTTCAAACCTGCTCTATGAAAGGCAATGTTCAACTCTGTGACTTGAATGCAGACATCACAGAGCAGTTTCTGAGAATGCTTCTGTCTAGATTTTATAGGAAGGTATTCCCGTTTCCAACGAAATCTTCACAGCTATCCAAATATCCTCTTGCAGATTCTACAAAAAGAGTGTATCAAAACTGCTCTGTCAAAAGGAAGGTCCTTCTCTGTTATTTGAGTACATACGTCATAAAGGGGTTTCTGAGAATGTTTCTGTCTAGTGGTTATGGGAAGATATTTGCTTTTTCACCGAAGGCCTCAGAGCGCTCCAAATATCCACTTGCACATACTACAAAAAGAGTGCTTCAAATCTGCTCTCTGAAAGGGAATGTTCAACTCTATGAGTTGAATGCAAACATCACAAAGACGTTTCTGACAATGCTTCTGTCTAGATTTGATATGAAGATATTCCCGTTTCCAACGAAATCTTCAAATCTATCCAAATGTCCACTTGCAGATTCAACAAAAAGTGTTTTTCAGAACTGCTCTATCAAAAGAAAGATCCACCTCTGTTAGCTGAGTTCACACACCACAAACAAGTTTATGAGAATGCTTCTGTCTAGTTTTTATTTGAAGATATTTCCTTTCTCACCATAGAGCTGAAAGCTGTCCAAATGTTCACTTCCAGATACTACAGAAAGAGTGTTTCAAAACTGCTGTACGAAAGGGAATGTTCAACTCTGTGACTTGAATGCACACATCACAAAGAACTTTCTGAGGATGCTGCTGTCTACTTTTTATACGTAATCCCGTTTCCAACGAAATCCTCCAAGCTATCCAAATATCCACTTGCAGATTCCACAGAAAGACTGTTTCTAATCTGCTCTGTCAATAGAAAGGTTCAACTCTGTTAGCTGCGTGCATATATCCCAAAGATGATTCTGAGATTTCTTCTGTCTAGTTTTGATGGGAAGATACTTCCCTTTTCACCGTAGGCGTCAAGGCGCTCCAAATGTCCACTTCCAGATACTACAAAAAGAGTGTTTCAAACCTACTCTGTGAAAGGGAATATTCAACTCTGTGACTTGAATGCACATATCACAAAGAAGTTTCTGAGAATGCTTCTGTCGAGATTTTATATGAAGATATTCCCGTTTCCAACGAAATCCTGAAATGTATCCAAATATCCCCTCGCAGATTCTACAAAAAGAGTGTTTCAAAACTGCTCTCTAAAAAGAAAGGTTCAACTCTGTTAGTTGAGTACACACATCACAAACAAGTTTCACAGAATGCTTCTTTCTAGCTTGTAGGGGAAGATATTCCCTTTATCACCATGGGCCTCAAACCGTCCGAAACGTCCACTTCCATATACTACAAAAAGAGCGTTTCAAACCTGCTGTATGAAAGGCAATGTTCAACTCTGTGACTTGAATGCAGACATCACAGAGCAGTTTCTGAGAATGCTTCTGTCTAGTATTTTATAGGAAGATATTCCCGTTTCCAACGAAATCTTCACAGCTATCCAAATATCCACTTTCAGATTCTACAAAAAGAGTGTATCAAAAGTGCTCTGTCAAAAGGAAGGTTCTTCTCTGTTAGGTGAGTGCATACGTCATAAAGGAGTTTCTGAGAATGTTTCTGTCTAGTGGTTATGGGAAGATATTTGCTTTTTCACCGTAGGCCTCAGAGCGCTCCAAATATCCACTTGCACATACTACAAAAAGAGTGCCTCAAAGCTGCTCTCTGAAACGGAATGTTCAACTCTATGAGTTGAATGCAAACATCACAAAGACGTCTCTGAGAATGCTTCTGTCTAGATTTGATATGAAGATATTCCCGTTTCCAAAGAAATCTTCAAATCTATCCAAATGTCCACTTGCAGATTCAACAAAAAGTGTTTTTCAGAACTCCTCTATCAAAAGAAAGATCCACCTCTGTTAGCTGAGTTCACACATCACAAACAAGTTTATGAGAATGCTTCTGTCTAGTTTTTATTTGAAGATATTTCCTTTCTCACCATAGACCTGAAAGCTGTCCTAATGTTCACTCCCAGATACTACAGAAAGAGTGTTTCAAAACTGCTGTACGAAAGGGAATGTTCAACTCTGTGACTTGAATGCACACATCACAAAGAAGCTTCTGAGGATGCTGCTGTCTACTTTTTATACGTAATCCCGTTTCCAATGAAATCCTCCAAGCTATCCAAATATCCACTTGCAGATTCTACAGAAAGACTGTTTCAAAACTGCTCTGTCAATAGAAAGGTTCAACTCTGTTAGCTGCGTGCATATATCCCAAAGAAGATTCTGAGATTGCTTCTGTCTAGTTTTTATGGGAAGATATTTCCCTTTTCATCGTAGGTGTCAAGGCGCTCCAAATGTCCACTTCCAGATACAACAAAAAGAGTGTTTCAAACCTACTCTGTGAAAGGGAATATTCAACACTGTGACTTGAATGCACATATCACAAAGAAGTTTCTGAGAATGCTTCTGTCGAGATTTTATATGAAGATATTCCCGTTTCCAACGAAATCCTGAAATCTATCCAAATATCCCCTCGCAGATTCTACAAAAAGAGTGTTTCAAAACTGCTCTGTAAAAAGAAAGGTTCAACTCTGTTAGTTGAGTACACACATCACAAATAAGTTTCACAGAATGCTTCTTTCTAGCTTGTAGGGGAAGATATTCCCTTTATCACCATGGGCCTCAAACAGTCCGAAACGTCCACTTCCATATACTACAAAAAGAGCGTTTCAAACCTGCTAAATGAAAGGCAATGTTCAACTCTGTGACTTGAATGCAGACATCACAGAGCAGTTTCTGAGAATGCTTCTGTCTAGATTTTGTAGGAAGATATTCCCGATTCCAACGAAATCTTCACAGCTATCAAAATATCCACTTGCAGATTCTACAAAAAGAGTGTATCAAAACTGCTCTGTCAAAAGGAAGGTTCTTCTCTGTTAGGTGAGTGCATACGTCATAAAGGAGTTTCTGAGAATGTTTCTGTCTAGTGGTTATGGGAAGATATTTGCTTTTTCACCGTAGGCCTCAGAGCGCTCCAAATATCCACTTCCACATACTACAAAAAGAGTGCTTCAAAGCTGCTCTCTGAAAGGGAATGTTCAACTCTATGAGTTGAATGCAAACATCACAAAGACGTTTCTGAGAATGCTTCTGTCTAGATTTGATATGAAGATATTCCCGTTTCCAACGAAATCTTCAAATCTATCCAAATGTCCACTTGCAGATTCAACAAAAAGTGTTTTTCAGAACTGCTCTATCAAAAGAAAGATCCTCCTCTGTTAGCTGAGTTCACACATCACAAACAAGTTTATGAGAATGCTTCTGTCTTGTTTTTATTAGAAGATATTTCCTTTCTCACCATAGACCTGAAAGCTGTCCTAATGTTCACTTCCAGATACTACAGAAAGAGTGTTTCAAAACTGCTGTACGAAAGGGAATGTTCAACTCTGTGACTTGAATGCACACATCACAAAGAAGTTTCTGAGGATGCTGCTGTCTACTTTTTATACGTAATCCCGTTTCCAACGAAATCCTCCAATCTATCCAAATATCCACTTGCAGATTCCACAGAAAGACTGTTTCAAAACTGCTCTGTCAATAGAAAAGTTCAACTCTGTTAGCTGCGTGCATATATCCCAAAGAAGATTCTGAGATTGCTTCTGTCTAGTTTTTATGGGAAGATATTTCCCTTTTCACCTTAGGCGTCAAGGCGCTCCAAATGTCCACTTCCAGATACTACAAAAAGAGTGTTTCAAACCTACTCTGTGAAAGGGAATATTCAACTCTGTGACTTGAATGCAGATATCACAAAGAAGTTTCTGAGAATGCTTCTGCCTAGTTTTTATGTGAAGATATTCCCGTTTCCAACAAAATCCTCAAAGCTAGCCAAATATCCACTTGCAGACTCTACAAAAAAGAATGTTTGAAAACTGCTCTATCAAAAGAAAAGTTCAACTCTGTTAGTTGAGTAAACACATCACAAACAAGTTTCACAGAATGCTTCTTTCTAGCTTGTAGGGGAAGATATTCCCTTTATCACCATGGGCCTCAAACCGTCCGAAACGTCCACTTCCATATACTACAAAAAGAGCGTTTCAAACCTGCTCTATGAAAGGTAATGTTCAACTCTGTGACTTGAATGCAGACATCACAGAGCAGTTTCTGAGAATGCTTCTGTCTAGATTTTATAGGAAGATATTCCCGTTTCCAACGAAATCTTCACAGCTATCCCAATATCCACTTGCAGATACTACAAAAAGAGTGTATCAAAACTGCTCTGTCAAAAGGAAGGTTCTTCTCTGTTGGGTGAGTGCATACGTCATAAAGGAGTTTCTGAGAATGTTTCTGTCTAGTGGTTATGGGAAGATATTTGCTTTTTCACCGTAGGCCTCAGAGCGCTCCAAATATCCACTTGCACATACTACAAAAAGAGTGCCTCAAAGCTGCTCTCTGAAACGGAATGTTCAACTCTATGAGTTGAATGCAAACATCACAAAGACGTTTCTGAGAAAGCTTCTGTCTAGATTTGATATGAAGATATTCCCGTTTCCAACGAAATCTTCAAATCTATCCAAATGTCCACTTGCAGATTCAACAAAAAGTGTTTTTCAAAACTGCTGTATGAAAAGAAAGATCCACCTCTGTTAGCTGAGTTCACACATCACACATGAGAATGCTTCTGTCTAGTTTTTATTTGAAGATATATCCTTTCTCACTATAGACCTGAAAGCTCTCCTAAAGTTCACTTCCAGATACTACAGAAAGAGTGTTTCAAAACTGCTGTACGAAAGGGAATATTCAACTCTGTGACTTGAATGCACGCATCACAAGGAAGTTTCTGAGGATGCTGCTGTCTACTTTTTATACGTAATCCTGTTTCCAACGAAATCCTCCAAGCTATCCAAATATCCACTTGCAGATTCCACAGAAAGACTGTTTCAAAACTGCTCTGTCAATAGAAAGGTTCAACTCTGTTAGCTGCGTGCATATATCCCAAAGAAGATTCTGAGATTGCTTCTGTCTAGTTTTTATGGGAAGATATTACCCTTTTCACCGTAGGCGTCAAGGCGCTCCAAATGTCCACTTCCAGATACTACAAAAAGAGTGTTTCAAACCTACTCTGTGAAAGGGAATATTCAACTCTGTGACTTGAAGGCAGATATCACAAAGAAGTTTCTGAGAATGCTTCTGTCGAGATTTTATATGAAGTTATTCCCGTTTCCAACGAAATCCTGAAATCTATCCAAATATCCCCTCGCAGATTCTACAAAAGAGTGTTTCAAAACTGTTCTGTAAAAAGAAAGGTTCAACTCTGTTAGTTGAGTACACACATCACAAACAAGTTTCACAGAATGCTTCTTTCTAGCTTGTAGGGGAAGATATTTCCTTTATCACCATGGGCCTCAAACCGTCCGAAACGTCCACTTCCATATACTAAAAAAAGAGTGTTTGAAAGCTGCTCTATGAAAGGCAATGTTCAACTCTGTGACTTGAATGCAGACATCACAGAGCAGTTTCTGACAATGCTTCTGTCTAGATTTTATAGGAAGATATTCCCGTTTCCAACGAAATCTTCACAGCTATCCAAATATCCACTTGCAGATCCTACAAAAAGAGTGTATCAAAACTGCTCTGTCAAAAGGAAGGTTCTTCTCTGTTAGGTGAGTGCATACGTCATAAAGGAGTTTCTGAGAATGTTTCTGTCTAGTGGTTATGGGAAGATATTTGCTTTTTCACCTTAGGCCTCAGAGCGCTCCAAATATCCCCTTGCACATACTACAAAAAGAGTGCTTCAAAGCTGCTCTCTGAAAGGGAATTGTTCAACTCTATGAGTTGAATGCAAACATCACAAAGACGTTTCTGAGAATGCTTCTGTCTAGATTTGATATGAAGATATTCCCGTTTCCAACGAAATCTTCAAATCTATCCAAATGTCCACTTGCAGATTCAACAAAAAGTGTTTTTCAGAACTGCTCTATCAAAAGAAAGATCCCCCTCTGGTTAGCTGAGTTCACACATCACAAACAAGTTTATGAGAATGCTTCTGTCCAGTTTTTATTTGAAGATATTTCCTTTCTCACCATAGAGCTGAAAGCTGTCTTAATGTTCACTTCCAGATAATACAGAAAGAGTGTTTCAAAACTGCTGTACGAAAGGAAATGTTCAACTCTGTGACTTGAATGCACACATCACAAAGAAGTTTCTGAGGATGCTGCTGTCTACTTTTTATACGTAATCCCATTTCCAACGAAATCCTCCAAGCTATCCAAATATCCACTTGCAGATTCCACCGAAAGACTGTTTCAAAACTGCTATGTCAATAGAAAAGTTCAACTCTGTTAGCTGTGTGCATATATCCCAAAGAAAATTCTGAGATTGCTTCTGTCTAGTTTTTATGGGAAGATATTTCCCTTTTCACCGTAGGCGTCAAGGCGCTCCAAATGTCCACTTCCAGATACTACAAAAGGAGTGTTTCAAACCTACTCTGTGAAAGTGAATATTCAACTCTGTGACTTGAATGCAGATATCACAAAGAAGTTTCTGAGAATGCTTCTGTCGAGATTTTATATGAAGATATTCCCGTTTCCAATGAAATCCTGAAATCTATCCAAATATCCCCTCGCAGATTCTACAAAAGAGTGTTTCAAAACTGCTCTGCAAAAAGAAAGGTTCAACTCTGTTAGTTGAGTACACACATCACAAACAAGTTTCACAGAATGCTTCTTTCTAGCTTGTAGGGGAAGATATTCCCTTTATCACCATGGGCCTCAAACCGTCCGAAACGTCCACTTCCATATACTACAAAAAGAGCGTTTAAAACCTGCTCTAGGAAAGGCAATGTTCAACTCTGTGACTTGAATGCAGACATCACATAGCAGTTTCTGAGAATGCTTCTGTCTAGATTTTATAGGAAGATATTCCCGTTTCCAACAAAATCTTCACAGGTATCCAAATATCCACTTGCAGATTCTACAAAAAGAGTGTATCAAAACTGCTCTGTCAAAAGGGAGGTTCTTCTCTGTTAGGTGAGTGCATACGTCATAAAGGAGTTTCTGAGAATGTTTCTGTCTAGTGGTTATGGGAAGATATTTGCTTTTTCACCGTAGGCCTCAGAGAGCTCCAAATATCCACTTGCACATACTACAAAAAGAGTGCCTCAAAGCTGCTCTCTGAAACGGAATGTTCAACTCTATGAGTTGAATGCAAACATCACAAAGACGTTTCTGAGAATGCTTCTGTCTAGATTTGATATAAAGATATTCCCGTTTCCAATGAAATCTTCAAATCTATCCAAATGTCCACTTGCAGATTCAACAAAAAGTGTTTTTCAGAACTGCTCTATCAAAAGAAAGATCCACCTCTGTTAGCTGAGTTCACACATCACAAACAAGTTTATGAGAATGCTTCTGTCTAGTTTTTATTTGAAGATATTTCCTTTCTCACCATAGACCTGATAGCTGTCCTAATGTTCACTTCCAGATACTACAGAAAGAGTGTTTCAAAACTGCTGTACGAAAGGGAATGTTCAACTCTGTGACTTGAATGCACACATCACAAAGAAGTTTCTGAGGATGCTGCTGTCTACTTTTTATACGTAATCCCGTTTCCAACGAAATCCTCCAATCTATCCAAATATCCACTTACAGATTCCACAGAAAGACTGTTTCAAAACTGCTCTGTCAATAGAAATGTTCAACTCTGTTAGCTGCGTGCATATATCCCAAAGAAGATTCTGAGATTGCTTCTGTCTAGTTTTTATGGGAAGATATTTCCCTTTTCACCGTAGGCGTCAAGGCGCTCCAAATGTCCACTTCCAGATACTACAAAAAGAGTGTTCCAAACCTACTCTGTGAAAGGGAATATTCAACTCTGTGACTTGAATGCACATATCACAAAGAAGTTTCTGAGAATGCTTCTGTCGAGATTTTATATGAAGATATTCCCGTTTCCAACGAAATCTTGAAATCTATCCAAATATCCCCTCGCAGATTCTACAAAAAGAGTGTTTCAACACTGCTCTGTAAAAAGAAAGGTTCAACTCTGTTGGTTGAGTACACACATCACAAACAAGTTTCACAGAATGCTTCTTTCTAGCTTGTAGGGGAAGATATTCCCTTTATCACCATGGGCCTCAAACCGTCTGAAACGTCCACTTCCATATACTACAAAAAGAGCATTTCAAACCTGCTCTATGAAAGGCAATGTTCAACTCTGTGAGTTGAATGCAGACATCACAGAGCAGTTTCTGAGAATGCTTCTGTATAGATTTTATAGGAAGATATTCCCGTTTCCAACGAAATCTTCACAGCTATCCAAATATCCACTTGCAGATTCTACAAAAAGAGTGTATCAAAACTGCTCTGTCAAAAGGAAGGTTCTTTTCTGTTAGGTGAGTGCATACGTCATAAAGGAGTTTCTGAGAATGTTTCTGTCTAGTGGTTATGGGAAGATATTTGCTTTTTCACCTTAGGCCTCAGAGCGCTCCAAATATCCACTTGCACATACTACAAAAAGAGTGCCTCAAAGCTGCTCTCTGAAACGGAATGTTCAACTCTATGAGTTGAATGCAAACATCACAAAGACGTTTCTGAGAATGCTTCTGTCTAGATTTGATATGAAGATATTCCCGTTTCCAACGAAATCTTCAAATCTATCCAAATGTCCACTTGCAGATTCAACAAAACGTGTTTTTCAGAACTGCTCTATCAAAAGAAAGATCCACCTCTGTTAGCTGAGTTCACACATCACAAACAAGTTTATGACAATGCTTCTGTCTACTTTTTATTTGAAGATATTTCCTTTCTCACCATAGACCTGAAAGCTGTCCTAATGTTCACTTCCAGATACTACAGAAAGAGTGTTTCAAAACTGCTGTACGAAAGGGAATGTTCAACTCTGTGACTTGAATGCACACATCACAAAGAAGTTTCTGAGGATGCTGCTGTCTACTTTTTATACGTAATCCCGTTTCCAACGAAATCCTCCAAGCTCTCCAAATATCCACTTGCAGATTCCACAGAAAGACTGTTTCAAAACTGCTCTGTCAATAGAAAGGTTCAACTGTGTTAGCTGCGTGCATATATCCCAAAGAAGATTCTGAGATTGCTTCTGTCTAGTTTTTATGGGAAGATATTTCCCTTTTCACCGTAGGCGTCAAGGCGCTCCAAATGTCCACTTCCAGATACTACAAAAAGAGTGTTTCAAACCTACTCTGTGAAAGGGAATATTCAACTCGGTGACTTGAATGGAGATATCACAAAGAAGTTTCTGAGAATGCTTCTGTCGAGATTTTATATGAAGATATTCCCGTTTCCAACGAAATCCTGAAATCTATCCAAATATCCCCTCGCAGATTCTACAAAACGAGTGTTTCAAAACTGCTCTGTAAAAAGAAAGGTTCAACTCTGTTAGTTGAGTACACACATCACAAACAAGTTTCACACAATGCTTCTTTCTAGCTAGTAGGGGAAGATATTCCCTTTATCACCATGGGCCTCAAACCGTCCGAAACGTCCACTTCCATATACTACAAAAAGAGCGTTTCAAACCTGCTCTATGAAAGGCAATGTTCAACTCTGTGACTTGAATGCAGACATCACAGAGCAGTTTCTGAGAATGCTTCTGTCTAGATTTTATAGGAAGATATTCCCGTTTCCAACGAAATCTTCACAGCTATCCAAATATCCACTTGCAGATTCTACAAAAAGAGTGTATCAAAACTGCTCTGTCAAAAGGAAGGTTCTTTTCTGTTAGGTGAGTGCATACGTCATAAAGGAGTTTCTGAGAATGCTTCTGTCTAGTGGTTATGGGAAGATATTTGCTTTTTCACCATAGGCCTCAGAGCGCTCCAAATATCCACTTGCACATACTACAAAAAGAGTGCTTCAAAGCTGCTCTCTGAACGGGAATGTTCAACTCTATGAGTTGAATGCTAACATCACAAAGACGTTTCTGAGAATGCTTCTGTCTAGATTTGATATGAAGATATTCCCGTTTCCAACGAAATCTTCAAATCTATCCAAATGTCCACTTGCAGATTCAACAAAAAGTGTTTTTCAGAACTGCTCTATCAAACGAAAGATCCACCTCTGTTAGCTGAGTTCACACATCACAAACAAGTTTATGAGAATGCTTCTGTCTAGTTTTTATTTGAAGATATTTCCTTTCTCACCATACACCTGAAAGCTGTCCTAATGTTCACTTCCAGTTACTACAGAAAGAGTGTTTCAAAACTGCTGTACGAAAGGGAATGTTCAACTCTGTGACTTGAATGCACACATCACAAAGAAGTTTCTGAGGATGCTGCTGTCTAATTTTTATACGTAATCCCGTTTCCAATGAAATCCTCCAAGCTATCCAAATATCCACTTGCAGATTCCACAGAAAGACTGTTTCAAAACTGCTCTGTCAATAGAAAGGTTCAACTCTGTTAGCTGCGTGCAAATATCCCAAAGAAGATTCTGAGATTGCTTCTGTCTAGTTTTTATGGGAAGATATTTCCCTTTTCAAAGTAGGTGTCAATGTGCTCCAAATGTCCACTTCCAGACACTACAAAAAGAGTGTTTCAAACCTACTCTGTGAAAGGGAATATTCAACTCTGTGACTTGAATGCAGATATCACAAAGAAGTTTCTGAGAATGCTTCTGTCGAGATTTTATATGAAGATATTCCCGTTTCCAACGAAATCCTGAAATCTATCCAAATATCCCCTCGCAGATTCTACAAAAAGAGTGTTTCAAAACTGCTCTGTGAAAAGAAAGGTTCAATTCTGTTAGTTGAGTACACACATCACAAACAAGTTTCACAGAATGCTTCTTTCTAGCTTGTAGGGGAAGATATTCCCTTTATCACCATGGGCCTCAAACCGTCCGAAAAGTCCACTTCCATATACTACAAAAAGAGCATTTCAAACCTGCTCTATGAAAGGCAATGTTGAACTCTGTGACTTGAATGCAGACATCACAGAGCAGTTTCTGAGAATGCTTCTGTCTAGATTTTATAGGAAGATATTCCCGTTTCCAACGAAATCTTCACAGGTATCCAAATATCCACTTGCAGATTCTACAAAAAGAGTGTATCAAAACTGCTCTGTCAAAAGGAAGGTTCTTCTCTGTTAGTTGAGTGCATACGTCATAAAGGAGTTTCTGAGAATGTTTCTGTCTAGTGGTTATGGGAAGATATTTGATTTTTCACCTTAGGCCTCAGAGCGCTCCAAATATCCCCTTGCACATACTACAAAAAGAGTGCTTCAAAGCTGCTCTCTGAAAGGGAATGTTCAACTCTATGAGTTGAATGCAAACATCACAAAGACGTTTCTGAGAATGCTTCTGTCTAGATTTGAAATGAAGTTATTCCCGTTTCCAACGAAATCTTCATATCTATCCAAATGTCCACTTGCAGATTCAACAAAAAGTGTTTTTCAGAACTGCTCTATCAAAAGAAAGATCCACCTCGGTTAGCTGAGTTCACACATCACAAAGAAGTTTATGAGAATGCTTCTGTCTAGTTTTTATTTGAAGATATTTCCTTTCTTACCATAGAGCTGAAAGCTGTCCTAATGTTCACTTCCAGATACTACAGAAAGAGTGTTTCAAAACTGCTGTACGAAAGGGAATGTTCAACTCTGTGACTTGAATGCACACATCACAAAGAAGTTTCTGAGGATGCTGCTGTCTACTTTTTATACGTAATCCCGTTTCCAACGAAATCCTCAAAGCTATCCAAATATCCACTTGCAGATTCCACAGAAAGACTGTTTCAAAACTGCTCTGTCAATAGAAAGCTTCAACTCTGTTAGCTGCGTGCATATATCCCAAAGAAGATTCTGAGATTGCTTCTGTCTAGTTTTTATGGGAAGATTTTTCCCTTTTCACCGTAGGTGTCAAGGCGCTCCAAATGTCCACTTCCAGATACTACAAAAAGAGTGTTTCAAACCTACTCTGTGAAAGGGAATATTCAACTCTGTGACTTGAATGCACATATCACAAGGAAGTTTCTGAGAATGCTTCTGTAGAGATTTTATATGAAGATATTCCCGTTTCCAACGAAATCCTGAAATGTATCCAAATATCCCCTCGCAGATTCTACAAAAAGAGTGTTTCAAAACTGCTCTGTAAAAAGAAAGGTTCACCTCTGTTAGTTGAGTACACACATCACAAACAAGTTTCACAGAATGCTTCTTTCTAGCTTGTAGGGGAAGATATTCCCTTTATCACCATGGGCCTCAAACCGTCCGAAACGTCCACTTCCATATCCTACAAAAAGAGTGTTTCAAACCTGCTCTATGAACGGCAATGTTCAACTCTGTGACTTGAATGCAGACATCACAGAGCAGTTTCTGAGAATGCTTCTGTCTAGATTTTATAGGAAGATATTCCCGTTTCCAACGAAATCTTCACAGGTATCCAAATATCCACTTGCAGATTCTACAAAAAGAGTGTAACAAAACTGCTCTGTCAAAAGGAAGGTTCTTCTCTGTTAGGTGAGTGCTTACGTCATAAAGGAGTTTCTGAGAATGTTTCTGTCTAGTGGTTATGGGAAGATATTTTCTTTTTCACCGTAGGCCTCAGAGCGCTCCAAATATCCACTTGCACATACTACAAAAAGAATGTTTCAAAGCTGCTCTCTGAAAGGGAATGTTCAACTCTATGAGTTGAATGCAAACATGACAGAGACGTTTCTGAGAATGCTTCTGTCTAGATTTGATATGAAGATATTCCCGTTTCCAACGAAATCTTCAAATCTATCCAAATGTCCACTTGCAGATTCAACAAAAAGTGTTTTTCAGAACTGTTCAATCAAAAGAAAGATCCACCTCTGTTAGCTGAGTTCACACTTCACAAACAAGTTTATCAGAATGCTTCTGTCTAGTTTTTATTTGAAGATATATCCTTTCTCACTATAGACCTGAAAGCTGTCCTAAAGTTCACTTCCAGATACTACAGAAAGAGTGTTTCAAAACTGCTGTATGAAAGGGAATGTTCAACTCTGTGACTTGAATGCACACATCACAAGGATGTTTCTGAGGATGCTGCTGTCTACTTTTTATACGTAATCCCGTTTCCAACGTAATCCTCCAGGCTATCCAAATATCCACTTGCAGATTCCACAGAAAGACTGTTTCAAATCTGCTCTGTCAATAGAAAAGTTCAACTCTATTAGCTGCGTGCATATATCCCAAAGAAGATTCGGAGATTGCTTCTGTCTAGTTTTTATGGGAAGATATTTCCCTTTTCACCGTAGGCGTCAGGGCGCTCCAAATGTCCACTTCCAGATACTACAAAAAGAGTGTTTCAAACCTACTCTGTGAAAGGGAATATTCAACTCTGTGACTTGAATGCACATATCACAAGGAAGTTTCTGAGAATGCTTCTGTCGAGATTTTATATGAAGATATTCCCCTTTCCAACGAAATCCTGAAATCTATCCAAATATCCCCTCGCAGATTCTACAAAAAGAGTGTTTCAAAACTGCTCTGTAAAAAGAAAGGTTCAACTCTGTTAGTTGAGTACACACCTCACAAACAAGTTTCACATAATGCTTCTTTCTAGCTTGTAGGGGAAGATATTCCCTTTATCACCATGGGCCACAAACCGTCCGAAACGTCCACTTCCATATACTACAAAAAGAGCGTTTCAAACGTGCTCTATGAAAGGCAATGTTCAACTCTGTGACTTGAATGCAGACATCACAGAGCAGTTTCTGAGAATGCTTCTGTCTAGATTTTATAGGAAGATATTCCCGTTTCCAACGAAATCTTCACAGCTATCCAAATATCCACTTGCAGATTCCACAAAAAGAGTGTATCAAAACTGCTCTGTCGAAAGGAAGGTTCTTCTCTGTTAGGTGAGTGCATACGTCATAAAGGAGTTTCTGAGAATGTTTCTGTCTAGTGGTTATGGGAAGATATTTGCTTTTTCACCGTAGGCCTCAGAGCGCTCCAAATATCCACTTGCACATACTACAAAAAGAGTGCTTCAAAGCTGCTCTCGGAAAGGGAATGTTCAACTCTATGAGTTGAATGCAAACATCACAAAGACGTTTCTGAGAATGCTTCTGTCTAGATTTGATATGAAGATATTCTCGTTTCCAAAGAAATCTTCAAATCTATCCAAATGTCCACTTGCAGATTCAACAAAAAGTGTTTTTCAGAACTGCTCTATCAAAAGAAAGATCCACGTCTCTTAGCTGAGTTCACAGATCACAAACAAGTTTATGAGAATGCTTGTGTCTAGTTTTTATTTGAAGATATTTCCTTTCTCACCATAGACCTGAAAGCTGTCCTAATGTTCACTTCCAGATACTACAGAAAGAGTGTTTCAAAACTGCTGTACGAAAGGGAATGTTGAACTCTGTGACTTGAATGCACACATCACAAAGAAGTTTCTGAGGATGCTGCTGTCTACTTTTATACGTAATCCCGTTTCCAACGAAATCCTCCAAGCTATCCAAATATCCACTTGCAGATTCCACAGAAAGACTGTTTCAAAACTGCTCTGTCAATAGAAAGGTTCAACTCTGTTAGCTGCGTGCATATATCCCAAAGAAGATTCTGAGATTGCTGCTGTCTAGTTTTTATGGGAAGATATTTCCCTTTTCACCGTAGGCGCCAAGGACGCTCCAAATGTCCACTTCCAGATACTACAAAAAGAGTGTTTCAAACCTACTCTGTGAAAGGGAATATTCAACTCTGTGACTTGAATGCACATATCACAAAGAAGTTTCTGAGAATGCTTCTGTCGAGATTTTATATGAAGATATTCCCGTTTCCAACGAAATCCTGAAATCTATCCAAATATCCCCTCGCAGATTCTACAAAAAGAGTGTTTCAAAACTGCTCTGTAAAAAGAAAGGTTCAACTCTGTTAGATGAGTACACACATCACAAACAAGTTTCACAGAATGCTTCTTTCTAGCTTGTAGGGGAAGATATTCCCTTTATCACCATGGGCCTCAAACCGTCTGAAACGTCCACTTCCATATACTACAAAAAGAGCATTTCAAACCTGCTCTATGAAAGGCAATGTTCAACTCTGTGACTTGAATGCAGACATCACAGTAGCAGTTTCTGAGAATGCTTCTGTCTAGATTTTATAGGAAGATATTCCCGTTTCCAACGAAATCTTCACAGGTATCCAAATATCCACTTGCAGATTCTACAAAAAGAGTGTATCAAAACTGCTCTGTCAAAAGGAAGGTTCTTCTCTGTTAGGTGAGTGCATACGTCATAAAGGAGTTTCTGAAAATGTTTCTGTCTAGTGGTTATGGGAAGATATTTGCTTTTTCCCCGTAGGCCTCAGGGCGCTCCAAATGTCCACTTGCACATGCTACAAAAAGTGCTTCAAAGCTGCTCTCTGAAAGGGAATGTTCAACTCTATGAGTTGAATGCAAACATCACAAAGACGTTTCTGAGAATGCTTCTGTCTAGATTTGATATGAAGATATTCCCGTTTCCAACGAAATCTTCAAATCTATCCAAATGTCCACTTGCAGATTCAACAGAAAGTGTTTTTCAGAACTGCTCTATCAAAAGAAAGATCCACCTCTGTTAGCTGAGTTCACACATCACAAACAAGTTTATGAGAATGCTTCTGTCTAGTTTTTATTTGAAGATATATCCTTCCTCACTATAGACCTGAAAGCTCTCCTAAAGTTCACTTCCAGATACTACAGAAAGAGTGTTTCAAACCTGCTGTACGAAAGGGAATTTTCAACTCTGTGACTTGAGTGCACACATCACAAGGAAGTTTCTGAGGATGCTGCTGTCTACTTTTTATACGTAATCCCGTTTCCAAAGAAATCCTCCAATCTATCCAAATATCCACTTGCAGATTCCACAGAAAGACTGTTTCAAATCTGCTCTGTCAATAGAAAGATTCAACTCTGTTAGCTGCGTGCATATATCCCAAAGAAGATTCTGAGATTGCTTCTGTCTAGTTTTTATGGGAAGATATTTCCCTTTTCACCGTAGGTGTCAAGGCGCTCCAAATGTCCACTTCCAGATACTACAAAAAGAGTGTTTCCAACCTACTACTGTGAAAGGGAATATTCAACTCTGTGACTTGAATGCACATATCACAAAGAAGTTTCTGAGAATGCTTCTGTCGAGATTTTATATGAAGATATTCCCGTTTCCAACGAAATCCTGAAATCTATCCACATATCCCCTCGCAGATTCTACAAAAAGAGTGTTTCAAAACTGCTCTGTAAAAAGAAAGGTTCAACTCTGTTAGTTGAGTACACACATCACAAACAAGTTTCACAGAATGCTTCTTTCTAGCTTGTAGGGGAAGATATTCCCTTTATCACCATGGGCCTCAAACCGTCCGAAAAGTCTACTTCCATATACTACAAAAAGAGCGTTTCAAACCTTCTCTAGGAAAAGCAATGTTCAACTCTGTGACTTGAATGCAGACATCACAGAGCAGTTTCTGAGAATGCTTCTGTCTGGATTTTATAGGAAGATATTCCCGTTTCCAACGAAATCTTCACAGCTATCCAAATATCCACTTGCAGATTCTACAAAAAGAGTGTATCAAAACTGCTCTGTCAAAAGGAAGTTTCTTCTCTGTTAGTTGAGTACATACGTCATAAAGGAGTTTCTGAGAATGTTTCTGTCTAGTGGTTATGGGAAGATATTTGCTTTTTCACCGTAGGCCTCAGAGCACTCCAAATATCCACTTGCACATACTACAAAAAGAGTGCTTCAAAGCTGCTCTCTGAAACGGAATGTTCAACTCTATGAGTTGAATGCAAACATCACAAAGACGTTTCTGAGAATGCTTCTGTCTAGATTTGATATGACGATATTCCCGTTTCCAACGAAATCTTCAAATCTATCGAAATGTCCACTTGCAGATTCAACAAAACGTGTTTTTCAGAACTGCTCTATCAAAAGAAAGATCCACCTCTGTTAGCTGAGTTCACACATCACAAACAAGTTTATGAGAATGCTTCTGTCTAGTTTTTATTTGAAGATATTTCCTTTCTCACCATAGACCTGAAAGCTGTCCTAATGTTCACTTCCAGATACTACAGAAAGAGTGTTTCAAAACTGCTGTACGAAAGGGAATGTTCAACTCTGTGACTTGAACGCACACATCACAAAGAAGTTTCTGAGGATGCTGCTGTCTACTTTTTATACGTAATCCCGTTTCCAACGAAATCCTACAAGCTATCCAAATATCCACTTGCAGATTCCACAGAAAGACTGTTTCAAAACTGCTCTGTCAATAGAAAGGTTCAACTCTGTTAGCTGCGTCCATATATCCCAAAGAAGATTCTGAGATTGCTCTGTCTAGTTTTTATGGGAAGATATTTCCCTTTTCACCGTAGGCGTCAAGGCGCTCCAAATGTCCACTTCCAGATACTACAAAAAGAGTGTTTCAAACCTACTCTGTGAAAGGGAATATTCAACTCTGTGACTTGAAGGCAGATATCACAAAGAAGTTTCTGAGAATGCTTTCTGTCGAGATTTTATATGAAGATATTCCCGTTTCCAAGGAAATCCTGAAATCTATCCAAATATCCCCTCGCAGATTCTACAAAAAGAGTGCTTCAAAACTGCTCTGTAAAAAGAAAGGTTCAACTCTGTTAGTTGAGTACACACATCACAAACAAGCTTCACAGAATGCTTCTTTCTAGCTTGTAGGGGAAGATATTCCCTTTATCACCATGGGCCTCCAACCGTCCGAAACATCCAGTTCCATATACTACAAAAAGAGCGTTTCAAATCTGCTCTATGAAAGGCAATGTTCAACTCTGTGACTTGAATGCAGACATCACAGAGCAGTTTCTGAGAATGCTTCTGTCTAGATTTTATAGGAAGATATTCCCGTTTCCAACGAAATCTTCACAGCTATCCAAATATCCACTTGCAGATTCTACAAAAAGAGTGTATCAAAACTGCTCTGTCAAAAGGAAGGTTCTTTTCTGTTAGGAGAGTGCATACGTCATAAAGGAGTTTCTGAGAATGTTTCTGTCTAGTGGTTATGGGAAGATATTTGCTTTTTCACCGTAGGCCTCAGAGCGCTCCAAATATCCACTTGCACATACTACAAAAAGAGTGCTTCAAAGCTGGTCTCTGAAACGGGAATGTTCAACTCTATGAGTTGAATGCAAACATCACAAAGACGTTTCTGAGAATGCTTCTGTCTAGATTGGATATGAAGATATTCCCGTTTCCAACGAAATCTTCACATCTATCCAAATGTCCACTTGCAGATTCAACAAAAAGTGTTTTTCAGAACTGCTCTATCAAAAGAAAGATCCACCTCTGTTAGCTGAGTTCACACATCACAAACAAGTTTATGAGAATGCTTCCGTCTAGTTTTTATTTGAAGATATATCCTTTCTCACTATAGACCTGAAAGCTGTCCTAAAGTTCACTTCCAGATACTACAGAAAGAGTGTTTCAAATCTGCTGTACGAAAGGGAATGTTCAACTCTGTGACTTGAATGCACACATCACAAGGATGTTTCTGAGGATGCTGTGGTCTACTTTATATACGTAATCCCGTTTCCAACGAAATCCTCCAAGCTATCCAAATATCCACTTGCAGATTCCACAGAAAGACTGTTTCAAAACTGCTCTGTCAATAGAAAGGTTCAACTCTGTTAGCTGCGTGCATATATCCCAAAGAAGATTCTGAGATTGCTTCTGTCTAGTTTTTATGGGAAGATATTTCCCTTTTCACCGTAGGTGTCAAGGCGCTCCAAATGTCCACTTCCAGATACTACAAATAGAGTGTTTCAAACCTACTCTGTGAAAGGGAATATTCAACTCTGTGACTTAAAGGCAGATATCACAAAGAAGTTTCTGAGAATGCTTCTGTCGAGATTTTATATGAAGATACTCCCGTTTCCAACGAAATCCTGAAATCTATCCAAATATCCCCTCGCAGATTCTACAAAAAGAGTGTTTCAAAACTGCACTGTAAAAAGAAAGGTTCAACTCTGTTAGTTGAGTACACACATCACAAACAAGTTTCACAGAATGCTTCTTTCTAGCTTGTAGGGGAAGATATTCCCTTTATCACCATGGGCCTCATACCGTCCGAAACGTCCACTTCCATATACTACAAAAAGAGCGTTTCAAACCTGCTCTATGAAAGGCAATGTTCAACTCTGTGACTTGAATGCAGACATCACAGAGCAGTTTCTGAGAATGCTTCTGTCTAGATTTTATAGGAAGATATTCCCGTTTCCAACGAAATCTTCACAGCTATCCAAATATCCACTTGCAGATTCTACAAAAAGAGTGTATCAAAACTGCTCTGTCAAAAGGAAGGTTCTTCTCTGTTAGGTGAGTGCATACGTCATAAAGGAGTTTCTGACAATGTTTCTGTCTAGTGGTTATGGGAAGATATTTGCTTTTTCACCTTAGGCCTCGGAGCGCTCCAAATATCCCCTTGCACATACTACAAAAAGTGTGCTTCAAAGCTGCTCTCTGAAACGGAATGTTCAACTCTATGAGTTGAATGCAAACATCACAAAGACGTTTCTGAGAATGCTTCTGTCTAGATTTGATATGAAGATATTCCCGTTTCCAACGAAATCTTCAAATCTATCCAAATGTCCACTTGCAGATTCAACAAAGTGTTTTTCAGAACTGCTCTATCACAAGAAAGATCCACCTCTGTTAGCTGAGATCACACTTCACAAACAAGTTTATCAGAATGCTTCTGTCTAGTTTTTATTTGAAGATATTTCCTTTCTCACGATAGACCTGAAAGCTGTTCTAATGTTCACTTCCATATGCTACAGAAAGAGTGTTTCAAAACTGCTGTACGAAAGGGAATGTTCAACTCTGTGACTTGAATGCACACATCACAAAGAAGTTTCTGAGGATGCTGCTGTCTACTTTTTATACGTAATCCCGTTTCCAAGGAAATCCTCCAAGCTATCCAAATATCCACTTGCAGATTCCACAGAAAGACTGTTTCAAAACTGCTCTGTCAATAGAAAGGTTCAACTCTGTTAGCTGCGTGCATATATCCCAAAGAAGATTCTGAGATTGCTTCTGTCTAGTTTTTATGGGAAGATATTGCCCTTTTCACCGTAGGCGTCGAGGCGCTCCAAATGTCCACTTCCAGATACTACAAAAAGAGTGTTTCAAACCTACTCTGTGAAAGGGAATATTCAACTCTGTGACTTGAATGCACATATCACAAAGAAGTTTCTGAGAATGCTTCTGTCGAGATTTTATATGAAGATATTCCCGTTTCCAACGAAATGCTGAAATGTATCCAAATATCCCATCGCAGATTCTACAAAAAGAGTGTTTCAAAACTGCTCTGTAAAAAGAAAGGTTCAACTCTGTTAGTTGAGTACACACATCACAAACAAGTTTCACAGAATGCTTCTTTCTAGCTTGTAGGGGAAGATATTCCCTTTATCACCATGGGCCTCAAACCGTCCGAAACGTCCACTTCCATATACTACAAAAAGAGCGTTTCAAACCTGCTCTATGAAAGGCAATGTTCAACTCTGTGACTTGAATACAGACATCGCAGAGCAGTTCCTGAGAATGCTTCTGTCTAGATTTTACAGGAAGATATTCCCGTTTCCAACGAAATCTTCACAGCTATCCAAATATCCACTTGCAGATTCTACAAAAAGAGTGTATCAAAACTGCTCTGTCAAAAGGAAGGTTCTTCTCCGTTAGTTGAGTACATACGTCATAAAGGAGTTTCTGAGAATGTTTCTGTCTAGTGGTTATGGGAAGATATTTGCTTTTTCACCGTAGGCCTCAGAGCGCTCCAAATATCCACTTGCACATACTACAAAAAGAGTGCTTCAAAGCTGGTCTCTGAAACGGAATGTTCAACTCTATGAGTTGAATGCAAACATCCCAAAGACGTTTCTGAGAATGCTTCTGTCTAGATTTGATATGAAGATATTCCCGTTTCCAACGAAATCTTCAAATCTATCCAAATGTCCACTTGCAGATTCAACAAAAAGTGTTTTTCAGAACTGCTCTATAAAAAGAAAGATCCACCTCTGTTAGCTGAGTTCACACATCACAAACAAGTTTATGAGAATGCTTCTGTCTAGTTTTTATTTGAAGATATTTCCTTTCTTACCATAGACCTGAAAGCTCTCATCACGTTCACTTCCAGATACTACAGAAAGAGTGTTTCAAAACTGCTGTACGAAAGGGAATGTTCAACACTTTGACTTGAATGCACACATCACAAAGAAGTTTCTGAGAATGCTGCTGTCCAATTTTTATACGTAATCCCGTTTCCAACGAAATCCTCCAAGCCATCCAAATATCCACTTGCAGATTCCACAGAAAGACTGTTTCAAAACTGCTCTGTCAATAGAAAGGTTCAACTCTGTTAGCTGCGTGCATATATCCCAAAGAAGATTCTGAGATTACTTCTGTCTAGTTTTTATGGGAAGATATTTCCCTTTGCACCGTAGGTGTCAAGGCGCTCCAAATGTCCACTTCCAGATACTACAAAAAGAGTGTTTCAAACCTACTCTGTGAAAGGGAATATTCAACTCTGTGACTTGAATGCACATATCACAAAGAAGTTTCTGAGAATGCTTCTGTCGAGATTTTATATGAAGATATTCCCGTTTCCAACGAAATCCTGAAATCTATCCAAATATCCCCTCGCAGATTCTACAAAAAGAGTGTTTCAAAACTGCTCTTTAAAAAGTAAGGTTCAACTCTGTTAATTGAGTACACACATCACAAACAAGTTTCACAGAATGCTTGTTTGTAGCTTGTAGGGAAAGATATTCCCTTTATCACCATGGGCCTCAAACCGTCCGAAACGTCCACTTCCATATACTTCAAAAAGAGCGTTTCAAACCTGCTCTATGAAAGGCAATGTTCAACTCTGTGACTTGAATGCAGACATCACAGAGCTGTTTCTGAGAATGCTTCTGTCTAGATTTTATAGGATGATATTCCCGATTCCAACGAAATCTTCACAGCTATCCAAATATCCACTTGCAGATTCTACAAAAAGAGTGTATCAAAACTGCTCTGTCAAAAGGAAGGTTCTTCTCTGTTAGGTGAGTGCATACGTCATAAAGGAGTTTCTGAGAATGTTTCTGTCTAGTGGTTATGGGAAGATATTTGCTTTTTCACCTTAGGCCTCAGAGCGCTCCAAATATCCCCTTGCACATCCTACAAAAAGAGTGCTTCAAAGCTGCTCTCTGAAAGGGAATGTTCAACTCTATGAGTTGAATGCAAACATCACAAAGACGTTTCTGAGAATGCTTCTGTCTAGATTTGATATGAAGATATTCCCGTTTCCAACGAAATCTTCAAATCTATCCAAATGTCCGCTTGCAGATTCAACAAAACGTGTTTTTCAGAACTGCTCTATCAAAAGAAAGATGCCACGTCTCTAAGCTGAGTTCACACATCACAAACAAGTTTATGAGAATGCTTCTGTCTAGTTTTTATTTGAAGATATTGCCTTTCTCACCATCGACCTGAAAGCTGTCCTAATGTTCACTTCCAGATACTACAGAAAGAGTGTTTCAAAACTGCTGTACGAAAGGGAATGTTCAACTCTGTGACTTGAATGCACACATCACAAAGAAGTTTCTGAGGATGCTGCTGTCTACTTTTTATACGTAATCCCGTTTCCAATGAAATCCTCCAATCTATCCAAATATCTACTTGCAGATTCCACAGAAAGACTGTTTCAAAACTGCTCTGTCAATAGAAAGGTTCAACTCTGTTAGCTGTGTGCATATATCCCAAAGAAGATTCTGAGATTGCTTCTGTCTAGTTTTTATGGGAAGATATTTCCCTTTTCACCGTAGGCGTCAAGGCGCTCCGAATGTCCACTTCCAGATACTACAAAAAGAGTGTTTCAAACCTCCTCTGTGAAAGGGAATATTCAACTCTGTGACTTGAATGCACATATCACAAAGAAGTTTCTGAGAATGCTTCTGTCGAGATTTTATATGAAGATATTCCCGTTTCCAATGAAATCCTGAAATCTATCCAATTATCCCCTCGCAGATTCTACAAAAAGAGTGTTTCAAAACTGCTCTGTAAAAAGAAAGGTACAACTCTGTTAGTTGAGTACACACATCACAAACAAGTTTCACAGAATGCTTCTTTCTAGCTTGTAGGGGAAGATATTCCCTTTATCACCATGGGCCTCAAACCGTCCGATAAGTCCACTTCCATATACTACAAAAAGAGCGTTTCAAACCTGCTCTATGAAAGGCAATGTTCAACTCTGTGACTTGAATGCAGACATCACAGCAGCAGTTTCTGAGAATGCTTCTGTCTAGATTTTATAGGAAGATATTCCCGTTTCCAACGAAATCTTCACAGCTATCCAAATATCCACTTGCAGATTCTACAAAAAGAGTGTATCAAAACTGCTCTGTCAAAAGGAAGGTTCTTCGCTGTTAGTTGAGTACATACGTCATAAAGGAGTTTCTGAGAATGTTTCTGTCTAGTGGTTATGGGAAGATATTTGCTTTTTCACCGTAGGCCTCACAGCGCTCCAAATATCCCCTTGCACATACTACAAAAAGAGTGCTTCAAAGCTGCTCTCTGAAACGGAATGTTCAACTCTATGAGTTGAATGCAAACATGACAAAGACGTTTCCGAGAATGCTTCTGTCTAGATTTGATATGAAGATATTCCCATTTCCAACGAAATCTTCAAATCTATCCAAATGTCCACTTGCAGATTCAACAGAAAGTGTTTTTCAGAACTGCTCTATCAAAAGAAAGATCCACCTCTGTTAGCTGAGTTCACACATCACAAACAAGTTTATGAGAATGCTTCTGTCTAGTTTTTATTTGAAGATATTTCCTTTCTCACCATAGACCTGAAAGCTGTCCTAATGTTCACTTCCAGATACTACAGAAAGAGTGTTTCAAAACTGCTGTACGAAAGGGAATGTTGAACTCTGTGACTTGAATGCACACATCACAAAGAAGTTTCTGAGAATGCTGCTGTCTACTTATTATACGTAATCCCGTTTCCAACGAAATCCTCCAAGCTATCCAAATATCCAGTTGCAGATTCCACAGAAAGACTCTTTCAAAACTGTTCTGTCAATAGAAAGGTTCAACTCTGTTAGCTGCGTGCATATATCCCAAAGAAGATTCTGAGATTGCTTCTGTCTAGTTTTTATGGGAAGATATTTCCCTTTTCACCGTAGGCGTCAAGGCGCTCCAAATGTCCACTTCCAGATACTACAAAAAGAGTGTTTCAAACCTACTCTGTGAAAGGGTATATTCAACTCTGTGACTTGAATGCACATATCACAAAGAAGTTTCTGAGAATGCTTCTGTCGAGATTTTATATGAAGATATTCCCGTTTCCAACGAAATCCTGAAATCTATCCAAATATCCCCTCACAGATTCTACAAAAGGAGTGTTTCAAAACTGCTCTGTAAAAAGAAAGGTTCAACTCTGTTAGTTGAGTACACACATCACAAACAAGTTTCACAGAATGCTTCTTTCTAGCTGGTAGGGGAAGATATTCCCTTTATCACCATGGGCCTCAAACCGTCCGAAACGTCCACATCCATATACTACAAAAAGAGCGTTTCAAACCTTCTCTATGAAAGGCAATGTTCAACTCTGTGACTTGAATGCAGACATCACAGAGCAGTTTCTGAGAATGCTTCTGTCTAGATTTTATAGGAAGATATTCCCGTTTCCAAAGAAATCTTCACAGCTATCCAAATATCCACTTGCAGATTCTACAAAAAGAGTGTATCAAAACTGCTCTGTCAAAAGGAAGGTTCTTCTCTGTTAGGTGAGTGCACACGTCATAAAGGAGTTTCTGAGAATGTTTCTGTCTACTGGTTATGGGAAGATATTTGCTTTTTCACCGTAGGCCTCAGAGCGCTCCAAATATCCACTTGCACATGCTACAAAAAGAGTGCTTCAAAGCTGCTCTCTGAAACGGAATGTTCAACTTCTATGAGTTGAATGCAAACATCACAAAGACGTTTCTGAGAATGCTTCTGTCTAGATTTGATATGAAGATATTCCCGTTTCCAACTGAAATCTTCAAATCTATCCAAATGCCCACTTGCAGATTCAACAAAAAGTGTTTTTCAGAACTGCTCTATCAAAAGAAAGATCCACCTCTGTTAGCTGAGTTCACACATCACAAACAAGTTTATGAGAATGCTTCTGTCTAGTTTTTATTTGAAGATATTTCCTTTCTCACCATAGACCTGAAAGCTGTCGTAATGTTCACTTCCAGATACTACAGAAAGAGTGTTTCAAAACTGCTGTACGAAAGGGAATGTTCAACTCTGTGACTTGAATGCACACATCACAAAGAAGTTTCTGAGGATCCTGCTTTCTACTTTTTATACGTAATCCCGTTTCCAACGAAATCCTCCAAGCTATCCAAATATCCACTTGCAGATTCCACAGAAAGACTGTTTCAAAACTGCTCTGTCAATAGAAAGGTTCAACTCTGTTACCTGCGTGCATATATCCCAAAGAAGATTCTGAGATTGCTTCTGTCTAGTTTTTATGGGAAAATATTTCCCTTTTCACCGTAGGTGTCAAGGCGCTCCAAATGTCCACTTCCAGATGCTACAAAAAGAGTGTTTCAAACCTACTCTGTGAAAGGGAATATTCAACTCTGTGACTTGAATGCAGATATCACAAAGAAGTTTCTGAGAATGCTTCTGTCGAGATTTTCTATGAAGATATTCCCGTTTCCAACGAAATCCTGAAATCTATCCAAATATCCCCTCGCAGATTCTACAAAAAGAGTGTTTCAAAACCGCTCTGTAAAAAGAAAGGTTCAACTCTGTTAGTTGAGTACACACATCACAAACAAGTTTCACAGAATGCTACTTTCTAGCTTGTAGGGGAAGATATTCCCTTTATCACCATGGGCCTCCAACCGTCCGAAACATCCACTTCCATATACTACAAAAAGAGCGTTTCAAACCTGCTCTATGAAAGGCAATGTTCAACTCTGTGACTTGAATGCAGACATCACAGAGCAGTTTCTGAGAATGCTTCTGTCTAGATTTTATAGGAAGATATTCCCGTTTCCAACGAAATCTTCACAGCTATCCAAATATCCACTTGCAGATTCTACAAAAAGAGTGTATCAAAACTGCTCTGTCAAAAGGAAGGTTCTTCTCTGTTAGTTGAGTACATACGTCATAAAGGAGTTTCTGAGAATCTTTCTGTCTAGTGGTTATGGGAAGATATTTGCTTTTTCACCGTAGGCCTCAGAGCGCTCCAAATATCCCCTTGCACATACTACAAAAAGAGTGCTTCAAAGCTGCTCTCTGAAAGGGAATGTTCAACTCTGTGAGTTGAATGCAAACATCACAAAGACGTTTCTGAGAATGCTTCTGTCTAGATTTGATATGAAGATATTCCCGTTTCCAAAGAAATCTTCAAATCTATCCAAATGTCCACTTGCAGATTCAACAAAAAGTGTTTTTCAGAACTGCTCTATCAAAAGAAAGATCCACCTCTGTTAGCTGAGTTCACACATCACAAACAAGTTTATGAGAATGCTTTCTGTCTAGTTTTTATTTGAAGATATTTCCTTTCTCACCATAGACCTGAAAGCTGTCCTAATGTTCACTTCCAGATACTACAGAAAGAGTGTTTCAAAACTGCTGTACGAAAGGGAATGTTCAACTCTGTGACTTGAATGCACACATCACAAAGAAGTTTCTGAGAATGCTGCTGTCTACTTTTTATACGTAATCCCGTTTCCAACGAAATCCTCCAATCTAACCAAATATCCACTTGCAGATTCCACAGAAAGACTGTTTCAAAACTGCTCTGTCAATAGAAAGGTTCAACTCTGTTAGCTGCGTGCATATATCCCAAAGAAGATTCTGAGATTGCTTCTGTCTAGTTTTTATGGGAAGATGTTTCCCTTTTCACCGTAGGCGTCAAGGCGCTCCAAATGTATACTTCCAGATACTACAAAAGAGTGTTTCAAACCTACACTGTGAAAGGGAATATTCAACTCTGTGACTTGAATGCAGATATCACAAAGAAGTTTCTGAGAATGCTTCTGTCGAGATTTTATATGAAGATATTCCCGTTTCCAACGAAATCCTGAAATCTATCCAAATATCCCCTCGCAGATTCTACAAAAAGAGTGTTTCAAAACTGCTCTGTAAAAAGAAAGGTTCAACTCTGTTAGTTGAGTACACACATCCCAAACAAGTTTCACACAATGCTTCTTTCTAGCTTGTAGGGGAAGATATTTCCTTTATCACCATCATCCTCAAACCATCCGAATCGTCCACTTCCATATACTAAAAAAAGAGTGTTTGAAACCTGCTCTATGAAAGGCAATGTTCAACTCTGTGACTTGAATGCAGACATCACAGAGCAGTTTCTGAGAATGCTTCTGTCCAGACTTTATAGGAAGATATTCCCGTTTCCATCGAAATCTTCACAGCTATCCAAATATCCACTTGCAGATAGTACAAAAAGAGTGTATCAAAAATGCTCTGTCAAAAGGAAAGTTCTTCTCTGCTAGTTGAGTACATACGTCATAAAGAAGTTTCTGAGAATGTTCCTGTCTAGTGGTTATGGGAAGATATTTGCTTTTTCCCTGTAGGCCTCAAAGCGCTCCAAATGTCCACTTCAACGTACTACAAAAAGAGTGCTTCAAAGCTGCTCTCTGAAAGGGAATGTTCAACTCTATGAGTTGAATGCTAACATCACAAAGACGTTTCTGAGAATGCTTCTGTCTAGACTTGATATGAAGATATTCCCGTTTCCAACAAAATCTTCAAATCTATCCAAATGTCCACTTGCAGATTCAACAAAAAGTGTTTTTCAGAACTGCTCTATCAAAAGAAAGATCCACCTCTGTTAGCTGAGTTCACACATCACAAGCAAGTTTATGAGAATGCTTCTGTCCAGTTTTTATTTGAAGATATTTCCTTTCTCACCATAGAGCTGAAAGCTGTCCTAATGTTCACTTCCAGATACTACAGAAAGAGTGTTTCAAAACTGCTGTACGAAAGGGAATGTTCAACTCTGTGACTTGAATGCACACATCACAAAGAAGTTTCTGAGGATGCTGCTGTCTACTTTTTATATGTAATCCCGTTTCCAACGAAATCCTCCAATCTATCCAAATATCCACTTGCAGATTCCACAGAAACACTGTTTCAAAACTGCTCTGTCAATAGAAAGGTTAAACTCTGTTAGCTGCGTGCATATATCCCAAAGAAGATTCTGAGATTGCTTCTGTCTAGTTTTTATGGGAAGATATTTCCCTTTTCACCGTAGGTGTCAAGGCGCTCCCAATGTCCACTTCCAGATACTACAAAAAGAGTGTTTCAAACCTACTTGGTGAAAGGGAATATTCAACTCTGTGACTTGAATGCAGATATCACAAAGATGTTTCTGAGAATGCTTCCGTCGAGATTTTATATGAAGATATTCCCGTTTCCAACGAAATCCTGAAATCTATCCAAATATCCCCTCGCAGATTCTACAAAAAGAGTGTTTCAACACTGCTCTGTAAAAAGAAAGGTTCAACTCTGTTAGTTGAGTACACACATCACAAACAAGTATCACAGAATGCTTCTTTCTAGCTTGTAGGGGAAGATATTCCCTTTATCACCATGGGCCTCAAACCGTCTGAAACGTCCACTTCCATATACTGCAAAAAGAGCATTCCAAACCTGCTCTATGAAAGGCAATGTTCAACTCTGTGACTTGAATGCAGACATCACAGAGCAGTTTCTTGAGAATGCTTCTGTCTAGATTTTATAGGAAGATATTCCCGTTTCCAACGAAATCTTCACAGCTATCCAAATATCCACTTGCAGATTCTACAAAAGGAGTGTATCAAAACTGCTCTGTCAAAAGGAAGGTTCTTCTCTGCTAGGTGAGTGCATACGTCATAAAAGAGTTTCTGAGAATGTTTCTGTCTAGTGGTTATGGGAAGATATTTGCTTTTTCACCGTAGGCCTCACAGCGCTCCAAATATCCACTTGCACACACTACAAAAAGAGTGCTTCAAAGCTGCTCTCTGAAACGGAATGTTCAACTCTATGAGTTGAATGCAAACATCACAAAGACGTTTCTGAGAATGCTTCTGTCTAGATTTGATATGAAGATATTCCCGTTTCCAACGAAATCTTCAAATCTATCCAAATGTCCACTTGCAGATTCAACAAAAAGTGTTTTTCCGAACTGCTCTATCAAAAGAAAGATCCATCTCTGTTAGCTGAGTTCACACATCACAAACAAGTTTATGAGAATGCTTCTGTCTAGTTTTTATTTGAAGATATTTCCTTTCTCACCATAGACCTGAAAACTGTCCTAATGTTCACTTACAGATACTACAGAAAGAGTGTTTCAAAACTGCTGTACGAAAGGGAATGTTCAACTCTGTGACTTGAATGCACACATCACAAAGAAGTTTCTGAGGATGCTGCTGTCTACTTTTTATACGTAATCCCGTTTCCAACGAAATCCTCCAAGCTATCCAAATATCCACTTGCAGATTCCACAGAAAGACTGTTTCAAAACTGCTCTGTCAATAGAAAGGTTCAAATCTGTTAGCTGCGTGCATATATCCCAAAGAAGATTCTGAGATTGCTTCTGTCTACTTTTTATGAGAAGATATTTCCCTTTTCACCGTAGGCGTCAAGGTGCTCAAAATGTCCACTTCCAGATACTACAAAAAGAGTGTTTCAAACCTACTCTGTGAAAGGGAATATTCAACTCTCTGACTTGAATGCACATATCACAAAGAAGTTTCTGAGAATGCTTCTGTCGAGATTTTTTATGAAGATATTCCCGTTTCCAACGAAATCTTGAAATCTATCCAAATATCCCCTCGCAGATTCTACAAAAAGAGTGTTTCAAAACTGCTCTGTAAAAAGAAAGGTTCAACTCTGTTAGTTGAGTACACACATCACAAACAAGTTTCACAGAATGCTTCTTTCTAGCTTGTAGGGGAAGATATTCCCTTTATCACCATGGGCCTCAAACCGTCCGAAACATCCACTTCCATATACTACAAAAAGAGCGTTTCAAACCTGCTCTATGAAAGGCAATGTTCAACTCTGTGACTTGAATGCAGACATCACAGAGCAGTTTCTGAGAATGCTTCTGTCTAGATTTTATAGGAAGATATTCCCGTTTCCAACGAAATCTTCACAGCTATCCAAATATCCACTTGCAGATTCTACAAAAAGAGTGTATCAAAACTGCTCTGTCAAAAAGAAGGTTCTTCTCTGTTAGTTGAGTACATACGTCATAAAGGAGTTTCTGAGAATGTTTCTGTCTAGTGGTTATGGGAAGATATTTGCTTTTTCCCTATAGGCCTCAGAGCGCTCCAAATATCCACTTGCACATACTACAAAAAGAGTGCTTCAAAGCTGCTCTCTGAAAGGGAATGTTCAACTCTATGAGTTGAATGCAAACATCACAAAGACGTTTCTGAGAATGCTTCTGTCTAGATTTGATATGAAGATATTCCCGTTTCCAAAGAAATCTTCAAATCTACCCAAATGTCCACTTGCAGATTCAACAAAAAGTGTTTTTCAGAACTGCTCTATCAAAAGAAAGATCCACGTCTCTTAGCTGAGTTCACACATCACAAACAAGTTTATGAGAATGCTTCTGTCTAGTTTTTATTTGAAGATATTTCCTTTCTCACCATAGACCTGAAAGCTGTCCTAATGTTCACTTCCAGATACTACAGAAAGAGTGTTTCAAAACTGCTGTACGAAAGGGAATGTTCAACTCTGTGACTTGAATGCATACATCACAAAGAAGTTTCTGAGGATGCTGCTGTCTACTTTTTGTACGTAATCCCGTTTCCAACGAAATCCTCAAAGCTATCCAAATATCCACTTGCAGATTCCACAGAAAGACTGTTTCAAAACTGCTCTGTCAATAGAAAGGTTCAACTCTGTTAGCTGCGTGCATATATCCCAAAGAAGATTCTGAGATTGCTTCTGTCTACTTTTTATGAGAAGATATTTCCCTTTTCACCGTAGGCGTCAAGGCGCTCCAAATGTCCACTTCCAGATACTACAAAAAGAGTGTTTCAAACCTACTCTGTGAAAGGGAATATTCAACTCTGTGACTTGAATGCACATATCACAAAGAAGTTTCTGAGAATGCTTCTGTCGAGATTTTCTATGAAGATATTCCCGTTTCCAATGAAATCCTGAAATCTATCCAAATATCCCCTCGCAGATTCTACAAAAAGAGTGTTTCAAAACTGCTCTGTAAAAAGAAAGGTTCAACTCTGTTAGTTGAGTACACACATCACAAACAAGTTTCACAGAATGCTTCTTTCTAGCTTGTAGGGGAAGATATTCCCTGTATCACCATGGACCTCAAACCGTCCGAAACATCCACTTCCATATACTAAAAAAAGAGTGTTTGAAACCTGCTCTATGAAAGGCAATGTTCAACTCTGTGACTTGAATCCAGACATCACAGAGCAGTTTCTGAGAATGCTTCTGTCCAGACTTTATAGGAAGATATTCCCGTTTCCAACGAAATCTTCACAGCTATCCCAATATCCACTTGCAGATAGTACAAAAAGAGTGTATCAAAAATGCTCTGTCAAAAGGAAAGTTCTTCTCTGCTAGTTGAGTACATACGTCATAAAGAAGTTTCTGAGAATGTTTCTGTCTAGTGGTTATGGGAAGATATTTGCTTTTTCACCGTAGACCTCAGAGCGCTCCAAATATCCACTTGCACATACTACAAAAAGAGTGCTTCAAACCTGCTCTCTGAAACGGAATGTTCAACTCTATGAGTTGAATGCAAACATCACAAAGACGTTTCTGAGAATGCTTCTGTCTAGATTGATATGAAGATATTCCCGTTTCCAACGAAATCTTCAAATCTATCCAAATGTCCACTTGCAGATTCAACAAAAAGTGTTTTTCAGAACTGCTCTATCAAAAGAAAGATCCACCTCTGTTAGCTGAGTTCAGACATCACAAACAAGTTTATGAGAATGCTTCTGTCTAGTTTTTATTTGAAGATATTTCCTTTCTCACCATAGACCTGAAAGCTGTCCTAATGTTTACTTCCAGATGCTACAGAAAGAGTGTTTCAAAACTGCTGTACGAAAGGGAATGTTCAACTCTGTGACTTGAATGCACACATCACAAAGAAGTTTCTGAGGATGCTGCTGTCTACTTTTGATACGTAATCCCCTTTCCAACGAAATCCTCCAATCTATCCAAATATCCACTTGCAGATTCCACAGAAAGACTGTTTCAAAACTGCTCTGTCAATAGAAAGGTTCAACTCTGTTAGCTGCGTGCATATATCCCAAAGAAGATTCTGAGATTGCTTCTGTCTTGTTTTTATGGGAAGATATTTCCCTTTTCACCGTAGGCGTCAAGGCGCTCCAAATGTCCACTTCCAGATACTACAAAGAGTGTTTCAAACCTACTCTGTGAAAGGGAATATTCAACTCTGTGACTTGAATGCAGATATCACAAATAAGTTTCTGAGAATGCTTCTGTCGAGATTTTATATGAAGATATTCCCGTTTCCAACAAAATGCTGAAATGTATCCAAATATCCCCTCGCAGATTCTACAAAAAGAGTGTTTCAAAACTGCTCTGTAAAAAGAAAGGTTCAACTCTGTTAGTTGAGTACACACATCACAAACAAGTTTCACAGAATGCTTCTTTCTAGCTTGTAGGGGAAGATATTCCCTTTATCACCATGGGCCTCAAACCGTCCGAAACGTCCACTTCCATATACTACAAAAAGAGCGTTTCAAACCTGCTCTATGAAAGGCAATGTTCAACTCTGTGACTTGAATGCAGACATCACAGAGCAGTTTCTCAGAATGCTGCTGTCTAGATTTTATACGAAGATATTCCCGTTTCCAACGAAATCTTCAATGCTATTCAAATATCCACTTGCAGATTCTACAAAAAGAGTGTATCAAAACTGCTCTGTCAAAAGGAAGGTTCTTCTCTGTTAGGTGAGTGCATACGTCATAAAGGAGTTTCTGAGAATGTTTCTGTCTAGTGGTTATGGGAAGATATTTGCTTTTTCACCGTAGGCCTCAGAGCGCACCAAATATCCACTTGCACATACTACAAAAAGAGTGCTTCAAAGCTGCTCTCTGAAACGGAATGTTCAACTCTATGAGTTGAATGCAAACATCACAAAGACGTTTCTGAGAATGCTTCTGTCTAGATTTGATATGAAGATATTCCCGTTTCCAACGAAATCTTCAAATCTATCCAAATGTCCACTTGCAGATTCAACAAAAAGTGTTTTTCAGAACTGCTCTATCAAAAGAAAGATCCACCTCTGTTAGCTGAGTTCTCACATCACAAACAAGTTTATGAGAATGCTTCTGTCTAGTTTTTATTTGAAGATATTTCCTTTCTCACCATAGAGCTGAAAGCTGTCCTAATGTTCACTTCCGGATACTACAGAAAGAGTGTTTCAAAACTGCTGTACGAAAGGGAATGTTCAACTCTGTGACTTGAATGCACACATCACAAAGAAGTTTCTGAGGATGCTGCTGTCTACTTTTTATACGTAATCCCGTTTCCAACGAAATCCTCCAAGCTATCCAAATATCCACTTGCAGATTCCACAGAAAGACTGTTTCTAAACTGCTCTATCAATAGAAAGGTTCAACTCTGTTAGCTGCGTGCATATATCCCAAAGAAGATTCTGAGATTCCTTCTGTCTAGTTTTTATGGGAAGATATTTCCCTTTTTCACCGTAGGTGTCAAGGCGCTCCAAATGTCCACTTCCAGATACTACAAAAAGAGTGTTTCAAACCTACTCTGTGAAAGGGAATATTCAACTCTGTGACTTGAATGCAGATATCACAAAGTAGTTTCTGAGAATGCTTCTGTCGAGATTTTATATGAAGATATTCCCGTTTCCAACGAAATCCTGAAATCTATCCAAATATCCCCTCGCAGATTCTACAAAAAGAGTGTTTCAAAACTGCTCTGTAAAAAGAAAGGTTCAACTCTGTTAGTTGAGTACACACATCACAAACAAGTTTCACAGAATGCTTCTTTCTAGCTTGTAGGGGAAGATATTCCCTTTATCACCATGGGCCTCAAACCGTCCGAAACGTCCACTTCCATATACTACAAAAAGAGCGTTTCAAACCTGCTCTATGAAAGGCAATGTTCAACTCTGTAACTTGAATGCAGACATCACAGAGCAGTTTCTGAGAATGCTTCTGTCTAGATTTTATAGGAAGATATTCCCGTTTCCAACGAAATCTTCACAGCTATCCAAATATCCACTTGCAGATTCTACAAAAAGAGTGTATCAAAACTGCTCTGTCTAAAGGAAGGTTCTTCTCTGTTAGGTGAGTGCATACGTCATAAAGGAGTTTCTGAGAATGTTTCTGTCTAGTGGTTATGGGAAGATATTTGCTTTTTCACCTTAGGCCTCAGAGCGCTCCAAATATCCACTTGCACATACTACAAAAACAGTGCTTCAAAGCTGCTCTCTGAAAGGGAATGTTCAACTCTATGAGTTGAATGCAAACATCACAAAGACGTTTCTGAGAAGCTTCTGTCTAGATTTGATATGAAGATATTCCCGTTTCCAACGAAATCTTCAAATCTATCCAAATGTCCACTTGCAGATTCAACAAAAAGTGTTTTTCAGAACTGCTCTATCAAAAGAAAGATCCACCTCCGTTAGCTGAGTTCACACATCACAAACAAGTTTATGAGAATGCTTCTGTCTAGTTTTTATTTGAAGATATTTCCTTTCTCACCATAGAGCTGAAAGTTGTCCTAATGTTCACTTCCAGATACTACAGAAAGAGTGTTTCAAAACTGCTGTACGAAAGGGAATGTTCAACTCTGTGACTTGAATGCACACATCACAAAGAAGTTTCTGAGGATGCTGCTGTCTACTTTTTATACGTAATCCCGTTTCCAACGAAATCCTCCAAGGTATCCAAATATCCACTTGCAGATTCCACAGAAAGACTGTTTCAAAACTGCTCTGTCAATAGAAAGGTTCAACTCTATTAGCTGCGTACATATATCCCAAAGAAGATTCTGAGATTGCTTCTGTCTAGTTTTTATGGGAAGATATTTCCCTTTTCACCGTAGGCGTCAAGGCGCTCCAAATGTCCACTTCCAGATACTACAAAAAGAGTGTTTCAAACCTACTCTGTGAAAGGGAATATTCAACACTGTGACTTGAATGCACATATCACAAGGAAGTTTCTGAGAATGCTTCTGTCGAGATTTTATATGAAGATATTCCCGTTCCCAACGAAATCCTGAAATCTATCCAAATATCCCCTCGCAGATTCTACAAAAAGAGTGTTTCAAAACTGCTCTGTGAAAAGAAAGGTTCAACTCTGTTAGTTGAGTACACACATCACAAACAAGTTTCACAGAATGCTTCTTTCTAGCTTGTAGGGGAAGATATTCCCTTTATCACCATGGGCCTCAAACCGTCCGAAACGTCAACTTCCATATACTACAAAAAGAGCATTTCAAACCTGCTCTATGAAAGGCAATGTTCAACTCTGTGACTTGAATGCAGACATCACAGAGCAGTTTCTGAGAATGCTTCTGTCTAGATTTTATAGGAAGATACTCCCGTTTCCAGCGAAATCTTCACAGCTATCCAAATATCCACTTGCAGATTCTACAAAATGAGTTTATCAAAACTGCTCTGTCAAAAGGAAGGTTCTTCTCTGTTAGTTGAGTACATACGTCATAAAGGAGTTTCTGAGAATGTTTCTGTCTAGTGGTTATGGGAAGATATTTGCTTTTTCACCGTAGGCCTCAGAGCGCTCCAAATATCCACTTGCACATACTACAAAAAGAGTGCTTCAAAGCTGGTCTCTGAAACGGAATGTTCAACTCTATGAGTTCAATGCAAACATCACAAAGACGTTTCTGAGAATGCTTCTGTCTAGATTTGATATGAAGATATTCCCGTTTCCAACGAAATCTTCATATCTATCAAAATGTCCACTTGCAGATTCAACAAAAAGTGTTTTTCAGAACTGCTCTATCAAAAGAAAGATCCACCTCTGTTAGCTGAGTTCACACATCACAAACAAGTTTATGAGAATGCTTCTGTCTAGTTTTTATTTGAAGATATCTCCTTTCTCACTATAGGCCTGAAAGCTCTCGTCCCGTTCACTTCCAGATACTACAGAAAGAGTGTTTCAAACCTGCTGTACGAAAGGGAATGTTCAACACTTTGACTTGAATGCACACATCACAAAGATGTTTCTGAGAATGCTGCTGTCTACTTTTTATACGTAATCCCGTTTCCAACGAAATCCTCCAAGCTATCCAAATATCCACTTGCAGATTCCACAGAAAGACTGTTTCAAAACTGCTCTGTCAATAGAAAGGTTCAACTCTGTTAGCTGCGTGCATACATCCCAAAGAAGATTCGGAGATTGCTTCTGTCTAGTTTTTATGGGAAGATATTTCCTTTTTCACCGTAGGCGTCAAGGCGCTCAAAATGTCCACATCCAAATACTACAAAAAGAGTGTTTCAAACCTACTCTGTGAAAGGGAATATTCAACTCTGTGACTTGAATGCAGATATCACAAAGAAGTTTCTGAGAATGCTTCTGTCGAGATTTTATATGAAGATATTCCCGTTTCCAACGAAATCCTGAAATCTATCCAAATATCCCCTCGCAGATTCTACAAAAAGAGTGTTTCAAAACTGCTCTGTATAAAGAAAGGTTCAACTCTATTAGCTGAGTACACACATCACAAACAAGTTTCACAGAATGCTTCCTTCTAGCTTGTAGGGGAAGATATTCCCTTTATCACCATGGGCCTCAAACCGTCCGAAACGTCCACTTCCATATACTACAAAAAGAGCGTTTCAAACCTGCTCTATGAAAGGCAATGTTCAACTCTGTGACTTGAATGCAGACATCACAGAGCAGTTTCTGAGAATGCTTCTGTCTACATTTTATAGGAAGTTATTCCCGTTTCCAACGAAATCTTCACAGCTATCCAAATATCCACTTGCAGATTCTACAAAAAGAGTGTATCAAAACTGCTCTGTCAAAAGGAAGGTTCTTCTCTGTTAGGTGAGTGCATACGTCATAAAGGAGTTTCTGAGAATGTTTCTGTCTAGTGGTTATGGGAAGATATTTGCTTTTTCACCTTAGGCCTCAGAGCGCTCCAAATATCCCCTTGCACATACTACAAAAAGAGTGCTTCAAAGCTGCTCTCTGAAAGGGAATGTTCAACTCTATGGGTTGAATGCAAACATCACAAAGACGTTTGCTGAGAATGCTTCTGTCTAGATTTGATATGAAGATATTCCCGTTTCCAAAGAAATCTTCCAATCTATCCAAATGTCCACTTGCAGATTCAACAAAAAGTGTTTTTCAAAACTGCTGTATCGAAAGAAAGATCCACCTCTGTTAGTTGAGTTCACACATCACAAACAAGTTTTTAAAAATGCTTCTGTCTATTTTTTATTTGAAGATATAGCCTTTCTCACTATAGACATGAAAGCTCTCCTAAAGTTCACTTCCAGATACTTCAGAAAGAGTGTTTCAAAACTGCTGTAGGAAAGGGAATGTTCAACTCTGTGACTTGAATGCACACATTACAAGGAAGTTTCTGAGGATGCTGCTGTCTAATTTTTATACGTAATCCCGTTTCCAACGAAATCCTCCAAGCTATCCAAATATCCACTTGCAGATTCCACAGAAAGACTGTTTCAAAACTGCTCTGTCAATAGAAAGGTTCAACTCTGTTAGCTGCGTGCATATATCCCAAAGAAGATTCTGAGATTGCTTCTGTCTAGTTTTCATGGGAAGATATTTCCCTTTTCACCGTAGGCGTCAAGGCGCTCCAAATGTCCACTTCCAGATACTACAAAAAGAGTGTTTCAAACCTACTCTGTGAAAGGGAATATTCAACTCTGTGACTAGAATGCACATATCACAAAGAAGTTTCTGAGAATGCATCTGTCGAGATTTTATATGAAGATATTCCCGTTTCCAACGAAATCCTGAAATCTATCCAAATATCCCCTCGCAGATTCTACAAAAAGAGTGTTTCAAAACTGCTCTGTAAAAAGAAAGGTTCAAATCTGTCAGTTGAGTACACACATCACAAACAAGTTTCACACAATGCTTCTTTCTAGCTTGTAGGGGAAGATATTCCCTTTATCACCATGGGCCTCAAACCGTCCGAAAAGTCCACTTCCATATACTACAAAAAGAGCGTTTCAAACCTGCTCTATGAAAGGCAATGTTCAACTCTGTTACTTGAATGCAGACATCACAGAGCAGTTTCTGAGAATGCTTCTGTCTAGATTTTATAGGAAGATATGCCCGTTTCCAACGAAATCTTCACAGCTATCCCAAATATCCACTTGCAGATTCTACAAAAAGAGTGTATCAAAACTGCTCTGTCAAAAGGAAGGTTCTTCTCTGTTAGGTGAGTGCATACGTCATAAAGGAGTTTCTGAGAATGTTTCTGTCTAGTGATTATGGGAAGATATTTGCTTTTTCACCGTAGGCCTCAGAGCGCTCCAAATATCCACTTGCACATACTACAAAAAGAGTGCTTCAAACCTGCTCTCTGAAACGGAATGTTCAACTCTATGAGTTGAATGCAAACATCACAAAGACGTTTCTGAGAATGCTTCTGTCTAGATTTGATATGAAGATATTCCCGTTTCCAACGAAATCTTCAAATCTATCCAAATGTCCACTTGCAGATTCAACAAAACGTGTTTTTCAGAACTGCTCTATCAAAAGAAAGATCCACGTCTCCTAGCTGAGTTCACACATCACAAACAAGTTTATGAGAATGCTTCTGTCTAGTTTTTATTTGAAGATATATCCTTTCTCACTATAGACCTGAAAGCTGTCCTAAAGTTCACTTCCAGATACTACAGAAAGAGTGTTTCAAAACTGCTGTACGAAAGGGAATGTTCAACTCTGTGACTTGAATGCACACATCACAAGGATGTTTACTGAGGATGCTGCTGTCTACATTTGATACGTAATCCCGTTTCCAACGAAATCCTCCAAGCTATCCAAATATCCACTTGCAGATTCCACAGAAAGACTGTTTCAAAACTGCTCTGTCAATAGAAAGGTTCAACTCTGTTAGCTGCGTGCATATATCCCAAAGAAGATTCTGAGATTGCTTCTGTCTAGTTTTGATGGGAAGATATTTCCCTTTTCACCGTAGGCGTCAAGGCGCTCCAAATGTCCACTTCCAGATACTACAAAAAGAGTGTTTCAAACCTACTCTGTGAAAGGGAATATTCAACTCTGTGACTTGAATGCACATATCACAAGGAAAGTTTCTGAGAATGCTTCTGTCGAGATTTTATATGAAGATATTCCCGTTTCCAACGAAATCCCGAAATGTATCCAAATATCCCCTCGCAGATTCTACAAAAAGAGTGTTTCAAAACTGCTCTGTAAAAAGAAAGGTTCAACTCTGTTAGTTGAGTACACACATCACAAACAAGTTTCACACAATGCTTCTTTCTAGCTCGTAGGGGAAGATATTCCCTTTATCACCATGGGCCTCCAACCGTCCGAAACATCCACTTCCATATACTACAAAAAGAGCGTTTCAAACCTGCTCTATGAAAGGCAATGTTCAACTCTGTGACTTGAAAGCAGACATCACAGAGCAGTTTCTGAGAATGCTTCTGTCTAGATTTTATAGGAAGATATTTCCGTTTCCAACGAAACCTTCACAGCTATCCAAATATCCACTTGCAGATTCTACAAAAAGAGTGTATCAAAACTGCTCTGTCAAAAGGAAGGTTCTTCTCTGTTAGGTGAGTGCATACGTCATAAAGGAGTTTCTGAGAATGTTTCTGTCTAGTGGTTATGGGAAGATATTTGCTTTTTCACCGTAGGCCTCAGAGCGCTCCAAATATCCACTTGCACATACTACAAAAAGAGTGCTTCAAAGCTGCTCTCTGAAAGGGAATGTTCAACCCTATGAGTTGAATGCAAACATCACAAAGACGTTTCTGGGAATGCTTCTGTCTAGATTTGATATGAAGATATTCCCGTTTCCAACGAAATCTTCAAATCTATCCAAATGTCCACTTGCAGATTCAACAAAAAGTGTTTTTCAGAACTGCTCTATCAAAAGAAAGATCCACCTCTGTTAGCTGAGTTCACACATCACAAACAAGTTTTTGAGAATGCTTCTGTCTAGTTTTTATTTGAAGATATTTCCTTTCTCACCATAGACCTGAAAGCTGTCCTAATGTTCACTTCCAGATACTACAGAAAGAGTGTTTCAAAACTGCTGTACGAAAGGGAATGTTCAACTCTGTGACTTGAATGCACACATCACAAAGATGTTTCTGAGGATGCGGCTGTGTACTTTTTATACGTAATCCCGTTTCCAACGAAATCCTCCAATCTATCCAAATATCCACTTGCAGATTCCACAGAAAGACTGTTTCAAATCTGCTCAGTCAATAGAAAGGTTCAACTCTGTTAGCTGCGTGCATATATCACAAAGAAGATTCTGAGTTTGCTTCTGTCTAGTTTTTATGGGAAGATATTTCCCTTTTCACCGTAGGCGTCAAGGCGCTCCAAATGTCCACTTCCAGATACTACAAAAAGAGTGTTTCAAACCTACTCTGTGAAAGGGAATATTCAACTCTGTGACTTGAATGCACATATCACAAAGAAGTTTCAGAGAATGCTTCCGTCGAGATTTTATATGAAGATATTCCCGTTTCCAACGAAATCCTGAAATCTATCCAAATATCCCCTCGCAGATTCTACAAAAAGAGTGTTTCAAACCTACTCTGTGAAAGGGAATATTCAACTCTGTGACTTGAATGCACATATCACAAAGAAGTTTCTGAGAATGCTTCTGTCGAGATTTTATATGAAGATATTCCCGTTTCCAACGAAATCCTGAAATCTATCCAAATATCCCCTCGCAGATTCTACAAAAAGAGTGTTTCAAAACTGCTCTGTAAAAACAAAGGTTCAACTCTGTTAGTTGAGTACACACATCACAAACAAGTTTCACAGAATGCTTCTGTCTAGATTTTATAGGAAGATATTCCCGTTTCCAGCGAAATCTTCACAGCTATCCAAATATCCACTTGCAGATTCTACAAAAAGAGTGTATCAAAACTGCTCTGTCAAAAGGAAGTTTCTTCTCTGTTAGGTGAGTGCATACGTCATAAAGGAGTTTCTGAGAATGTTTCTGTCTTGTGGTTATGGGAAGATATTTGCTTTTTCCCCGTAGGCCTCAGGGCGCTCCAAATGTCCACTTGCACATGCTACAAAAAGAGTGCTTCAAAGCTGCTCTCTGAAAGGGAATGTTCAACTCTATGAGTTGAATGCAAACATCACAAAGACGTTTCTGAGAATGCTTCTGTGTAGTTTTTATTTGAAGATATTTCCTTTCTCACCATAGACCTGAAAGCTGTCCTAATGTTCACTTCCAGATACTACAGAAAGAGTGTTTCAAAACTGCTGTACGAAAGGGAATGTTCAACTACTGTGACTTGAATGCACACATCACAAAGAAGTTTCTGAGGATGCTTCTGTCTAGTTTTTATTTGAAGATATATCCTTTCTCACTATAGACCTGAAAGCTGTCCTAAAGTTCACTTCCAGATACTACAGAAAGAGTGTTTCAAAACTGCTGTACGAAAGGGAATGTTCAACTACTGTGACTTGAATGCACACATCACAAGGATGTTTCTGAGGATGCTGCTGTCTACTTTTTATACGTAATCCCGTTTCCAACGAAATCCTCCAAGCTATCCAAATATCCACTTGCAGATTCCACAGAAAGACTGTTTCAAAACTGCTCTGTCAATAGAAAGGTTCAACTCTATTAGCTATGTGCATATATCCCAAAGAAAATTCTGAGATTGCTTCTGTCTAGTTTTTATGGGAAGATATTTCCCTTTTCACCGTAGGCGTCAAGGCGCTCCAAATGTCCACTTCCAGATACTACAAAAAGAGTGTTTCAAACCTACTCTGTGAAAGGGAATATTCAACTCTTTGACTTGAATGCACATATCACAAAGAAGTTTCTGAGAATGCTTCTGTCGAGATTTTATATGAAGATATTCCCGTTTCCAACGAAATCCTGAAATCTATCCAAATATCCCCTCGCAGATTCTACAAAAAGAGTGTTTCAAAACTGCTCTGTAAAAAGAAAGGTTCAACTCTGTCAGTTGAGTACACACATCACAAACAAGTTTCACAGAATGCTTCTTTCTAGCTTGTAGGGGAAGATATTCCCTTTATCACCATGGGCCTCAAACCGTCTGAAACGTCCACTTCCATATACTAGAAAAAGATCATTTCAAACCTGCTCTATGAAAGGCAATGTTCAACTCTGTGACTTGAATGCAGACATCACAGAGCAGTTTCTGAGAATGCTTCTGTCTAGATTTTATAGGAAGATATTCCCGTTTCCAACGAAATCTTCACAGCTATCCAAATATGCACTTGCAGATTCTACAAAAAGTGTGTATCAAAACTGCTCTGTCAAAAGGAAGGTTCTTCTCTGTTAGTTGAGTACATACGTCATAAAGGAGTTTCTGAGAATGTTTCTGTCTAGTGGTTATGGGAAGATATTTGCTTTTTCCCCGTAGGCCTCAGGGCGCTCCAAATGTCCACTTGCACATGCTACAATAAGAGTGTTTCCAACCTGCTCTATGAAACGGAAGGTTCAACTCTGTGACTTGATTGCAAACATCACGAAGGTGTTTCTGAGAATGCTTCTGTCTAGATTTGATATGAAGATATTCCCGTTTCCAACGACATCTTCAAATCTATCCAAATGTCCACTTGCAGATTTAACAAAACGTGTTTTTCAGAACTGCTCTATCAAAAGAAAGATCCACCTCTGTTAGCTGAGTTCACACATCACAAACAAGTTTATGAGAATGCTTCTGTCTAGTTTTTATTTGAAGATATTTCCTTTCTCACCATAGAGCTGAAAGCTGTCCTAATGTTCACTTCCAGATACTACAGAAAGAGTGTTTCAAAACTGCTGTACGAAAGGGAGTGTTCAACTCTGTGACTTGAATGCACACATCACAAAGAAGTTTCTGAGGATGCTGCTGTCTACTTTTTATACGTAATCCCGTTTCCAATGAAATGCTCCAAGCTATCCAAATATCCACTTGCAGATTCCACAGAAAGACTGTTTCAAAACTGCTCTGTCAATAGAAAGGTTCAACTCTGTTAGCTGCGTGCATATATCCCAAAGAAGATTCTGAGATTGCTTCTGTCTACTTTTTATGAGAAGATATTTCCCTTTTCACCGTAGGCGTCAAGGCGCTCCAAATGTCCACTTCCAGATACTACAAAAAGAGTGTTTCAAACCTACTCTGTGAAAGGGAATATTCAACTCTGTGACTTGAATGCACATATCACAAAGAAGCTTCTTAGAATGCTTCTGTCGAGATTTTATATGAAGATATTCCCGTTTCCAACGAAATCCTGAAATCTATCCAAATATCCCCTCGCAGATTCTACAGAAAGAGTGTTTCAAAACTGCTCTGTAAAAAGAAAGGTTCAACTCTGTTAGTTGAGCACACACATCACAAACAAGTTTCACAGAATGCTTCTTTCTAGCTTGTAGGGGAAGATATTCCCTTTATCACCATGGTCCTCAAACCGTCCGAAACGTCCACTTCCATATACTACAAAAAGAGCGTTTCAAACCTGCTCTATGAAAGGCAATGTTCAACTCTGTGACTTGAATGCAGACATCACAGAGCAGTTTCTGAGAATGCTTCTGTCTAGACTTTATAGGAAGATATTCCCGTTTCCAACGAAATCTTCACAGCTATCCAAATATCCACTTGCAGATTCTACAAAAAGAGTGTATCAAAACTGCTCTGTCAAAAGGAAGGTTCTTTTCTGTTAGGTGAGTGCATACGTCATAAAGGAGTTTCTGAGAATGTTTCTGTCTAGTGGTTACGGGAAGATATTTGCTTTTTCCCCGTAGGCCTCAGGGCACTCCAAATGTCCACTTGCACATGCTACAAAAAGAGTGCTTCAAAGCTGCTCTCTGGAAGGGAATGTTCAACTCTATGAGTTGAATGCAAACATCACAAAGACGTTTCTGAGAATGCTTCTGTCTAGACTTGATATGAAGATATTCCCGTTTCCAACGAAATCTTCAAATCTATCCAAATGTCCACTTGCAGATTCAACAAAAAGTGTTTTTCAGAAGTGCTCTATCAAAAGAAAGATCCACCTCTGTTAGCTGAGTTCACACATCACAAACAAGTTTATGAGAATGCTTCTGTCTAGTTTTTATTTGAAGATATTTCCTTTCTCACCATAGACCTGAAAGCTGTCCTAATGTTCACTTCCAGTTACTACAGAAAGAGTGTTTTAAAACTGCTGTACGAAAGGGAATGTTCAACTCTGTGACTTGAATGCACACATCTCAAAGAAGTTTCTGAGGATGCTGCTGTCTAATTTTTATACGTAATCCCGTTTCCAACGAAATCCTCCAAGCTATCCAAATATCCACTTGCAGATTCCACAGAAAGACTGTTTCAAAACTGCTCTGTCAATAGAAAGGTTCAACTCTGTTAGCTGCGTGCATATATCCCAAAGAAGATTGTGAGATTGCTTCTGTCTAGTTTTTATGGGAAGATTTTTCCCTTTTCACCGTAGGTGTCAAGGCGCTCCAAATGTCCACTTCCAGATACTACAAAAAGAGTGTTTCAAACCTACTCTGTGAAAGGGAATATTCAACTCTGTGACTTGAATGCACATATCACAAGGGAAGTTTCTGAGAATGCTTCTGTCGAGATTTTATATGAAGATATTCCCGTTTCCAACGAAATCCTGAAATGTATCCAAATATCCCCTCGCAGATTCTACAAAAAGAGTGTTTCAAAACTGCTCTGTAAAAAGAAAGGTTCAACTCTGTTAGTTGAGAACACACATCACAAACAAGTTTCACACAATGCTTCTTTCTAGCTTGTAGGGGAAGATATTCCCTTTATCACCGTGGGCCTCCAACCGTCCGAAACGTCCACTTCCATATACTACAAAAAGAGCGTTTCAAACCTGCTCTATGAAAGGCAATGTTCAACTCTGTGACTTGAATGCAGACATCACAGAGCAGTTTCTGAGAATGCTTCCGTCTAGATTTTATAGGAAGATATTCCCGTTTCCAACGAAATCTTCACAGCTATCCAAATATCCACTTGCAGATTCTACAAAAAGAGTGTATCAAAACTGCTCTGTCAAAAGGAAGGTTCTTCTCTGTTAGGTGAGTGCATACGTCATAAAGGAGTTTCTGAGAATGTTTTTGTCTAGTGGTTTTGGGAAGATATTTTCTTTTTCACCGTAGGCCTCACAGCGCACCAAATATCCACTTGCACATACTACAAAAAGAGTGCCTCAAAGCTGCTCTCTGAAACGGAATGTTCAACTCTATGGGTTGAATGCAAACATCACAAAGACGTTTCTGAGAATGCTTCTGTCTAGATTTGATATGAAGATATTCCCGTTTCCAACGAAATCTTCAAATCTATCCAAATGTCCACTTGCAGATTCAACAAAAAGTGTTTTTCAAAACTGCTGTATCAAAAGAAAGATCCACGTCTGTTAGCTGAGTTCACACATCAGAAACAAGTTTATGAGAATGCTTTCTGTCTAGTTTTTATTTGAAGATATTTCCTTTCTCACCATAGACCTGAAAGCTGTCCTAGTTTTCACTTCCAGATACTACAGAAAGAGTGTTTCAAAACTGCTGTACGAAAGGGAATATTCAACTCTGTGACTTGAATGCACACATCACAAAGAAGTTTCTGAGGATGCTGCTGTCTACTTTTTATACTTAATCCCGTTTCCAACGAAATCCTCCAAGCTAATCAAATATCCACTTGCAGATTCCACAGAAAGACTGTTTCAAAACTGCTCTGTCAATAGAAAGGTTCAACTCTGTTAGCTGCGTGCATATATCCCAAAGAAGATTCTGAGATTGCTTCTGTCTAGTTTTTATGGGAAGATATTTCCCTTTTCACCGTAGGCGTCAAGGCGCTCCAAATGTCCACTTCCAGATACTACTAAAAGAGGGTTTCAAACTTACTCTGTGAAAGGGAATATTCAACTCTGTAACTTGAATGCACATATCACAAAGAAGTTTCTGAGAATGCTGCTGTCGAGATTTTATATGAAGATATTCCCGTTTCCAACGAAATCCTGAAATCTATCCAAATATCCCCTCGCAGATTCTACAAAAAGAGTGTTTCAAAACTGCTCTGTAAAAAGAAAGGTTCAACTCTGTTAGTTGAGTACACACATCACAAACAAGTTTCACAGAATGCTTCTTTCTAGCTTGTAGGGGAAGATATTCCCTTTATCACCATGGGCCTCAAACCGTCCGAAACGTCCACTTCCATGTACTACAAAAAGAGCTTTTCAAACCTGTTCTAGGAAAGGCAATGTTCAACTCTGTGACTTGAATGCAGACATCACAGAGCAGTTTCTGAGAATGCTTCTGTCTAGATTTTATAGGAAGATATTCCCGTTTCCAACGAAATCTTCACAGCTATCCAAATATCCACTTGCAGATTCTACAAAAAGAGTGTATCAAAACTGCTCTGTCAAAAGGAAGGTTCTTCTCTGTTAGTTGAGCACATACGTCATAAAGGAGTTTCTGAGAATGTTTCTGTCAAGTGGTTATGGGAAGATATTTGCTTTTTCCCCGTAGGCCTCAGGGCGCTCCAAATGTCCACTTGCACATGCTACAAAAAGAGTGCTTCAAAGCTACTCTCTGGAAGGGAATGTTCAACTCTATGAGTTGAATGCAAACATCACAAAGACGTTTCTGAGAATGCTTCTGTCTAGATTTGATATGAAGATATTCCCGTTTCCAACGAAATCTTCAAATCTATCCAAATGTCCACTTGCAGATTCAACAAAAAGTGTTTTTCAAAACTGCTGTATCAAAAGAAAGATCCACGTCTGTTAGCTGAGTTCACACATCACAAAGAAGTTTATGAGAATGCTTCTGTCTAGTTTTTATTTGAAGATATTTCCTTTCTCACCATAGACCTGAAAGCTGTCCTAATGTTCACTTCCAGATACTACAGAAAGAGTGTTTCAAAACTGCTGTAGGAAAGGGAATGTTCAACTCTGTGACTTGAATGCACACATCACAAAGAAGTTTCTGAGGATGCTGCTGTCTACTTTTTATACGTAATCCCGTTTCCAACGAAATCCTCCAAGCTATCCAAATATCCACTAGCAGATTCCACAGAAAGACTGTTTCAAAACTGCTCTGTCAATAGAAAGGTTCAACTCTATTAGCTGCGTACATATATCCCAAAGAAGATTCTGAGATTGCTTCTGTCTAGTTTTTATGGGAAGATATTTCCCTTTTCACCATAGGCGTCAAGGCGCTCCAAATGTCCACTTCCAGATACTACAAAAAGAGTGTTTCAAACCTACTCTGTGAAAGGGAATATTCAACTCTGTGACTTGAATGCACATATCACAAAGAAGTTTCTGAAAATGCTTCTGTCGAGATTTTATATGAAGATATTCCAGTTTCCAACGAAATCCTGAAATCTATCCAAATATCCCCTCGCAGATTCTACAAAAAGAGTGTTTCAAAACTGCTCTGTATAAAGAAAGGTTCAACACTGTTAGTTGAGTACACACATCACAAACAAGTTTCACAGAATGCTTCTTTCTAGCTTGTAGGGGAAGATATTCCCTTTATCACCATGGGCCTCAAACCGTCCGAAACGTCTACTTCCATATACTACAAAAAGAGCGTTTCAAACCTGCTCTACGAAAAGCAATGTTCAACTCTGTGACTTGAATGCAGACATCACAGAGCAGTTTCTGAGAATGCTTCTGTCTAGATTTTATAGGAGGATATTCCCGTTTCCAACGAAATCTTCACAGCTATCCAAATATCCACTTTCAGATTCTACAAAAAGAGTGTATCAAAACTGCTCTGTCAAAAGGAAGGTTCTTCTCTGTTAGGTGAGTGCATACGTCATAAAGGAGTTTCTGAGAATGTTTCTGTCTAGTGGTTATGGGAAGATATTTGCTTTTTCACCTTAGGCCTCAGAGCTCTCCAAATACCCCCTTGCACATACTACAAAAAGAGTGCTTCAAAGCTGCTCTCTGAAAGGGAATGTTCAACTCTATGAGTTGAATGCAAACATCACAAAGACGTTTCTGAGAATGCTTCTGTCTAGATTTGATATGAAGATATTCCCGTTTCCAACGAAATCTTCAAATCTATCCAAATGTCCACTTGCAGATTCAACAAAAAGTGTTTTTCAGAACTGCTCTATCAAAAGAAAGATCCACCTCTCTTAGCTGAGTTCACACATCACAAACAAGTTTATGAGAATTCTTCTGTCTAGTTTTCATTTGAAGATATTTCCTTTCTCACCATAGAGCTGAAAGCTGTCCTAATGTTCACTTCCAGATACTACAGAAAGAGTGTTTCAAAACTGCTGTACGAAAGGGAATGTTCAACTCTGTGACTTGAATGCACACATCACAAAGAAGTTTCTGAGGATGCTGCTGTCTACTTTTTATACGTAATCCCGTTTCCAACGAAATCCTCCAAGCTATCCAAATATCCACTTGCAGATTCCACAGAAAGACTGTTTCAAAACTGCTCTGTCAATAGAAAGGTTCAAATCTGTTAGCTGCGTGCATATATCCCAAAGAAGATTCTGAGATTCCTTCTGTCTAGTTTTTATGGGAAGATATTTCCCTTTTCACCGTGGGCGTCAAGGCGCTCCAAATGTCCACTTCCAGATACTACAAAAAGAGTGTTTCAAACCTACTCTGTGAAAGGGAATATTCAACGCTGTGACTTGAATGCACATATCACAAGGAAGTTTCTGAGAATGCTTCTGTCGAGATTTTATATGAAGATATTCCCGTTTCCAACGAAATCCTGAAATCTATCCAAATATCCCCTCGTAGATTCTACAAAAAGAGTGTTTCAAAACTGCTCTGTAAAAAGAAAGGTTCAACTCTGTTAGTTGAGTACACACATCACAAACAAGTTTCACAGAATGCTTCTTTCTAGCTTGTAGGGGAAGATATTCCCTTTATCACCATGGGCCTCAAACCGTCCGAAACGTCCACTTCCATATACTACAAAAAGAGTGTTTCAAACCTGCTCTATGAACGGCAATGTTCAACTCTGTGACCTTGAATGCAGACATCACAGAGCAGTTTCTGAGAATGCTTCTGTCTAGATTTTATAGGAAGATATTCCCGTTTCCAACGAAATCTTCACAGCTATTCAAATATCCACTTGCAGATTCTACAAAAAGAGTGTATCAAAACTGCTCTGTCAAAAGGAAGGTTCTTCTCTGTTAGGTGAGTGCATACGTCATAAAGGAGTTTCTGAGAATGTTTCTGTCTAGTGGTTATGGGAAGATATTTGCTTTTTCACCGTAGGCCTCAGAGCGCTCCAAATATCCACTTGCACATACTACAAAAAGAGTGCTTCAAAGCTGCTCTCTGAAAGGGTATGTTCAACTCTATGAGTTGAATGCAAACATCACAAAGACGTTTCTGAGAATGCTTCTGTCTAGATTTGATATGAAGATATTCCCGTTTCCAACGAAATCTTCAAATCTATCCAAATGTCCACTTGCAGATTCAACAAAAAGTGTTTTTCAGAACTGCTCTATCAAAAGAAAGATCCACCTATGTTAGCGGAGTTCACACATCACAAACAAGTTTATGAGAATGCTTTCTGTCTAGTTTTTATTTGAAGATATTTCCTTTCTCACCATAGAGCTGAAAGCTGTCCTAATGTTCACTTCCAGATACTACAGAAAGAGTGTTTCAAAACTGCTGTACGAAAGGGAATGTTCAACTCTGTGACTTGAATGGACACATCACAAAGAAGTTTCTGAGGATGCTGCTGTCTACTTTTTATACGTAATCCCGTTTCCAACGAAATCCTCCAAGCTATCCAAATATCCACTTGCAGATTCCACAGAAAGACTGTTTCAAAACTGCTCTGTCAATAGAAAGGTTCAACTCTGTTAGCTGCCTGCATATATCCCAAAGAAGATTCTGAGATTGCTTGTGTCTACTTTTTATGAGAAGATATTTCCCTTTTCACCATAGGCGTCAAGGCGCTCCAAATGTCCACTTACAGATACTACAAAAAGAGTGTTTCAAACCTACTCTGTGAAAGGGAATATTCAACTCTGTGACTTGAATGCAGATATCACAAAGAAGTTTCTGAGAATGCTTCTGTCGAGATTTTATATGAAGATATTCCCGTTTCCAACGAAATCCTGAAATCTATCCAAATATCCCCTCGCAGATTCTACAAAAAGAGTGTTTCAAAACTGCTCTGTAAAAAGAAAGGTTCAACTCTCTTAGTTGAGTACACACATCACAAACAAGTTTCACAGAATGCTTCTTTCTAGCTTGTAGGGGAAGATATTCCCTTTATCACCATGGGCCTCAAACCGTCCGAAACGTCTATTTCCATATACTACAAAAAGAGCGTTTCAAACCTGCTCTATGAAAGGCAATGTTCAACTCTGTGACTTGAATGCAGACATCACAGAGCAGTTTCTGAGAATGCTTCTGTCTAGATTTTATAGGAAGATATTCCCGTTTCCAACGAAATCTTCACAGCTATCCAAATATCCACTTGCAGATTCTGCAAAAAGAGTGTATCAAAAGTGCTCAGTCAAAAGGAAGGTTCTTCTCTGTTAGGTGAATGCATACGTCATAAAGGAGTTTCTGAGAATGTTTCTGTCTAGTGGTTATGGGAAGATATTTGCTTTTTCACCGTAGGCCTCAGAGCGCTCCAAATATCCACTTGCACATACTACAAAAAGAGTGCTTCAAAGCTGCTCTCTGAAACGGAATGTTCAACTCTAGGAGTTGAATGCAAACATCACAAAGACGTTTATGAGAATGCTTCTGTCTAGATTTGATATGAAGATATTCCCGTTTCCAACGAAATCTTCAAATCTATCCAAATGTCCACTTGCAGATTCAACAAAAATTGTTTTTCAGAACTGCTCTATCAAAAGAAAGATCCACCTCTGTTAGCTGAGTTCACACATCACAAACAAGTTTATGAGAATGCTTCTGTCTAGTTTTTATTTGAAGATGTTTCCTTTCTCACCATAGACCTGAAAGCTGTCCTAATGTTCACTTCCAGATACTACAGAAAGAGTGTTTCAAAACTGCTGTACGAAAGGGAATGTTCAACTCTGTGACTTGAATGCACACATCACAAAGAAGTTTTCTGAGGATGCTGCTGTCTACTTTTTATACGGTAATCCCGTTTCCAACGAAATCCTCCAATCTATCCAAATATCCACTTGCAGATTCCACAGAAAGACTGTTTCAAAACTGCTCTGTCAATAGAAAGGTTCAACTCTGTTAGCTGCGTGCATATATCCCAAAGAAGATTCTGAGATTGCTTTTGTCTAGTTTTTATGGGAAGATATTTCCCTTTTCACCGTAGGCGTAAAGGCGCTCCAAATGTCCACTTCCAGATACTACAAAAAGAGTGTTTCAAACCTACTCTGTGAAAGGGAATATTCAACTCTGTGACTTGAAGGCAGATATCACAAAGAAGTTTCTGAGAATGCTTCTGTCGAGATTTTATATGAAGATATTCCCGTTTCCAACGAAATGCTGAAATCTATCCAAATATCCCCTCGCAGATTCTACAAAAAGAGTGTTTCAAAACTGCTCTGTAAAAAGAAAGGTTCAACTCTGTTACTTGAGTACACACATCACAAACAAGTTTCAGAGAATGCTTCTTTCTAGCTTGTAGGGGAAGATATTCCCTTTATGACCATGGGCCTCAAACCGTCCGAAACGTCCACTTCCATATACTACAAAAAGAGTGTTTCAAACCTGCTCTATGAACGGCAATGTTCAACTCTGTGACTTGAATGCAGACATCACAGAGCAGTTTCTGAGAATGCTTCTGTCTAGATTTTATAGGAAGATATTCCCGTTTCCAAAGAAATCTTCACAGCTATCCAAATATCCACTTTCAGATTCTACAAAAAGAGTGTATCAAAAGTGCTCTGTCAAAAGGAAGGTTCTTCTCTGTTAGGTGAGTGCATACGTCATAAAGGAGTTTCTGAGAATGTTTCTGTCTAGTGGTTATGGGAAGATATTTGCTTTTTCACCGTAGGCCTCAGAGCGCTCCAAATATCCCCTTGCACATACTACAAAAAGAGTGCTTCAAAGCTGCTCTCTGAAACGGAATGTTCAACTCTATGAGTTGAATGCAAACATCACAAAGACGTTTCTGAGAATGCTTCTGTCTAGATTTGATATGACGATATTCCCGTTTCCAACGAAATCTTCAAATCTATCCAAATGTCCACTTGCAGATTCAACAAAACGTGTTTTTCAGAACTGCTCTATCAAAAGAAAGATCCACGTCTGTTAGCTGAGTTCACACATCACAAACAAGTTTATGAGAATGCTTCTGTCTAGTTTTTATTTGAAGATATTTCCTTTCTCACCATAGAGCTGAAAGCTGTCCTAATGTTCACTTCCAGATACTATAGAAAGAGTGTTTCAAAACTGCTGTACGAAAGGGAATGTTCAACTCTGTGACTTGAATGCACACATCACAAAGAAGTTTACTGAGGATGCTGGTGTCTACTTTTTATACGTAATCCCGTTTCCAACGAAATCCTCCAAGCTATCCAAATATCCACTTGCAGATTCCACAGAAAGACTGTTTCAAAACTGCTCTGTCAATAGAAAGGTTCAACTCTGTTAGCTGCCTGCATATATCCCAAAGAAGATTCTGAGATTGCTTCTGTCTAGTTTTTATGGGAAGATATTTCCCTTTTCACCGTAGGTGTCAAGGCGCTCCAAATGCCCACTTCCAGATACTACAAAAAGAGTGTTTCAAACCTACTCTGTGAAAGGGAATATTCAACTCTGTGACTTAAAGGCAGATATCACAAAGAAGTTTCTGAGAATGCTTCTGTCGAGATTTTATATGAAGATATTCCCGTTTCCAACGAAATCCTGAAATGTATCCAAATATCCCCTCGCAGATTCTACAAAAAGAGTGTTTCAAAACTGCTCTGTAAAAAGAAAGGTTCAACTCTGTTAGTTGAGTACAAACATCACAAACAAGTTTCACACAATGCTTCTTTCTAGCTTGTAGGGGAAGATATTCCCTTTATCACCATGGGCCTCAAACCGTCCGAAACGTCCTCTTCCATATAGTACAAAAAGAGCGTTTCAAACCTGCTCTATGAAAGGCAATGTTCAACTCTGTGACTTGAATGCAGACATCACAGAGCAGTTTGCTGAGAATGCTTCTGTCTAGGTTTTATAGGAAGATATTCCCGTTTCCAACGAAATCTTCACAGCTATCAAAATATCCACTTGCAGATTCTACAAAAGGAGTGTATCAAAACTGCTCTGTCAAAAGGAAGGTTCTTCTCTGTTAGGTGAGTGCATACGTCATAAAGGAGTTTCTGAGAATGTTTCTGTCTAGTGGTTATGGGAAGATATTTGCTTTTTCCCCGTAGGCCTCAGGGCGCTCCAAATGTCCACTTGCACATGCTACAAAAAGAGTGCTTCAAATCTGCTCTCTGAAAGGGAATGTTCAACTCTATGAGTTGAATGCAAACATCACAAAGACGTTTCTGAGAATGCTTCTGTCTAGATTTAATATGAAGATATTCCCGTTTCCAACGAAATCTTCAAATCTATCCAAATGTCCACTTGCAGATTCAACAAAAAGTGTTTTTCAGAACTGCTCTATCAAAAGAAAGATCCACCTCTGTAAGCTGAGTTCACACATCACAAACAAGTTTATGAGAATGCTTCTGTCTAGTTTTTATTTGAAGATATTTCCTTTCTCACCATAGACCTGAAAGCTGTCCTAATGTTCATTTCCAGTTACTACAGAAAGAGTGTTTCAAAACTGCTGTACGAAAGGGAATGTTCAACTCTGTGACTTGAATGCACACATCACAAAGAAGTTTCTGAGGATGCTGCTGTCTACTTTTTATACTTAATCCCGTTTCCAACGAAATCCTCCAAGCTATCCAAATATCCACTTGCAGATTCCACAGAAAGACTGTTTCAAAACTGCTCTGTCAATAGATAGGTTCAACTCTGTTAGCTGCGTGCATATATCCCAAAGAAGATTCTGAGATTGCTTCTGTCTAGTTTTTATGGGAAGATATTTCCCTTTTCACCATAGGTGTCAAGGCGCTCCAAATGTCCACTTCCAGATACTACAAAAAGAGTGTTTCAAACCTACTCTGTGAAAGGGAATATTCAACCCTGTGACTTGAATGCACATATCACAAAGAAGTTTCTGAGAATGCTTCTGTCGAGATTTTATATGAAGATATTCCCGTTTCCAACGAAATCCTGAAATCAATCCAAATATACCCTCGCAGATTCTACAAAAAGAATGTTTCAAAACTGCTCTGTAAAAAGAAAGGTTCAACTCTGTTAGTTGAGTACACACATCACAAACAAGTTTCACAGAATGCTTCTTTCTAGCTTGTAGGGGAAGATATTCCCTTTATCACCATGGGCCTCAAACCGTCCGAAACGTCCACTTCCATATACTACAAAAAGAGCGTTTCAAAACTGCTCTATGAAAGGCAATGTTCAACTCTGTGACTTGAATGCAGACATCACAGAGCAGTTTCTGAGAATGCTTCTGTCTAGATTTTATAGGAAGCTATTCCCGTTTCCAACGAAATCTTCACAGCTATCCAAATATCCACTTGCAGATTCTACAAAAAGAGTGTATCAAAACTGCTCTGTCAAAAGGAAGGTTCTTCTCTGTTAGGTGAGTGCATACGTCATAAAGGAGTTTCTGAGAATGTTTCTGTCTAGTGGTTATGGGAAGATATTTGCTTTTTCCCCGTAGGCCTCAGGGCGCTCCAAATGTCCACTTGCACATGCTACAAAAAGAGTGCTTCAAAGCTGCTCTCTGGAAGGGAATGTTCAACTCTATGAGTTGAATGCAAACATCACAAAGACGTTTCTGAGAATGCTTCTGTCTAGATTTGATATGAAGATATTCCCGTTTCCAACGAAACCTTCAAATCTATCCAACTGTCCTCTTGCAGATTCAACAAAAAGTGTTTTTCAGAACTGCTCTATCAAAAGAAAGATCCACCGTGTGTTAGCTGAGTTCACACATCACGAACAAGTTTATGAGAATGCTTCTGTCTAGTTTTTATTTGAAGATATTTCCTTTCTCACCATAGACCTGAAAGCTGTCCTAATGTTCACTTCCAGATACTACAGAAAGAGTGTTTCAAAACTGCTGTACGAAAGGGAATGTTCAACTCTGTGACTTGAATGCAGACATCACAAAGAAGTTTCTGAGGATGCTGCTGTCTACTTTTTATACGTAATCCCGTTTCCAACGAAATCCTCCAATCCATCCAAATATCCACTTGCAGATTCCACAGAAAGACTGTTTCAAAACTGCTCTGTCAATAGGAAGGTTGAACTCTGTTAGCTGCGTGCATATATCCCAAAGAAGATTCTGAGATTGCTTCTGTCTAGTTTTTATGGGAAGATATTTCCCTTTTCACCGTAGGTGTCAAGGCGCTCCAAATGTCCACTTCCAGATACTACAAAGAGAGTGTTTCAAACCTACTCTGTGAAAGGGAATATTCAACTCTGTGACTTGAATGCACATATCACAAAGAAGTTTCTGAGAATGCTTCTGTCGAGATTTTATATTAAGATATTCCCGTTTCCAACGAAATCCTGAAATCTATCCAAATATCCCCTCGCAGATTCTACAAAAAGAGTGTTTCAAAACTGCTCTGTAAAAAGAAAGGTTCAACTCTGTTAGTTGAGTACACACATCAAAAACAAGTTTCACAGAATGCTTCTTTCTAGCTTGTAGGGGAAGATATTCCCTTTATCACCATGGGCCTCAAACCGTCTGAAACGTCCACTTCCATATACTACAAAAAGAGCATTTCAAACCTGCTCTATGAAAGGCAATCTTCAACTCTGTGACTTGAATGCAGACATCACAGAGCAGTTTCTGAGAATGCTTCTGTCTAGATTTGATATGAAGATATTCCCGTTTCCAAAGAAATCTTCAGAGCTATCCAAATATCCACTTGCAGATTCTACAAAAAGAGTGTATCAAAAATGCTCTGTCAAAAGGTAGGTTCTTCTCTGTTAGTTGAGTACATACGTCAGAAAGAAGTTTCTGAGAATGTTTCTGTCTAGTGGTTATGGGAAGATATTTGCTTTTTCACCGTAGGCCTCAGAGCGCTCCAAATATCCACTTGCACATACTACAAAAAGAGTGCCTGAAAGCTGCTCTCTGAAACGGAATGTTCAACTCTATGAGTTGAATGCAAACATCGCAAAGACGTTTCTGAGAATGCTTCTGTATAGATTTGATATGAAGATATTCCCGTTTCCAATGAAATCTTCATATCTATCCAATGTCCACTTGCAGATTCAACAAAAAGTGTTTTTCAAAACTGCTGTATCAAAAGAAAGATCCACGTCTGTTAGCTGAGTTCACACATCACAAACAAGTTTATGAGAATGCTTCTGTCTAGTTTTTATTTGAAGATATTTCCTTTATCACCATAGACCTGAAAGCTGTCCTAATATTCACTTCCAGATACTACAGAAAGAGTGTTTCAAAACTGCTGTACGAAAGGGAATGTTCAACTCTGTGACTTGAATGCACACATCACAAAGAAGTTTCTGAGGATGCTGCTGGCTACTTTGTATAGGTAATCCCGTTTCCAACGAAATCCTCCAAGCTATCCAAATATCCACTTGCAGATTCCACAGAAAGACTGTTTCAAAACTGCTCTGTCAATAGAAAGGTTCAACTCTGTTAGCTGCGTGCATATATCCCAAAGAAGATTCTCAGATTGCTTCTGTCTACTTTTTATGAGAAGATATTTCCCTTTTCACCGTAGGTGTCAAGGCGCTCCAAATGTCCACTTCCAGATACTAGAAAAAGAGTGTTTCAAACCTACTCTGTGAAAGGGAATATTCAACTCTGTGACTTGAATGCACATATCACAAAGAAGCTTCTGAGAATGCTTCTGTCGAGATTTTATATAAAGATATTCCGGTTTCCAACAAAATCCTGAAATCTATCCAAATATCCCCTCGCAGATTCTACAAAAAGAGTGTTTCAAAACTGCTCTGTAAAAAGAAAGGTTCAACTCTGTTAGTTGAGTACACACATCACAAACAAGTTTCACAGAATGCTTCTTTCTAGCTTGTAGGGGAAGATATTCCCTTTATCACCATGGGCCTCAAACCGTCCGAAACGTCCACTTCTATATACTACAAAAAGAGCGTTTCAAACCTGCTCTAGGAAAGGCAATGTTCAACTCTGTGACTTGAATGCAGACATCACAGAGCAGTTTCTGAGAATGCTTCTGTCTAGATTTTATAGGAAGATATTCCCGTTTCCAACGAAATCTTCACAGCTATCCAAATATCCACTTGTAGATTCTACAAAAAGAGTGTATCAAAACTGCTCTGTCAAAAGGAAGGTTCTTCTCTGTTAGTTGAGTACATACGTCATAAAGGAGTTTCTGAGAATGTTTCTGTCTAGTGGTTATGGGAAGATATTTGCTTTTTCACCGTAGGCCTCAGAGCGCTCCAAGTATCCACTTGCACATACTACAAAAAGAGTGCTTCAAAGCTGCTCTCTGAAAGGGAATGTTCAACTCTATGAGTTGAATGCAAACATCACAAAGACGTTTCTGAGAATGCTTCTGTCTAGATTTGATATGAAGATATTCCCGTTTCCAACGAAATCTTCAAATCTATACAAATGTCCACTTGCAGATTCAACAAAAAGTGTTTTTCAGAACTGCTCTATCAAAAGAAAGATCCAACTCTGTTAGCTGAGTTCACACATCACAAACAAGTTTATGAGAATGCTTCTGTCTAGTTTTTATTTGAAGATATACCTTTTCTCACTATAGACCTCAAAGCTCTCCTAATGTTCACTTCCAGATACTACAGAAAGAGTGTTTCAAAACTGCTGTACGAAAGGGAATGTTCAACTGTGTGTCTTGAATGCACACATCACAAGGAAGTTTCTGAGGATGCTGCTGTCTACTTTTTATACATAATCCCTTTTCCAACGAAATCCTCCAAGCTATCCAAATATCCACTTGCAGATTCCACAGAAAGACTGTTTCAAAACTGCTCTGTCAATAGAAAGGTTCAACTCTGTTAGCTGCGTGCATATATCCCAAAGAAGATTCGGAGATTGCTTGTCTGTCTAGTTTTTATGGGAAGATATTTCCCTTTTCATCGTAGGCGTCAAGGCGCTCCAAATGTCCACTTCCAGATACTACAAAAAGAGTGTTTCAAACCTACTCTGTGAAAGGGAATATTCAACTCTGTGACTTGAATGCAGATATCACAAAGACGTTTCTGAGAATGCTTCTGTCGAGATTTTATTTGAAGATATTCCCGTTTCCAACGAAATGCTGAAATCTATCCAAATATCCCCTCGCAGATTCTACAAAAAGAGTGTTTCAAAACTGCTCTGTGAAAAGAAAGGTTCAACTCTGTTAGTTGAGTACACACATCACAAACAAGTTTCACAGAATGCTTCTTTCTAGCTTGTAGGGGAAGATATTCCCTTTATCACCATGGGCCTCAAACCGTCCGAAACGTCCACTTCCATATACTACAAAAAGAGCGTTTCAAACCTGCTCTATGAAAGGCAATGTTCAACTCTGTGACTTGAATGCAGACATCACAGAGCAGTTTCTGAGAATGCTTATCTGTCTAGATTTTATAGGAAGATATTCCCGTTTCCAACGAAATCTTCACAGCTATCCAAATATCCACTTGCAGACTCTACAAAAAGAGTGTATCAAAACTGCTCTGTCAAAAGGAAGGTTCTTCTCTGTTAGGTGAGTGCATTACGTCATAAAGGAGTTTCTGAGAATGTTTCTGTCTAGTGTTTATGGGAAGATATTTGCTTTTTCACCGTAGGCCTCAGAGCGCTCCAAATATCCACTTGCACATACTACAAAAAGAGTGCCTCAAAGCTGCTCTCTGAAACGGAATGTTCAACTCTATGAGTTGAATGCCAACATCACAAAGACGTTTCTGAGAATGCTTCTGTCTAGATTTGATATGAAGATATTCCCGTTTCCAACGAAATCTTGAAATCTATCCGAATGTCCACTTGCAGATTCAACAAAAAGTGTTTTTCAGAACTGCTCTATCAAAAGAAAGATCCACCTCTGTTAGCTGAGTTCACACATCACAAACAAGTTTATGAGAATGCTTCTGTCTAGTTTTTATTTGAAGGTATTTCCTTTCTCACCATAGACCTGAAAGCTGTCCTAATGTTCACTTCCAGATACTACAGAAAGAGTGTTTCAAAACTGCTGTACGAAAGGGAATGTTCAACTCTCTGACTTGAATGCACACATCACAAAGAAGTTTCTGAGGATGCCGCTGTCTACTTTTTATACGTAATCCCGTTTCCAACGAAATCCTCCAAGCTATCCAAACATCCACTTGCAGATTCCACAGAAAGACTGTTTCAAAACTGCTCTGTCAATAGAAAGGTTCAACTCTGTTAGCTGCGTGCATATATCCCAAAGAAGATTCTGAGATTGCTTCTGTCTAGTTTTTATGGGAAGATATTTCCCTTTTCACCGTAGGCGTCAAGGCGCTCCAAATGTCCACTTCCAGATACTACAAAAAGAGTGTTTCAAACCTACTTGGTGAAAGGGAATATTCAACTCTGTGACTTGAATGCACATATCACAAAGAAGTTTCTGAGAATGCTTCTGTCGAGATTTTATATGAAGATATTCCCGTTTCCAACGAAATCCTGAAATCTATCCAAATATCCCCTCGCAGATTCTGCAAAAAGAGTGTTTCAAAACTGCTCTGTGAAAAGAAAGGTTCAACTCTGTTAGTTGAGTACACACCTCACAAACAAGTTTCACAGAATGCTTCTTTCTAGCTTGTAGGGGAAGATATTCCCTTTATCACCATGGGCCTCAAACCGTCTGAAACGTCCACTTCCATATACTACAAAAAGAGCGTTTGAAACCTGTTCTAAGAAAGGCAATGTTCAACTCTGTGACTTGAATGCAGACATCACAGAGCAGTTTCTGAGAATGCTTCTGTCTAGATTTTATAGGAAGATATTCCCGTTTCCAACGAAATCTTCACAGCTATCCAAATATCCACTTGCAGATTCTACAAAAAGAGTGTATCAAAACTGCTCTGTCAAAAGTAAGGTTCTTCTCTGTTAGGTGAGTGCATACGTCATAAAGGAGTTTCTGAGAATGTTTCTGTCTAGTGGTTATGGGAAGATATTTGCTTTTTCACCGTAGGCCTCAGAGCGCTCCAAATATCCACTTGCGCATACTACAAAAAGAGTGCTTCAAAGCTGGTCTCTGAAACGGAATGTTCAACTCTATGAGTTGAATGCAAACATCACAAAGACGTTTCTGAGAATGCTTTTGTCTAGATTTGATATGAAGATATTCCCGTTTCCAACGAAATCTTCAAATCTATCCAAATGTCCACTTGCAGATTCTACAAAAAGTGTTTTTCAAAACTGCTGTATCAAAAGAAAGATCCACGTCTGTTAGCTGAGTTCACACATCACAAACAAGTTTATGAGAATGCTTCTGTCTAGTTTTTATTTGAAGATATTTCCTTTCTCACCATAGACCTGAAAGCAGTCCTAATGTTCACTTCCAGATACTACAGAAAGAGTGTTTCAAAACTGCTGTACGAAAGGGAATGTTCAACACTGTGACTTGAATGCACACATCACAAAGAAGTTTCTGAGGATGCTGCTGTCTACTTATTATACGTAATCCCGTTTCCAACGAAATCCTCCAAGCTATCCAAATATCCACTTGCAGATTCCACAGAAAGACTGTTTCAAAACTGCTCTGTCAATAGAAAGGTTCAACTCTGCTAGCTGCGTGCATATATCCCAAAGAAGATTCTGAGATTGCTTCTGTCTAGTTTTTATGAGAAGATATTTCCCTTTTCACCGTAGGCGTCAAGGCGCTCCAAATGTCCACTTCCAGATACTACAAAAAGAGTGTTTCAAACCTACTCTGTGAAAGGGAATATTCAACTCTGTGACTTGAATGCACATATCACAAAGAAGCTTCTGAGAATGCTTCTGTCGAGATTTTATATGAAGATATTCCCGTTTCCAACGAAATCCTGAAATCTATCCAAATATCCCCTCGCAGATTCTACAAAAAGAGTGTTTCAAAACTGCTCTGTAAAAAGAAAGGTTCAACTCTGTTAGTTGAGTACACACATCACAAACAAGTTTCACAAAATGCTTCTTTCTAGCTTGTAGGGGAAGATATTCCCTTTATCACCATGGGCCTCAAACCGTCCGAAACGTCCACTTCCATATACTACAAAAAGAGCATTTCAAACCTGCTCTAGGAAAGGCAATGTTCAACTCTGTGACTTGAATGCAGACATCACAGACCAGTTTCTGAGAATGCTTCTGTCTAGATTTTATAGGAAGATATTCCCGTTTCCAACGAAATCTTCACAGCTATCCAAATATCCACTTGCAGATTCTACAAAAAGAGTGTATCAAAACTGCTCAGTCAAAAGGAAGGTTCTTCTCCTGTTAGGTGAGTGCATACGTCATAAAGGGGTTTCTGAGAATGTTTCTGTCTAGTGGTTACGGGAAGATATTTGCTTTTTCCCCGTAGGGCTCAAAGCGCTCCAAATGTCCACTTGCACATACTACAAAAACAGTGCTTCAAAGCTGCTCTCTGAAAGGGAATGTTCAACACTATGAGTTGAATGCAAACATCACAAAGACGTTTCTGAGAATGCTTCTGTCTAGATTTGAAATGAACATATTCTCGTTTTCAACGAAATCTTCAAATCTATCCAAATGTCTACTTGCAGATTCAACAAAAAGTGTTTTTCAAAACTGCTGTGTCGAAAGAAAGATCCACCTCTGTTAGCTGAGTTCACACTTCACAAACAAGTTTATCAGAATGCTTCTGTCTAGTTTTTATTTGAAGATATTTCCTTTCTCACCATAGACCTGAAAGCTGTCCTAATGTTCACTTCCATATACTACAGAAAGAGCGTTTCAAAACTGCTGTACGAAAGGGAATGTTCAACTCTGTGACTTGAATGCACACATCACAAAGAAGTTTCTGAGGATGCTGCTGTCTACTTTTTATACGTAATCCCGTTTCCAACGAAATCCTCCAAGCTATCCAAATATCCACTTGCAGATTCCACAGAAAGACTGTTTCAAAACTGCTCTGTCAATAGAAAGGTTCAACTCTGTTAGCTGCGTGGATATATCCCAAAGAAGATTCTGAGATTGCTTCTGTCTAGTTATTATGGGAAGATATTTCCCTTTTCACCGTAGGTGTCAATGTGCTCCAAATGTCCACTTTCAGACACTACAAAAAGAGTGTTTCAAACCTACTCTGTGAAAGGGAATATTCAACTCTGTGACTTGAATGCAGATAACACAAAGAAGTTTCTGAGAATGCTTCTGTCGAGATTTTATATGAAGATATTCCCGTTTCCAACGAAATCCTGAAATGTATCCAAATATCCCCTGGCAGATTCTACAAAAAGAGTGTTTCAAAACTGCTCTGTAAAAAGAAAGGTTCAACTCTGTTAGTTGAGTACACACATCACAAACAAGTTTCACAGAATGCTTCTTTCTAGCTTGTAGGGGAAGATATTCCCTTTATCACCATGGGCCTCCAACCGTCCGAAACATCCACTTCCATATACTACAAAAAGAGCGTTTCAAACCTGCTCTATCAAAGGCAATGTTCAACTCTGTGACTTGAATACAGACATCACAGAGCAGTTTCTGAGAATGCTTCTGTCTAGATTTTATAGGAAGATATTCCCGTTTCCAACGAAATCTTCACAGGTATCCAAATATCCACTTGCAGATTCTACAAAAAGAGTGTATCAAAACTGCTCTGTCAAAAGGAAGGTTCTTCTCTGTTAGGTGAGTGCATACCTCATAAAGGAGTTTCTGAGAATGTTTCTCTCTAGTGGTTATGGGAAGATATTTGCTTTTTCCCCGTAGGCCTCAGGGCGCTCCAAATGTCCACTTGCACATGCTACAAAAAGAGTGCTTCAAAGCTGCTCTCTGAAAGGGAATGTTCAACTCTATGAGTTGAATGCAGACATCACAAAGACGTTTCTGAGAATGCTTCTGTCTAGATTTGATATGAAGATATTCCCGTTTCCAACGAAATCTTCATATCTATCCAAATGTCCACTTGCAGATTCAACAAAAAGTGTTTTTCAAAACTGCTGTATCAAAAGAAAGATCCACCTCTGTTAGCTGAGTTCACACATCACAAACAAGTTTATGAGAAAGCTTCTGTCTAGTTTTTATTTGAAGATATATCCTTTCTCACTATAGACCTGAAAGCTGTCCTAATGTTCACTTCCAGATACTACAGAAAGAGTGTTTCAAAACTGCTGTAGGAAAGGGAATTTTCAACTCTGTGACTTGAATGCACACATCACAAAGTAGTTTCTGAGGATGCTGCTGTCTACTTTTGATACGTAATCCCGTTTCCAACGAAATCCTCCAAGCTATCCAAATATCCACTTGCAGATTCCACAGAAAGAATGTTTCAAAACTGCTCTGTCAATAGAAAGGTTCAACTGTGTTAGCTGCGTGCATATATCCCAAACAAGATTGCTGAGATTGCTTCTGTCTAGTTTTTAGGGGAAGATATTTCCCTTTTCACCGTAGGTGTCAAGGCGCTCCAAATGTCCACTTCCAGATACTACAAAAAGAGTGTTTCAAACCTACTCTGTGAAAGGGAATATTCAACTCTGTGACTTGAATGCAGATATCACAATGAAGTTTCTGAGAATGCTTCTGTCGAGATTTTATATGAAGATATTCCCGTTTCCAACGAAATCCTGAAATCTATCCAAATATTCCCTCGCAGATTCTACAAAAAGAGTGTTTCAAAACTGCTCTGTAAAAAGAAAGGTTCAACTCTGTTAGTTGAGTACACACATCACAAACAAGTTTCACAGAATGCTTCTTTCTAGCTTGTAGGGGAAGATATTCCCTTTATCACCATGGGCCTCAAACCGTCCGAAACGTCCACTTCCATATACTACAAAAAGAGCGTTTCAAACCTGCTCTATGAAAGGCAATGTTCAACTCTGTGACTTGAATCCAGACATCACAGAGCAGTTTCTGAGAATGCTTCTGTCTAGATTTGATATGAAGATATTCCCGTTTCCAACGAAATCTTCACAGCTATCCAAATATCCACTTGCAGATTCTACAAAAAGAGTGTATCAAAACTGCTCTGTCAAAAGGAAGGTTCTTTTCTGTTAGGTGAGTGCATACGTCATAAAGGAGTTTCTGAGAATGTTTCTGTCTAGTGGTTATGGGAAGATATTTGCTTTTTCACCGTAGGCCTCAGAGCGCTCCAAATATCCACTTGCATATACTACAAAAAGAGTGCTTCAAAGCTGCTCTCTGAAACGGAATGTTCAACTCTATGAGTTGAATGCAAACATGACAAAGACGTTTCTGAGAATGCTTCTGTCTAGATTTGATATGAAGATATTCCCGTTTCCAACGAAATCTTCAAATCTATCCAAATGTCCACTTGCAGATTCAACAAAAAGTGTTTTTCAGAACTGCTCTATCAAAAGAAAGATCCACCTCTATTAGCTGAGTTCACACATCACAAACAAGTTTATGAGAATGCTTCTGTCTAGTTTTTATTTGAAGATATTTCCTTTCTCACCATAGACCTGAAAGCTGTGCTGTTTACTTCCAGATACTACAGAAAGAGTGTTTCAGAACTGCTGTACGAAAGGGAATGTTCAACTCTGTGACTTGAATGCACACATCACAAGGAAGTTTCTGAGGATGCTGCTGTCTACTTTTTATACGTAATCCCGTTTCCAACGAAATCCTCCAAGCTATCCAAATATCCACTTGCAGATACCACAGAAAGACTGTTTCAAAACTGCTCTGTCAATAGAAAGGTTCAACTCTGTTAGCTGCGTGCATATATCCCAAAGAGGATTCTGAGATTGCTTCTGTCTAGTTTTTATGGGAAGATATTTCCCTTTTCACCGTAGGTGTCAAGGCGCTCCAAATGTCCACTTCCAGATACTACAAAAAGAGTGTTTCAAACCTACTCTGTGAAAGGGAATATTGAACTCTGTGACTTGAATGCAGATATCACAAAGAAGTTTCTGAGAATGCTTCTGTCGAGATTTTATATGAAGATATTCCCGTTTCCAACGAAATCCTGAAATCTATCCAAATATCCCCTCGCAGATTCTACAAAAAGAGTGTTTCAAAACTGCTCTGTAAAAAGAAAGGTTCAACTCTGTTAATTGAGTACACACATCACAAACAAGTTTCACAGAATGCTTCTTTCTAGCTTGTAGGGGAAGATATTCCCTTTAATACCATGGGCCTCAAACCGTCCGAAACGTCCACTTCCATATACTAAAAAAAGAGTGTTTCAAACCTGCTCTATGAAAGGCAATGTTCAACTCTGTGACTTGAATGCAGACATCACAGAGCAGTTTCTGAGAATGCTTCTGTCTAGATTTTATAGGAAGATATTCCCGTATCCAACGAAATCTTCACAGCTATCCAAATATCCACTTCCAGATTCTACAAAAAGAGTGTATCAAAACTGCTCTGTCAAAAGGAAGGTTCTTCTCTGTTAGTTGAGTACATACGTCATAAAGGAGTTTCTGAGAATGTTTCTGTCTAGTGGTTATGGGAAGATATTTGCTTTTTCACCGTAGGCCTCAAAGCGCTCCAAATGTCCACTTGCACATACTACAAAAAGAGTGCTTCAAAGCTGCTCTCTGAAAGGGAATGTTCAACTCTATGAGTTGAATGCTAACATCACAAAGACGTTTCTGAGAATGCTTCTGTCTAGATTTGATATGAAGATATTCCCGTTTCCAATGAAATCTTCAAATCTATCCAAATGTCCACTTGCAGATTCAACAAAAAGTGTTTTTCAGAACTGCTCTATCAAAAGAAAGATCCACCTCTGTTAGCTGAGTTCACACATCACAAACAAGTTTATGAGAATGCTTCTGTCTAGTTTTTATTTGAAGATATTTCCTTACTCACGATAGACCTGAAAGCTGTCCTAATGTTCACTTCCAGATACTACAGAAAGAGCGTTTCAAAACTGCTGTACGAAAGGGAATGTTCAACTCTGTGTCTTGAATGCACACATCACAAAGAAGGTTTCTGAGGATGCTGCTGTCTACTTTTTATACGTAATCCCGTTTCCAACGAAATCCTCCAAGCTATCCAAATATCCACTTGGAGATTCCACAAAAAGACTGTTTCAAAACTACTCTGTCAATAGAAAGGTTCAACTCTGTTAGCTGCGTGCATATATCCCAAAGAAGATTCTGAGATTGCTTCTGTCTAGTTTTTATGGGAAGATATTTCCCTTTTCACCGTAGGTGTCAAGGCGCTCCAAATGTCCACTTCCAGATACTACAAAAAGAGTGTTGCAAACCTACTCTGTGAAAGGGAATATTCAACTCTGTGACTTGAATGCACATATCACAAAGAAGTTTCTGAGAATGCTTCTGTCGAGATTTTATATGAAGATATTCCTGTTTCCAACGAAATCCTGAAATGTATCCAAATATCCCCTCGCAGATTCTACAAAAAGAGTGTTTCAAAACTGCTCTGTAAAAAGAAAGGTTCAACTCTGTTAGTTGAGTACACACATCACAAAGAAGTTTCACAGAATGCTTCTTTCTAGCTTGTAGGGGAAGATATTCCCTTTATCACCATCGGCCTCAAACCGTGTGAAACGTCCACTTCCATATACTACAAAAAGAGCTTTTCAAACCTGCTCTATGAAAGGCAATGTTCAACTCTGTGACTTGAATGCAGACATCACAGAGCAGTTTCTGAGAATGCTTCTGTCTAGATTTTATAGGAAGATATTCCCGTTTCCAACGAAATCTTCACAGCTATCCCAATATCCACTTGCAGTTTCTACAAAAAGAGTGTGTCAAAACTGCTCTGTCAAAAGGAAGGTTCTTCTCTGTTAGGTGAGTGCATACGTCATAAAGCAGTTTCTGAGAATGTTTCTGTCTAGTGGTTATGGGAAGATATTTGCTTTTTCACCGTAGGCCTCAGAGCGCTCCAAATATCCACTTGCACATACTACAAAAAGAGTGCCTCAAAGCTGCTCTCTGAAACGGAATGTTCAACTCTACGAGTTGAATGCAAACATCACAAAGACGTTTCTGAGAATGCTTCTGTCTAGATTTGATATGACGATATTCCCGTTTCCAACGAAATATTCAAATCTATCCAAATGTCCACTTGCAGATTCAACAAAAAGTGTTTTTCAGAACTGCTCTATCAAAAGAAAGATCCACCTCTGTTAGCTGAGTTCACACATCACAAACAAGTTTATGAGAATGCTTCTGTCTAGTTTTTATTTGAAGATATTTCCTTTCTCACCATAGACCTGAAAGCTGTCCTAATGTTCACTTCCAGATATTACAGAAAGAGTGTTTCAAAACTGCTGTACGAAAGGGAATGTTCAACTCTGTGACTTGAATGCACACATCACAAAGAAGTTTCTGAGGATGCTGCTGTCTACTTTTTATACGTAATCCCGTTTCCAACGAAATCCTCCAAGCTATCCAAATATCCACTTGCAGATTCCACAGAAAGACTGTTTCAAAACTGCTCTGTCAATAGAAAGGTTCAACTCTGTTAGCTGCGTGCATATATCCCAAAGAAGATTCTGAGATTGATTCTGTCTAGTTTTTATGGGAAGATATTTCCCTTTTCACCGTAGGCGTCAAGGCGCTCCAAATGTCCACTTCAAGATACTACAAAAAGAGTGTTTCAAACCTACTCTGTGAAAGGGAATATTCAACTCTGTGACTTGAAGGCAGATATCACAAAGAAGTTTCTGAGAATGCTTCTGTCGAGATTTTATATGAAGATGTTCCCGTTTCCAACGAAACCCTGAAATCTATCCAAATATCCCCTCGCAGATTCTACAGAAAGAGTGTTTCAAAACTGCTCTGTAAAAAGAAAGGTTCAACTCTGTTACTTGAGTACACACATCACAAACAAGTTTCACAGAATGCTTCTTTCTAGCTTGTAGGGGAAGATATACCCTTTATCACCATGGGCCTCAAACCGTTCGAAACGTCCTCTTCCATATAGTACAAAAAGAGCGTTTCAAACCTGCTCTATGAAAGGCAATGTTCAACTCTGTGACTTGAATGCAGACATCACAGAGCAGTTTCTGAGAATGCTTCTGTCTAGATTTTATAGGAAGATATTCCCGTTTCCAACGAAATCTTCACAGCTATCCAAATATCCACTTGCAGATTCTACAAAAAGAGTGTATCAAAACTGCTCAGTCAAAAGGAAGGTTCTTCTCTGTTACGTGAGTGCATACGTCATAAAGGAGTTTCTGAGAATGTTTCTGTCTAGTGGTTATGGGAAGATATTTGCTTTTTCACCGTAGGCCTCAGAGCGCTCCAAATATCCACTGGCACATACTACAAAAAGAGTGCTTCAAAGCTGCTCTCTGAAACGGAATGTTCAACTCTATGAGTTGAATGCAAACATCACAAAGACGTTTCTGAGAATGCTTCTGTCTAGACTTGATATGAAGATATTCCCGTTTCCAACGACATCTTCAAATCTATCCAAATGTCCACTTGCAGATTCTACAAAAAGTGTTTTTCAGAACTGCTCTATCAAAAGATAGATCCACCTCTGTTAGCTGAGTTCACACATCACAAACAAGTTTATGAGAATGCTTCTGTCTAGTTTTTATTTGAAGATATTTCCTTTCTCACCATAGAGCTGAAAGCTGTCCTAATGTTCACTTCCAGATACTACAGAAAGAGGGTTTCAAAACTGCTGTACGAAAGGGAATGTTCAACTCTGTGACTTGAATGCACACATCACAAAGAAGTTTCTGAGGATGCTGCTGTCTACTTTTTATACGTAATCCCGTTTCCAACGAAATCCTCCAATCTATCCAAATATCCACTTGCAGATTCCACAGAAAGACTGTTTCAAATCTGCTCTGTCAATAGAAAGATTCAACTCTCTTAGCTGCGTGCATATATCCCAAAGAAGATTCTGAGATTGCTTCTGTCTAGTTTTTATGGGAAGATATTTCGCTTTTCACCGTAGGCGTCAAGGCGCTCCAAATGTACACTTCCAGATACTACAAAAAGAGTGTTTCAAACATACTCTGTGAAAGGGAATATTCAACTCTGTGACTTGAATGCACATACCACAAAGAAGTTTCTGAGAATGCTTCTGTCGAGATTTTATATGAAGATATTCCCGTTTCCAACGAAATGCTGAAATGTATCCAAATATCCCCTCGCAGATTCTACAAAAAGAGTGTTTCAAAACTGCTCTGTAAAAAGAAAGGTTCAACTCTGTTAGTTGAGTACACATATCACAAACAAGTTTCACAGAATGCTTCTTTCTAGCTTGTAGGGGAAGATATTCCCTTTATCACCATGGGCCTCAAACCGTCCGAAACGTCCACTTCCATATACTACAAAAAGAGCGTTTCAAACCTGCTCTATGAAAGGCAATGTTCAACTCTGTGACTTGAATGCAGACATCACAGAGCACTTTCTGAGAATGCTTCTGTCCAGACTTTATAGGAAGATATTCCCGTTTCCAACGAAATCTTCACAGCTATCCAAATATCCACTTGCAGATAGTACAACAAGAGTGTATCAGAAATGCTCTGTCAAAAGGAAAGTTCTTCTCTGCTAGTTGAGTACATACGTCATAAAGAAGTTTCTGAGAATGTTTCTGTCTAGTGGTTATGGGAAGATATTTGCTTTTTCACCGTAGGCCTCAGTGCGCTCCAAATATCCACTTGCACATACTACAAAAAGAGTGCCTCAAAGCTGCTCTCTGAAACGGAATGTTCAACTCTAGGAGTTGAATGCAAACATCACAAAGACGTTTCTGAGAATGCTTCTGTCTAGATTTGATATGAAGATATTCCCGTTTCCAACGAAATCTTCAAATCTATCCAAATGTCCCCTTGCAGATTCAACAAAAAGTGTTTTTCAGAACTGCTCTATCAAAAGAAAGATCCACCTCGGTTAGCTGAGTTCACACATCACAAACAGGTTTATGAGAATGCTTCTGTCTAGTTTTTATTTGAAGATATTTCCTTTCTCACCATAGACCTGAAAGGTCTCGAAACGTTCACTTCCAGGTACTAGAGAAAGAGTTTTTCAAACCTGCTGTACGAAAGGGAATGTTCAACTCTTTGACTTGAATGCACACATCACAAAGAAGTTTCTGAGAATGCTGCTGTCTACTTTTTATACGTAATCCCGTTTCCAACGAAGTCCTCCAAGCTATCCAAATATCCACTTGCAGATTCCACAGAAAGACTGTTTCAAAACTGCTCTGTCAATAGAAAGGTTCAACTCTGTTAGCTGCGTGCATATATCACAAAGAAGATTCTGAGATTGCTTCTGTCTAGTTTTTATGGGAAGATATTTCCCTTTTCACCGTAGGTGTCAAGGCGCTCCAAATGTCCACTTCCAGATACTACAAAAAGGGTGTTTCAAACCTACTCTGTGAAAGGGAATATTCAACTCTGTGACTTGGATGCACATATCACAAAGAAGTTTCTGAGAATGCTTCTGTCTAGATTTTATAGGAAGATATTCCCGTTTCCAACGAAATCTTCACAGCTATCCAAATATCCCCTCGCAGATTCTACAAAAAGAGTGTTGCAAAACTGCTCTGTAAAAGGAAAGGTTCAACCCTGTTAGTTGAGTACACACATCACAAACAAGTTTCACAGAATGCTTCTTTCTAGCTTGTAGGGGAAGATATTTCCTTTATCACCATGGGCCTCAAACTGTCCGAAACGTCCACTTCCATATACTACAAAAAGAGCGTTTCAAACCTGCTCTATGAAAGGCAATGTTCAACTCTGTGACTTGAATGCAGACATCACAGAGCAGTTTCTGAGTATACTTCTGTCTAGATTTTATAGGAAGATATTCCCGTTTCCAAAGAAATCTTCACAGCTATCTAAATATCCACTTGCAGATTCTACAAAAAGAGTGTATCAAAAGTGCTCTGTCAAAAGGAAGGTTCTTCTCTGTTAGGTGAGTGCATACGTCATAAAGGAGTTTCTGAGAATGTTTCCGTCTAGTGGTTATGGGAAGATATTTGCTTTTTCACCGTAGGCCTCAGAGCGCTCCAAATATCCACTTGCACATACTACAAAAAGAGTGCTTCAAAGCTGCTCTCTGAAACGGAATGTTCAACTCTATGAGTTGAATGCAAACATCACAAAGACGTTTCTGAGAATGCTTCTGTCTAGATTTGATATGAAGATATTCCCGTTTCCAACGAAATCTTCAAATCTATCCAAATGTCCACTTGCAGATTCAACAAAGTGTTTTTCAGAACTGCTCTATCAAAAGAAAGATCCACCTCTGTTAGCTGAGATCAAACTTCACAAACAAGTTTATCAGAATGCTTCCGTCTAGTTTTTATTTGAAGATATATCCTTTCTCACTATAGACCTGAAAGCTGTCCTAAAGTTCACTTCCAGATACTACAGAAAGTGTGTTTCAAAACTGCTGTACGAAAGGGAATGTTCAACTCTGTGACTTGAATGCACACATCACAAGGATGTTTCTGAGGATGCTGCTGTCTACTTTTTATACGTAATCCCGTTTCCAACGAAATCCTCCAAGCTATCCAAATATCCACTTGCAGATTCCACAGAAAGACTGTTTCAAATCTGCTCTGTCAATAGAAAGGTTCAACTCTGTTAGCTGCATGCATATATCCCAAAGAAGATTCTGAGATTGCTTCTGTCTAGTTTTTATGAGAAGATATTTCCCTTTTCACCGTAGGCCTCAAGGCGCTCCAAATGTCCACTTCCAGATACTACAAAAAGAGTGTTTCAAACCTACTCTGTGAAAGGGAATATTCAACTCTGTGACTTAAAGGCAGATATCACAAAGAAGTTTCTGAGAATGCTTCTGTCGAGATTTTATATGAAGATATTCCCGTTTCCAACGAAATCCTGAAATCTATCCAAATATCCCCTTGCAGATTCTACAAAAAGAGTGTTTCAAAACTGCTCTGTAAAAAGAAAGGTTCAACTCTGTTAGTTGAGTACACACATCACAAACAAGTTTCACACAATGCTTTCTTTCTAGCTTGTAGGGGAAGATATTCCCTTTATCACCATGGTCCTCAAACCGTCGAAACGTCCTGTTCCATATAGTACAAAAAGAGCCTTTCAAACCTGCTCTATGAAAGGCAATGTTCAACTCTGTGACTTGAATGCAGACATCACAGAGCAGTTTCTGAGAATGCTTCTGTCTAGATTTTATAGGAAGATATTCCCGTTTCCAACGAAATCTTCACAGCTATCCAAATATCCACTTGCAGATTCTACAAAAAGAGTGTATCAAAACTGCTCTGTCAAAAGGAAGGTTCTTCCCTGTTAGGTGAGTGCATACGTCATAAAGGAGTTTCTGAGAATGTTTCTGTCTAGTGGTTATGGGAAGATATTTGCTTTTTCACCGTAGGCCTCAGAGCGCTCCAAATATCCACTTGCACATACTACAAGAAGAGTGCTTCAAAGCTGCTCTCTGAAACGGAATGTTCAACTCTATGAGTTGAATGCAAACATCACAAAGACGTTTCTGAGAATGCTTCTGTCTAGATTTGATATGAAGATATTCCCGTTTTCAACGAAATCTTCAAATCTATCCAAATGTCCACTTGCAGATTCAACAAAAAGTGTTTTTCAGAACTGCTCTATCAAAAGAAAGATCCACCTCTGTTAGCTGAGTTCACACATCACAAACAAGTTTATGAGAATGCTTCTGTCTAGTTTTTATTTGAAGATATTTCCTTTCTAACCATAGACCTGAAAGCTGTCCTAATGTTCACTTCCAGATACTACAGAAAGAGTGTTTCAAAACTGCTGTACGAAAGGGAATGTTCAACTCTGTGACTTGAATGCACACATCACAAAGAAGTTTCTGAGGATGCTGCGGTCTACTTTATATACGTAATCCCGTTTCCAACGAAATCCTCCAAGCTATCCAAATATCCACTTGCAGATTCCACAGAAAGACTGTTTCAAAACTGCTCTGTCAATAGAAAGGTTCAACTCTGTTAGCTGCGTGCATATATCCCAAAGAAGATTCTGAGATTGCTTCTGTCTACTTTTTATGAGAAGATATTTCCCTTTTCACCGCAGGCGTCAAGGCGCTCCAAATGTCCACTTCCAGATACTACAAAAAGAGTGTTTCAAACCTACTCTGTGAAAGGGAATATTCAACTCTGTGACTTGAATGCACATATCACAAAGAAGCTTCTGAGAATGCTTCTGTCGAGATTTTATATGAAGATATTCCTGTTTCCAACGAAATCCTGAAATCTATCCAAATATCCCCTCGCAGATTCTACAAAAAGAGTGTTTCAAAACTGCTCTGTAAAAAGAAAGGTTCAACTCTGTTAGTTGAGTACACACATCACAAACAAGTTTCACAGAATGCTTCTTTCTAGCTGGTAGGGGAAGATATTCGCTGTATCACCATGGGCCTCAAAACGTCCGAAACGTCCACTTCCATATACTACAAAAAGAGCGTTTCAAACCTGCTCTATGAAAGGCAATGTTCAACTCTGTGTCTTGAATGCAGACATCACACAGCAGTTTCTGAGAATGCTTCTGTCTAGATTTTATAGGAAGATATTCCCGTTTCCAACGAAATCTTCACAGCTATCAAAATATCCACTTGCAGATTCTACAAAAAGAGTGTATCAAAACTGCTCTGTCAAAAGGAAGGTTCTTCTCTCTTAGGTGAGTGCATACTTCATAAAGGAGTTTCTGAGAATGTTTCTGTCTAGTGGTTATGGGAAGATATTTGCTTTTTCACCGTAGGCCCCAGAGCGCTCCAAATATCCACTTGCACATACTACAAAAAGAGTGCTTCAAAGCTGCTCTCTGAAAGGGAATGTTCAACTCTATGAGTTGAATGCAATCATCACAAAGACGTTTCTGAGAATGCTTCTGTCTAGATTTGATATGAAGATATTCCCGTTTCCAACGAAATCTTCAAATCTATCCAAATGTCCACTTGCAGATTCAACAAAAAGTGTTTTTCAGAACTGCTCTATCAAAAGAAAGATTCACCTCTGTTAGCTGAGTTCACACATCACAAGCAAGTTTATGAGAATGCTTCTGTCTAGTTTTTATTTGAAGATACTTCCTTTCTCACCATAGACCTGAAAGCTGTCCTAGTGTTCACTTCCAGATACTACAGAAAGAGTGTTTCAAAACTGCTGTACGAAAGGGAATGTTCAACTCTGTGACTTGAATGCACACATCACAAAGAAGTTTCTGAGGATGCTGCTGTCTACTTTTTATGCGTAATCCCGTTTCCAACGAAATCCTCTAAGCTATCCAAATATCCACTTGCAGATTCCACAGAAAGACTGTTTCAAAACTGCTCTGTCAATAGAAAGGTTCAACTCTGTTAGCTGCGTGCATATATCCCAAAGAAGATTCTGAGATTGCTTCTGTCTACTTTTTATGGGAAGATATTTCCCTTTTCACCGTAGGTGTCAAGGCGCTCCAAATGTCCACTTCCAGATACTACAAAAAGAGTGTTTCTAACCTACTCTGTGAAAGGGAATATTCAACTCTGTGACTTGAATGCACATATCACAAAGAAGTTTCTGAGAATGCTTCTGTCGAGATTTTATATGAAGATATTCCCGTTTCGAACGAAATCCTGAAATCTATCCAAATATCCCCTCGCAGATTCTACAAAAAGAGTGTTTCAAAACTGCTCTGTAAAAAGAAAGGTTCAACTCTGTTAGTTGAGTACACACATCACAAACAGGTTTCACAGAATGCTTCTTTCTAGCTTGTAGGGGAATATATTCCCTTTATCACCATGGGTCTCAAACCGTCCGAAACGTCCACTTCCATATACTACAAAAAGAGCGTTTCAAACCTGCTCTATGAAAGGCAATGTTCAACTCTGTGACTTGAATGCAGACATCACAGAGCTGTTTCTGAGAATGCTTCTGTCTAGATTTTATAGGAAGATATTCCCGTTTCCAACGAAATCTTCACAGCTATCCAAATATCCACTTGCCGATTCTACAAAAAGAGTGTATCAAAACTGCTCTGTCAAAAGGAAGGTTCTTCTCTGTTAGGTGAGTGCATACGTCATAAAGGAGTTTCTGAGAATGTTTCTGTCTAGTGGTTATGGGAAGATATTTGCTTTTTCACCGTAGGCCTCAGAGCGCTCCAAATATCCACTTGCACATGCTACAAAAAGAGTGCTTCAAAGCTGCTCTCTGAAACGGAATGTTCAACTCTATGAGTTGAATGCAAACATCACAAAGACGTTTCTGAGAATGCTTCTGTCTAGATTTGATATGAAGATATTCCCGTTTCCAACGAAATCTTAAAATCTATCCAAATGTCCACTTGCAGATTCAACAAAATGTGTTTTTCAGAACTGCTCTATCAAAAGAAAGATCCACCTCTGTAAGCTGAGTTCACACATCACAAACAAGTTTATGAGAATGCTTCTGTCTAGTTTTTATTTGAAGATATTTCCTTTCTCACCATAGACCTGAAAGCTCTCCTAGTGTTCACTTCCAGATACTACAGAAAGAGTGTTTCAAAACTGCTGTACGAAAGGGAATGTTCAACTCTGTGACTTGAATGCACACATCACAAAGAAGTTTCTGAGGATGCTGCTGTCTACTTTTTATACGTATCCCGTTTCCAACGAAATCCTCCAAGCTATCCAAATATCCACTTGCAGATTCCACAGAAAGACTGTTTCAAAACTGCTCTGTCAATAGAAAGGTTCAACTCTGTTAGCTGCGTGCATATATCCCAAAGAAGATTCTGAGATTGCTTCTGTCTAGTTTTTATGGGAAGATATTTCCCTTTTCACCGTAGGTGTCAAGGCGCTCAAAATGTCCACTTCCAGATACTACAAGAAGAGTGTTTCAAACCTACTCTGTGAAAGGCAATATTCAACTCTGTGACTTGAATGCAGATATCACAAAGAAGTTTCTGAGAATGCTTCTGTCGAGATTTTATATGAAGATATTCTCGTTTCCAACGAAATCCTGAAATCTATCCAAATATCCCCTCACAGATTCTACAAAAAGAGTGTTTCAAAACTGCTCTGTAAAAAGAAAGGTTCAACTCTGTTAGTTGAGTACACACATCACAAACAAGTTTCACACAATGCTTCTTTCTAGCTTGTAGGGGAAGATATTCCCTTTATCACCATGGGCCTCAAACCGTCGGAAACATCCACTTCCATATACTACAAAAAGAGCGTTTCAAACCTGCTCTATGAAAGGCAATGTTCAACTCTGTGACTTGAATGCAGACATCACAGAGCAGTTTCTGAGAATGCTTCTGTCTAGATTTTATAGGAAGATATTCCCGTTTCCAGGGAAATCTTCACAGCTATCCAAATATCCACTTGCAGATTCTACAAAAAGAGTGTATCAAAACTGCTCTGTCAAAAGGAAGGTTCTTCTCTGTTAGGTGAGTACATACGTCATAAAGGAGTTTCTGAGAATGTTTCTGTCTAGTGGTTATGGGAAGATATTTGCTTTTTCCCCGTAGGCCTCAGGGCGCTCCAAATGTCCACTTGCACATGCTACAAAAAGAGTGCTTCAAAGCTGCTCTCTCAAAGGGAATGTTCAACTCTATGAGTTGAATGCAAACATCGCAAAGACGTTTACTGAGAATGCTTCTGTCTAGATTTGATATGAAGATATTCCCGTTTCCAACGAAATCTTCAAATCTATCCAAATGTCCACTAGCAGATTCAACAAAAAGTGTTTTTCAGAACTGCTCTATCAAAAGAAAGATCCACCTCTGTTAGCTGAGTTCACACATCACAAACAAGTTTATGAGAATGCTTCCGTCTAGTTTTTATTTGAAGATATTTCCTTTCTCACCATAGACCTGAAAGCTGTCCTAATGTTCACTTCCAGATACTACAGAAAGAGTGTTTCAAAACTGCTGTACGAAAGGGAATGTTCAACTCTGTGACTTGAATGCACACATCACAAAGAAGTTTCCTGAGGATGCTGCTGTCTACTTTTTATACGTAATCCCGTTTCCAACGAAATCCTCCAAGCTATCCAAATATCCACTTGCAGATTCCACAGAAAGACTGTTTCAAAACTGCTCTGTCAATAGAAAGGTTCAACTCTGTTAGCTGCGTGGCATATATCCCAAAGAAGATTCTGAGATTGCTTCTGTCTAGTTTTTATCGGAAGATATTTCCCTTTTCACCGTAGGCGTCAAGGCGCTCCAAATGTCCAATTCCAGATACTATAAAAAGAGTGTTTCAAACCTACTCTGTGAAAGGGAATATTCAACTCTGTGACTGGAATGCAGATATCACAAAGATGTTTCTGAGAATGCTTCTGTCGAGATTTTATATGAAGATATTCCCGTTTCCAATGAAATCCTGAAATCTATCCAAATATCCCCTCGTAGATTCTACAAAAAGAGTGTTTCAAAACTGCTCTGTAAAAAGAAAGTTTCAACTCTGTTAGTTGAGTACACACATCACAAACAAGTTTCACAGAATGCTTCTTTCTAGCTTGTAGGGGAAGATATTCCCTTTATCACCATGGGCCTCAAACCGTCCGAAACGTCTACTTCCATATACTACAAAAAGAGCATTTCAAACCTGCTCTAGGAAAGGCAATGTTCAACTCTGTGACTTGAATGCAGACATCACAGAGCAGTTTCTGAGAATGCTTCTGTCTAGATTTTATAGGAAGATATTCCCGTTTCCAATCGAAATCTTCACAGGTATCCAAATATCCACTTGCAGATTCTACAAAAAGAGTGTATCAAAACTGCTCTGTCAAAAGGAAGGTTCTTCTCTGTTAGGTGAGTGCATACGTCATAAAGGAGTTTCTGAGAATGTTTCCGTCTAGTGGTTATGGGAAGATATTTGCTTTCTCACCGTAGGCCTCAGAGCGCTCCAAATATCCACTTGCACATACTACAAAAAGAGTGCTTCAAAGCTGTTCTCTGAAACGGAATGTTCAACTCTATGAGTTGAATGCAAACATCGCAAAGACGTTTCTGAGAATGCTTCTGTCTAGATTTGATATGAAGATATTCCCGTTTCCAACGAAATCTTCATATCTATCCAAATGTCCACTTGCAGATTCAACAAAAAGTGTTTTTCAAAACTTCTGTATCAAAAGAAAGATCCACGTCTGTTAGCTGAGTTCACACATCACAAACAAGTTTATGAGAATGCTTCTGTCTAGTTTTTATTTGAAGATATTTCCTTTCGCACCATAGACCTGAAAGCTGTCCTAATGTTCACTTCCAGATACTACAGAAAGAGTGTTTCAAAACTGCTGTACGAAAGGGAATGTTCAACTCTGTGACTTGAATGCACACATCACAAAGAAGTTTCTGAGGATGCTGCTGTCTACTTTTTATACGTAATCCCGTTTCCAGCGAAATCCTCCAATCTATCCAAATATCCACTTGCAGATTCCACAGAAAGACTGTTTCAAAACTGCTCTGTCAATAGAAAGGTTCAACTCTGTTAGCTGCGTGCATATATCCCAAAGAAGATTCTGAGATTGCTTCTGTCTAGTTTTTATGGGAAGATATTTCCCTTTTCACCGTAGGTGTCAAGGCGCTCCAAATGGCCACTTCCAGATACTACAAAAAGAGTGTTTCAAACCTACTCTGTGAAAGGGAATATTCAACTGTGTGACTAGAATGCACGTATCACAAAGAAGTTTCTGAGAATGCTTCTGTCGAGATTTTATATGAAGATATTCCCGTTTCCAACGAAATCCTGAAATCTATCCAAATATCCCCTTGCAGATTCTACAAAAAGAGTGTTTCAAAACTGCTCTGTAAAAAGAAAGGTTCAACTCTGTTAGTTGAGTACACACATCACAAACAGGTTTCACACAATGCTTCTTTCTAGCTTGTAGGGGAAGATATTCCCTTTATCACCATGGGCCTCAAAACGTCCGATAAGTCCACTTCCATATACTACAAAAAGAGCGTTTCAAACCTGCTCTATGAAAGGCAATGTTCAACTCTGTGACTTGAATGCAGACATCACAGAGCAGTTTCTGAGAATGCTTCTGTCCAGACTTTATAGGAAGATATTCCCGTTTCCAAAGAAATCTTCACAGCTATCCAAATATCCACTTGCAGATTCTACAAAAAGAGTGTATCAAAACTGCTCTGTCAAAAGGAAGGTTCTTCCCTGTTAGTTGAGTGCATACGTCATAAAGGAGTTTCTGAGAATGTTTCTGTCTAGTGGTTATGGGAAGATATTTGCTTTTTCACCGTAGGCCTCAGAGCGCTCCAAATATCCACTTGCACATACTACAAAAAGAGTGCCTCAAAGCTGCTCTCTGAAAAGGAATGTTCAACTCTATGAGTTGAATGCAAACATCGCAAAGACGTTTCTGAGAATGCTTCTGTCTAGATTTGATATGAAGGTATTCCCGTTTCCAACGAAATCTTCAAATCTATCCAAATGTCCACTTGCAGATTCAACAAAAAGTGTTTTTCAGAACTGCTCTATCAAAAGAAAGATCCACCTCTGTTAGCTGAGTTCACACATCACAAACAAGTTTTTGAGAATGCTTTCTGTCTAGTTTTTATTTGAAGATATTTCCTTTCTCACCATAGAGCTGAAAGCTGTCCTAATGTTCACTTCCAGATACTACAGAAAGAGTGTTTCAAAACTGCTGTATGAAAGGGAATGTTCAACTCTGTGACTTGAATGCACACATCACAAAGAAGTTTCGGAGGATGCTGCTGTCTACTTTTTATACGTAATCCCGTTTCCAACGAAATCCTCCAAGCTATCCAAATATCCACTTGCAGATTCCACAGAAAGACTCTTTCAAAACTGCTCTGTCAATAGAAAGGTTCAACTCTGTTAGCTGCGTACATATATCCCAAAGAAGATTCTGAGATTGCTTCTGTCTAGTTTTTATGGGAAGATATTTCCCTTTTCACCATAGGCGTCAAGGCGCTCCAAATGTCCACTTCCAGATACTACAAAAAGAGTGTTTCAAACCTACTCTGTGAAAGGGAATATTCAACTCTGTGACTTGAATGCACATATCACGAAGAAGTTTCTGCGAATGCTTCGGTCTTCTGTCGAGATTTTATATGAAGATATTCCCGTTTCCAACGAAATCCTGAAATCTATCCAAATATCCCCTCGCAGATTCTACAAAAAGAGTGTTTCAAAACTGCTCTGTAAAAAGAAAGGTTCAACTCTGTTAGTTGAGTACACACAGCACAAACAAGTTTCACAGAATGCTTCTTTCTAGCTTGTAGGGGAAGATATTCCCTTTATCACCATGGGCCTCAAACCGTCCGAAACGTCCACTTCCATACACTACAAAAAGAGCGTTTCAAACCTGCTCTATGAAAGGCAATGTTCAACTCTGTGACTTGAATGCAGACATCACAGAGCAGTTTCTGAGAATGCTTCTGTCTAGATTTTATATGAAGATATTCCCATTTCCAATGAAATCTTCAAAGATATCCAAATATCCAATTGCAGATTCTACAAAAAGAGTGTATCAAAACTGTTGTGTCAAAAGGAAGGTTCAACTCTGTTAGTTGTGTACATACATCATAAAGAAGTTTCTGAGAATGTTTCTGTCTAGTGGTTATGGGAAGATATTTGCTTTTTCACCGTAGGCCTCAGAGCGCTCCAAATATCCACTTGCACATACTACAAAAAGAGTGCTTCAAAGCTGGTCTCTGAAACGGAATGTTCAACTCTATGAGTTGAATGCAAACATCACAAAGACGTTTCTGAGAATGCTCTGTCTAGATTTGATATGAAGATATTCCCGTTTCCAACGAAATCTTCAAATCTATCCAAATGTCCACTTGCAGATTCAACAAAACGTGTTTTTCAGAACTGCTCTATCAAAAGAAAGATCCACCTCTGTTAGCTGAGTTCACACATCACAAACAAGTTTATGAGAATGCTTCTGTCTAGTTTTTATTTGAAGATATAACCTTTCTCACTATAGACCTGAAAGCTCTCCTAAAGTTCACTTCCAGATACTACAGAAAGAGTGTTTCAAAACTGCTGTACAAAAGGGAATGTTCAACTCTGTGACTTGAATGCACACATCACAAAGAAGTTTCTGAGGATGCTGCTGTCTACTTTTTATACTTAATCCCGTTTCCAACGAAATCCTCCAAGCTATCCGAATATCCACTTCCAGATTCCACAGAAAGACTGTTTCAAAACTGCTCTGTCAATAGAAAGGTTCAACTCTGTTAGCTGCGTGCATATATCCCAAAGAAGATTCTGAGATTGCTTCTGTCTAGTTTTTATGGGAAGATATTTCCCTTTTCACCGTAGGCGTCCAGGCGCTCCAAATGTCCACTTCCAGATACTACAAAAAGAGTGTTTCAAACCTACTCTGTGAAAGGGAATATTCAACTCTGTGACTTGAATGCACATATCACAAGGGAAGTTTCTGAGAATGCTTCTGTCGAGATTTTATATGAAGATATTCCCGTTTCCAACGAAATGCTGAAATCTATCCAAATATCCCCTCGCAGATTCTACAAAAAGAGTGTTTCAAAACTGCTCTGTAAAAAGAAAGGTTCAACTCTGTTAGTTGAGTACACACATCACAAACAAGTTTCACACAATGCTTCTTTCTAGCTTGTAGGGGAAGATATTCCCTTTATCACCATGGGCCTCAAACCGTCCGAAACGTCCACTTCCAAATACTACAAAAAGAGTGTTTCAAACCTGCTCTATGAAAGGCAATGTTCAACTCTGTGACTTGAATGCAGACATCACAGAGCACTTTCTGAGAATGCTTCTGTCTAGATTTTATAGGAAGATATTCCCGTTTCCAACGAAATCTTCACAGCTATCCAAATATCCACTTGCAGATTCTACAAAATGTGTGTATCAAAACTGCTCTGTCAAAAGGAAGGTTCTTCTCTCTTAGGTGAGTACATACGTCATAAAGGAGTTTCTGAGAATGTTTCTGTCTAGTGGTTATGGGAAGATATTTGCTTTTTCACCTTAGGCCTCAGAGCGCTCCAAATATCCCCTTGCACATACTACAAAAAGAGTGCTTCACAGCTGCTCTCTGAAACGGAATGTTCAACTCTATGAGTTGAATGCAAACATCACAAAGACGTTTCTGAGAATGCTTCGGTCTAGATTTGATATGAAGATATTCCCGTTTCCAACGAAATCTTCAAATCTATCCAAATGTCCACTTGCAGATTCAACAAAAAGTGTTTTTCAGAACTGCTCTATCAAAAGAAAGATCCACCTCTGTTAGCTGAGTTCACACATCACAAACAAGTTTATGAGAATGCTTTCTGTCTAGTTTTTATTTGAAGATATTTCCTTTCTCACCGTAGACCTGAAAGCTGTCCTAATGTTCACTTCCAGATACTACAGAAAGAGTGTTTCAAAACTGCTGTACGAAAGGGAATGTTCAACTCTGTGACTTCAATGCAAACATCACAAAGAAGTTTCTGAGGATGCTGCTGTCTACTTTTTACACGTAATCCCGTTTCCAACGAAATCCTCCAAGCTATCCAAATATCCACTTGCAGATTCCACAGAAAGACTGTTTCAAAACTGCTCTGTCAATAGAAAGGTTCAACTCTGTTAGCTGCGTGCATATATCCCAAAGGAGATTCTGAGATTGCTTCTGTCTAGTTTTTATGGGAAGATATTTACCTTTTCACTTTAGGTGTCAAGGCGCTCCAAATGTCCACTTCCAGATACTACAAAAAGAGTGTTTCAAACCTACTCTGTGAAAGGGAATATTCAACTCTGTGACTTGAATGCAGATATCACAAAGAAGTTTCTGAGAATGCTTCTGTCGAGATTTTATATGAAGATATTCCCGTTTCCAACGAAATCCTGAAATCTATCCAAATATCCCCTCGCAGATTCTACAAAAAGAGTGTTTCAAAACTGCTGTGTAAAAAGAAAGGTTCAACTCTGTTAGTTGAGTACACACATCACAAACAAATTTCACAGAATGATTCTTTCTAGCTTGTAGGGGAAGATATTCCCTTTATCACCATGGGCCTCAAACCGTCCGAAACGTCCACTTCCATATACTACAAAAAGAGCGTTTCAAACCTGCTCTATGAAAGGCAATGTTCAACTCTGTGACTTGAATGCAGACATCACAGAGCACTTTCTGAGAAGGCTTCTGTCTAGATTTTATAGGAAGATATTCCCGTTTCCAACGAAATCTTCACAGCTATCCAAATATCCACTTGCAGATTCTACAAAAAGAGTGTATCAAAACTGCTCTGGCAAAAGGAAGGTTCTTTTCTGTTAGGTGAGTGCATACGTCATAAAGGAGTTTCTGAGAATGTTTCTGTCTAGTGGTTATGGGAAGATATTTGCTTTTTCACCGTAGGCCTCAGAGCGCTCCAAATATCCACTTGCACATACGACAAAAAGAGTGCTTCAAAGCTGCTCTCTGAAACGGAATGTTCAACTCTGTGAGTTGAATGCAAACGTCACAAAGACGTTTCCGCGAATGCTTCTGTCTAGATTTGATATGAAGATATTCCCGTTTCCAACGAAATCTTCAAATCTATCCAAATGTCCACTTGCAGATTCTACAAAAAGTGTTTTTCAGAACTGCTCTATCAAGAGAAAGATCCACCTCTGTTAGCTGAGTTCACACATCACAAACAAGTTTATGAGAATGCTTCTGTCTAGTTTTTGTTTGAAGATATTTCCTTTCTCACCATAGAGCTGAAAGCTGTCCTAATGTTCACTTCCAGATACTACAGAAAGAGTGTTTCAAAACTGCTGTACGAAAGGGAATGTTCAACTCTGTCACTTGAATGCACACATCACAAAGAAGTTTCTGAGGATGCTGCTGTCTACTTTTTATACTTAATCCCGTTTCCAACGAAGTCCTCCAAGCTATCCAAATATCCACTTGCAGATTCCACAGAAAGGCTGTTTCAAAACTGCTCTGTCAATAGAAAGGTTCAACTCTGTTAGCTGCGTGCATATATCCCAAAGAAGATTCTGAGATTGCTTCTGTCTAGTTTTTAGGGGAAGATATTTCCCTTTTCACCGTAGGTGTCAAGGCGCTCCAAATGTCCACTTCCAGATACTACAAAAAGAGTGTTTCAAACCTACTCTGTGAAAGGGAATATTCAACTCTGTGACTTCAATGCACATATCACAAAGAAGTTTCTGAGAATGCTTCTGCCGAGATTTTATATGAAGATATTCCCGTTTCCAACGAAATGCTGAAATCTATCCAAATATCCCCTCGCAGATTCTACAAAAAGAGTGTTTCAAAACTGCTCTGTGAAAAGAAAGGTTCATCTCTGTTAGTTGAGTACACACATCACAAACAAGTTTCACAGAATGCTTCTTTCTAGCTTGTAGGGGAAGATATTCCCTTTATCACCATGGGCCTCAAACCGTCTGAAACGTCCACTTCCATATACTACAAAAAGAGCATTTCAAACCTGCTCTGTGAAAGGCAATGTTCAACTCTGTGACTTGAATGCAGACATCACACAGCAGTTTCTGAGAATGCTTCTGTCTAGATTTTATAGGAAGATATTCCCGTTTCCAACGAAATCTTCACAGCTATCCAAATATCCACTTGCAGATTCTACAAAAAGAGTGTATCAAAACTGCTCTGTCAAAAGGAAGGTTCTTTTCTGTCAGGTGAGTGCATACGTCATAAAGGAGTTTCTGAGAATGTTTCTGTCTAGTGGTTATGGGAAGATATTTGCTTTTTCACCTTAGGCCTCAGAGCGCTCAAAATATCCCCTTGCACATACTACAAAAAGAGTGCTTCAAAGCTGCTCTCTGAAACGGAATGTTCAACTCTATGGGTTGAATGCAAACATCACAAAGACGTTTCCGAGAATGCTTCTGTCTAGATTTGATATGACGATATTCCCGTTTACAACGAAATCTTCAAATCTATCCAAATGTCCACTTGCAGATTCAACAAAACGTGTTTTTCAGAACTGCTCTATCAAAAGAAAGATCCACCTCTGTTAGCTGAGTTCACACATCACAAACAAGTTTATGAGAATGCTTCTGTCTAGTTTTTATTTGAAGATATTTCCTTTCTCACCATAGACCTGAAAGCTGTCCTAATGTTCACTTCGAGATACTACAGAAAGAGTGTTTCAAAACTGCTGTACGAAAGGGAATGTTCAACTCTGTGACTTGAATGCACACATCACAAAGAAGTTTCTGAGGATGCTGCTGTCTACTTTTTATACGTAATCCCGTTTCCAACGAAATCCTCCAAGCTATCCAAATATCCATTTGCAGATTCCACAGAAAGACTGTTTCAAAACTGCTCTGTCAATAGAAAGTTTCAACTCTGTTAGCTGCGTGCATATATCCCAAAGAAGATTCTGAGATTGCTTCTGTCTAGTTTTTATGGGAAGATATTTCCCTTTTCACCTTAGGCGTCAAGGCGCTCCAAATGTCCACTTCCAGATACTACAAAAAGAGTGTTTCAAACCTACTCTGTGAAAGGGAATATTCAACTCTGTGACTTGAATGCACATATCACAAAGAAGTTTCTGAGAATGCTTCTGTCGAGATTTTATATGAAGATATTCCCGTTTCCAACGAAATCCTGAAATCTATCCAAATGTCCCCTCGCAGATTCTACAAAAAGAGTGTTTCAAAACTGCTCTGTAAAAAGAAAGGTTCAACTCTGTTAGTTGAGTACACACATCACAAAGAAGTTTCACAGAATGCTTCTTTCTAGCTTGTTGGGGAAGATATTCCCTTTATCACCATGGGCCTCAAACCGTCCGAAACGTCCACTTCCATATACTACAAAAAGAGTGTTTCAAACCTGCTCTATGAACGGCAATGTTCAACTCTGTGACTTGAATGCAGACATCACAGAGCAGTTTCTGAGAATGCTTCTGTCTAGATTTTATAGGAAGTATATTCCCGTTTCCAACGAAATCTTCACAGCTATCCAAATATCCACTTGCAGATTCTACAAAAAGAGTGTATCAAAACTGCTCTGTCAAAAGGAAGGTTCTTTTCTGTTAGGTGAGTGCATACGTCATAAAGGAGTTTCTGAGAATGTTTCTGTCTAGTGGTTATTGGAAGATATTTGCTTTTTCACCGTAGGCCTCAGATCGCTCCAAATATCCACTTGCACATACTACAAAAAGAGTGCTTCAAAGCTGCTCTCTGAAACGGAATGTTCAACTCTATGAGTTGAATGCAAACATCACAAAGACGTTTCTGAGAATGCTTCTGTCTAGATTTGATATGAAGATATTCCCGTTTCCAACGAAATCTTCAAATCTATCCAAATGTCCACTTGCAGATTCAACAAAAAGTGTTTTTCAAAACTGCTGTATCAAAAGAAAGATCCACGCCTGTTAGCTGAGTTCACACATCACAAACAAGTTTATGAGAATGCTTCTGTCTAGTTTTTATTTGAAGATATTGCCTTTCTCACCATAGACCTGAAAGCTGTCCTAATGTTCACTTCCAGATACTACAGAAAGAGTTTTTCAAAACTGCTGTACGAAAGGGAATGTTCAACTCTGTGACTTGAATGCACACATCACAAAGAAGTTTCTGAGGATGCTGCTGTCTAATTTTTATACATAATCCCTTTTCCAACGAAATCCTCCAAGCTATCCAAATATCCACTTGCAGATTCCACAGAAAGACTGTTTCAAAACTGCTCTGTCAATAGAAAGGTTCAACTCTGTTAGCTGCGTGCATATATCCCAAAGAAGATTCGGAGATTGCTTCTGTCTCGTTTTTATGGGAAGATATTTACCTTTTCACCGTAGGTGTCAAGGCGCTCCAAATGTCCACTTCCAGATACTACAAAAAGAGTGTTTCAAACCTACTCTGTGAAAGGGAATATTCAACTCTGTGACTTGAATGCAGATATCACAAAGAAGTTTCTGAGAATGCTTCTGTCGAGATTTTATATGAAGATATTCCCGTTTCCAACGAAATCCTGAAATCTATCCAAATATCCCCTCGCAGATTCTACAAAAAGAGTGTTGCAAAACTGCTCTGTAAAAAGAAAGGTTCAACCCTGTTAGTTGAGTACACACATCACAAACAAGTTTCACAGAATGCTTCTTTCTAGCTTGTAGGGGAAGATATTCCCTTTATCACCATGGGCCTCAAACCGTCCGAAACGTCCACTTCCATATAGTACAAAAAGAGTGTTTCAAACCTGCTCTATGAACGGCAATGTTCAACTCTGTGACTTGAATGCAGACATCACAGAGCAGTTTCTGAGAATGCTTCTGTCTAGATTTTATAGGAAGATATTCCCGATTCCAACGAAATCTTCACAGCTATCCAAATATCCACTTGCAGATTCTACAAAAAGAGTGTATCAAAACTGCTCTGTCAAAAGGAAGGTTCTTCTCTGTTAGTTGAGTACATACGTCATAAAGGAGTTTCTGAGAATGTTTCAGTCTAGTGGTTATGGGAAGATATTTGCTTTTTCCCCGTAGGCCTCAGAGCGCTCCAAATATCCACTTGCACATACTACAAAAAGAGTGCTTCAAAGCTGCTCTCTGAAACGGAATGTTCAACTCTATGAGTTGAATGCAAACATCACAAAGACGTTTCTGAGAATGCTTCTGTCGAGATTTTATATGAAGATATTCCCGTTTCCAACGAAATTTTCAAATCTATACAAATGTCCACTTGCAGATTCAACAAAGTGTTTTTCAAAACTGCTGTATCAAAAGAAAGATCCACCTCTGTTAGCTGAGTTCACACTTCACAAACAAGTTTATCAGACTGCTTCTGTCTAGTTTTTATTTGAAGATATTTCCTTTCTCACCACAGACCTGAAAGCTGTCCTAATGTTCACTTGCAGATACTACAGAAAGAGTGTTTCAAAACTGCTGTACGAAAGGGAATGTTCAACTCTGTGACTTGAATGCACACATCACAAAGAAGTTTCTGAGGATGCTGCTGTCTACTTTTTATACGTAATCGCGTTTCCAACGAAATCCTCCAAGCTATCCAAATATCCACTTGCAGATTCCACAGAAAGACTGTTTCAAAACTGCTCTGTCAATAGAAAGGTTCAACTCTGCTAGCTACGTGCATATATCCCAAAGAAGATTCTGAGATTGCTTCTGTCTAGTTTTTATGGGAAGATATTTCCCTTTTCACCGTAGGCGTGAAGGCGCTCCAAATGTCCACTTCCAGATACTACAAAAAGAGTGTTTCAAACCTACTATGTGAAAGGGAATATTCAACTCTGTGACTTCAATGCAGATATCACAAAGAAGTTTCTGAGAAGGCTTCTGTTGAGATTTTATATGAAGATATTCCCGTTTCCAACGAAATCCTGAAATCTATCCAAATATCCCCTCGCAGATTCTACAAAAAGAGTGTTTCAAAACTGCTCTGTAAAAAGAAAGGTGCAACTCTGTTAGTTGAGTACACACATCACAAACAAGTTTCACAGAATGCTTCTTTCTAGCTTGTAGGGGAAGATATTCCCTTTATCACCATGGGCCTCAAACCGTCCGAAACGTCCACTTCCATATACTACAGAAAGAGCGTTTCAAACCTGTTCTAGGAAAGGCAATGTTCAACTCTGTGACTTGAATGCAGACATCACAGAGCAGTTTCTGAGAATGCTTCTGTCTAGATTTTATAGGAAGATATTCCCGTTTCCAACGAAATCTTCACAGCTATCCAAATATCCACTTGCAGATTCTACAAAAAGAGTGTATCAAAACTGCTCTGTCAAAAGGAAGGTTCTTTTCTGTTAGGTGAGTGCATACGTCATAAAGGAGTTTCTGAGAATGTTTTCTGTCTAGTGGTTATGGGAAGATATTTGCTTTTTCACCTTAGGCCTCAGAGCGCTCCAAATATCCCCTTGCACATACTACAAAAAGAGTGCTTCAAAGCTGCTCTCTGAAAGAGAATGTTCAACTCTATGAGTTGAATGCAAACATCACAAAGACGTTTCTGGGAATGCTTCTGTCTAGATTTGATATGAAGATATTCCCGTTTCCAAAGAAATCTTCAAATCTATCCAAATGTCCACTTGCAGATTCATCAAAAAGTGTTTTTCAGAACTGCTCTATCAAAAGAAAGATCCACCTCTGTTAGCTGAGTTCACACATCACACACAAGTTTATGAGAATGCTTCTGTCTAGTTTTTATTTGAAGATATTTCCTTTCTCACCATAGACCTGAAAGCTGTCCTAATGTTCACTTCCAGATACTACAGAAAGAGTGTTTCAAAACTGCTGTACGAAAGGGAATGTTCAACTCTGTGACTTGAATTCAATCATCACAAAGAAGTTTCTGAGGATGCTGCTGTCTACTTTTTATACGTAATCCCGTTTCCAAAGAAATCCTCCAAGCTATCCAAATATCCACTTGCAGATTCCACAGAAGGACTGTTTCTAAACTGCTCTGTCAATAGAAAGGTTCAACTCTGTGAGCTGCGTGCATATATCCCAAAGAAGATTCTGAGATTGCTTCTGTCTAGTTTTTATGGGAAGATATTTCCCTTTTCACCGTAGGCGTCAAGGCGCTCCAAATGTCCACTTCCAGATACTACAAAAAGAGTGTTTCAAACCTACTCTGTGAAAGGGAATATTCAACTCTGTGACCTGAATGCACATATCACAAAGAAGTTTCTGAGAATGCTTCCGTCGAGATTTTATATGAAGATATTCCCGTTTCCAACGAAATCCTGAAATCTATCCAAATATCCCCTCGCAGATTCTACAAAAAGAGTGTTTCAACACTGTTCTGTAAAAAGAAAGGTTCAACTCTGTTAGTTGAGTACACACATCACAAACAAGTTTCACAGAATGCTTCTTTCTAGCTTGTAGGGGAAGATATTCCCTTTATCACCATGGGCCTCAAACCATCCGAAATGTCCACTTCAATATACTACAAAAAGAGCGTTTCAAACCTGCTCTAGGAAAGGGAATGTTCAACTCTGTGACTTGAATGCAGACATCACAGAGCAGTTTCTGAGAATGCTTCTCTCTAGATTTTATGGGAAGATATTCCCGTTTCCGACGAAATCTTCACAGCTATCCAAATATCCACTTGCAGATTCTACAAAAAGAGTGTATCAAAACTGCTCTGTCAAAAGGAAGGTTCTTCTCTGTTAGGTGAGTGCATACGTCATAAAGGAGTTTCTGAGAATGTTTCCATCTAGTGGTTATGGGAAGATATTTGCTTTTTCACCGAAGGCCTCAGAGCGCTCCAAATATCCACTTGCACATACTACAAAAAGAGTGCCTCAAAGCTGCTCTCTGAAACGGAATGTTCAACTCTATGAGTTGAATGCAAACATCGCAACGACGTTTCTGAGAATGCTTCTGTCTAGATTTGACATGAAGATATTCCGGTTTCCAACGAAATCTTCAAATCTATCCAAATGTCCACTTGCAGATTCAACAAAAAGTGTTTTTCAGAACTGCTCTATCAAAAGAAAGATCCACCTCTGTTAGCTGAGTTCACACATCACAAACAAGTTTATGAGAATGCTTCTGTCTAGTTTTTATTTGAAGATATATCCTTTCTCACTATAGACGTGAAAGCTCTCCTAAAGTTCACTTCCAGATACTACAGAAAGAGTTTTTCAAAACTGCTGTACGAAAGGGAATGTTCAACTCTGTGACTTGAAAGCACACATCACAAGGAAGATTCTGAGGATGCTGCTGTATACTTTTTATACGTAATCCCGTTTCCAACGAAATCCTCCAAGCTATCCAAATATCCACTTGCAGATTCCACAGAAAGACTGTTTCAAAACTGCTCTGTCAATAGAAAGGTTCAACTCTGTTAGCTGCGTGCATATATCCCAAAGAAGATTCTGAGATTGCTTCTGTCTAGTTTTTATGGGAAGATATTTCCCTTTTCACCGTAGGCGTCAAGGCGCTCCAAATGTCCACTTCCAGATACTACAAAAAGAGTGTTTCAAACCTACTCTGTGAAAGGGAATATTCAACTCTGTGACTTGAGTGCAGATATCACAAAGAAGTTTCTGAGAATGCTTCTGTCGAGATTTTATATGAAGATATTCCCGTTTCCAACGAAATGCTGAAATGTATCCAAATATCCCCTCGCAGATTCTACAAAAAGAGTGTTTCAAAACTGCTCTGTAAAAAGAGAGGTTCAACTCTGTTAGTTGAGTACACACATCACAAACAAGTTTCACACAATGCTTCTTTCTAGCTTGTAGGGGAAGATATGCCCTTTATCACCATGGGCCTCCAACCGTCCGAAACATCCACTTTCATATACTACAAAAAGAGCGTTTCAAACCTGCTCTATGAAAGGCAATGTTCAACTCTGTGACTTGAATGCAGACATCACAGAGCAGTTTCTGAGAATGCTTCTGTCTAGATTTTATAGGAAGTTATTCCCGTTTCCAACGAAATCTTCACAGCTATCCAAATATCCACTTGCAGATTCTACAAAAAGAGTGTATCAAAACTGCTCTGTCAAAAGGAAGGTTCTTTTCTGTTAGGTGAGTGCATACGTCATAAAGGAGTTTCTGAGAATGTTTCTGTCTAGTGGTTATGGGAAGATATTTGCTTTTTCACCGTAGGCCTCAGAGCGCTCCAAATATCCACTTGCACATACTACAAAAAGAGTGCTTCAAAGCTGCTCTCTGAAAGGGAATGTTCAACTCTATGAGTTGAATGCGAACATCACAAAGACGTTTCTGAGAATGCTTCTGTCTAGATTTGATATGAAGATATTCCCGTTTCCAACGAAATCTTCAAATCTATCCAAATGTCCACTTGCAGATTCAACAAAAAGTGTTTTTCAGAACTGCTCTATCAAAAGAAAGATCCACCTCTGTTAGCTGAGTTCACACATCACTAACAGGTTTATGAGAATGCTTCTGTCTAATTTTTATTTGAAGATATTTCCTTTCTCACCATAGACCTGAAAGCGGTCCTAATGTTCACTTCCAGATACTACAGAAAGAGTGTTTCAAAACTGCTGTACGAAAGGGAATGTTCAACTCTGTGACTTGAATGCACACATCACAAAGAAGTTTCTGAGGATGCTGCTGTCTACCTTTTATACGTAATCCCGTTTCCAACGAAATCCTCCAAGCTATCCAAATATCCACTTGCAGATTCCACAGAAAGACTGTTTCAAAACTGCTCTGTCAATAGAAAGGTTCAACTCTGTTAGCTGCGTGCATATATCCCAAAGAAGATTCTGAGATTGCTTCTGTCTAGTTTTTATGGGAAGATATTTCCCTTTTCACCGTAGGCGTCAAGGCGCTCCAAATGTCCACTTCCAGATACTACAAAAAGAGTGTTTCAAACCTACTCTGTGAAAGGGAATATTCAACTCTGTGACTTGAAGGAAGATATCACAAAGAAGTTTCTGAGAATGCTTCTGTCGAGATTTTCTATGAAGATGTTCCCGTTTCCAACGAAATCCTGAAATCTATCCAAATATCCCCTCGCAGATTCTACAAAAAGAGTGTTTCAAAACTGCTCTGTAAAAAGAAAGGTTCAACTCTGTTAGTTGAGTACACACATCACAAACAAGTTTCACAGAATGCTTCTTTCTAGCTTGTAGGGGAAGATATTCCCTTTATCACCATGGGCCTCAAACCGTCCGAAACGTCCTCTTCCATATACTACAAAAAGAGCGTTTCAAACCTGCTCTATGAAAGGCAATGTTCAACTCTGTGACTTGAATGCAGACATCACAGAGCAGTTTCTGAGAATGCTTCTGTCTAGATTTTATAGGAAGATATTCCCGTTTCCAACGAAATATTCACAGCTATCCAAATATCCACTTGCAGATTCTACAAAAAGAGTGTATCAAAACTGCTCTGTCAAAAGGAAGGTTCTTCTCTGTTAGGTGAGTGCATACGTCATAAAGGAGTTTCTGAGAATGTTTCTGTCTAGTGGTTATGGGAAGATATTTGCTTTTTCACCGTAGGCCTCAGAGCGCTCCAAATATCCACTTGCACATACTACAAAAAGAGTGCTTCAAAGCTGCTCTCTGAAACGGAATGTTCAACTCTACGAGTTGAATGCAAACATCACAAAGACGTTTCTGAGAATGCTTCTGTCTAGATTTGATATGAAGATATTCCCGTTTCCAACGAAATCTTCAAATCTATCCAAAGGTCCACTTGCAGATTCAACAAAAAGTGTTTTTCAGAACTGCTCTATCAAAAGAAAGATCCACCTCTGTTAGCTGAGTTCACACATCACAAACAAGTTTATGAGAATGCTTATCTGTCTACTTTTTATTTGAAGATATTTCCTTTCTCACCATAGACCTGAAAGCTGTCCTAATGTTCACTCCCAGATACTACAGAAAGAGTGTTTCAAAACTGCTGTACGAAAGGGAATGTTCAACTCTATGACTTGAATGCACACATCACAAAGAAGATTCTGAGGATGCTGCTGTCTACTTTTTATACGTAATCCCGTTTCCAACAAAATCCTCCAAGCTATCCAAATATCCACTTGCAGATTCCACAGAAAGACTGTTTCAAAACTGCTCTGTCAATAGAAAGGTTCAACTCTATTAGCTGCGTACATATATCCCAAAGAAGATTCTGAGATTGCTTCTGTCTAGTTTTTATGGGAAGATATTTCCCTTTTCACTGTAGGCGTCAAGGCGCTCCAAATGTCCACTTCCAGATACTACAAAAAGAGTGTTTCAAACCTACTCTGTGAAAGGGAATATTCAACTCTGTGACTTAAAGGCAGATATCACAAAGAAGTTTCTGAGAATGCTTCTGTCGAGATTTTATATGAAGATATTCCCGTTTCCAACGAAATCCTGAAATCTATCCAAATATCCCCTCGCAGATTCTACAAAAAGAGTGTTTCAAAACTGCTCTGTAAAAAGAAAGGTTCAACTCTGTTAGTTGAGTACACACATCACAACCAAGTTTCACAGAATGCTTCTTTCTAGCTTGTAGGGGAAGATATTCCCTTTATCACCATGGGCCTCAAACTGTCAGAAACGTCCACTTCCATATACTACAAAAAGAGCGTTTCAAACCTGCTCTATGAAAGGCAATGTTCAGCTCTGTGACTTGAATGCAGACATCACAGAGCAGTTTCTGAGAATGCTTCTGTCTAGATTTTATAGGAAGATATTCCCGTTTCCAACGAAATCTTCACAGATATCCAAATATCCACTTGCAGATTCTACAAAAAGAGTGTATCAAAACTGCTCTGTCAAAAGGAAGGTTCTTCTCTGTTAGGTGAGTGCATACGTTATAAAGGAGTTTCTGAGAATGTTTCTGTCTAGTGGTTATGGGAAGATATTTGCTTTTTCACCGTAGGCCTCAGAGCGCTCCAAATATCCACTTGGACATACTACAAAAAGAGTGCCTCAAAGCTGCTCTCTGAAACGGAATGTTCAACTCTATGAGTTGAATGCAAACATCGCAAAGACGTTTCTGAGAATGCTTCTGTCTAGATTTGATATGAAGATATTCCCGTTTCCAACGAAATCTTCAAATCTATCCAAATGTCCACTTGCAGATTCAACAAAAAGTGTTTTTCAGAACTGCTCAATCAAAAGAAAGATCCACCTGTGTTAGCTGAGTTCACACATCACAAACAAGTTTATGAGAATGCTTCTGTCTAGTTTTTATTTGAAGATATTTCCTTTCTCAACATAGACCTGAAGGCTGTCCTAATGTTCACTTCCAGATACTACAGAAAGAGTGTTTCAAAACTGCTGTACGAAAGGGAATGTTCAACTCTGTGACTTGAATGCACACATCACAAAGAAGTTTCTGAGGATGCTGCTGTCTACTTTTTATACGTAATCCCGTTTCCAACGAAATCCTCCAATCTATCCAAATATCCACTTGCAGATTCCACAGAAAGACTGTTTCAAAACTGCTCTGTCAATAGAAAGGTTCATCTCTGTTAGCTGCGTGCATATATCCCAAAGAAGATTCTGAGATTGCTTTTGTTTAGTTTTTAATGGGAAGATATTTCCCTTTTCACCGTAGGTGTCAAGGCGCTCCAAATGTCCACTTCCAGATACTACAAAAAGAGTGTTTCCAACCTACTCTGTGAAAGGGAATATTCAACTCTGTGACTTGAATGCACATATCACAAAGAAGTTTCTGAGAATGCTTCTGTCGAGATTTTATATGAAGATATTCCCGTTTCCAACGAAATCCTGAAATCTATCCAAATATCCCCTCGCAGATTCTACAAAAAGAGTTTTTCAAAACTGCTCTGTAAAAAGAAAGGCTCTGTTAGTTGAGTACACACATCACAAACAAGTTTCACAGAATGCTTCTTTATAGCTTGTAGGGGAAGATATTCCCTTTATCACCATGGGCCTCCAACCGTCCGAAACATCCACTTCCCTATACTACAAAAAGAGCGTTTCAAACCTGCTCTATGAAAGGCAATGTTCAACTCTGTGACTTGAATGCAGACATCACAGAGCAGTTTCTGAGAATGCTTCTGTCTAGATTTTATAGGAAGATATTCCCGTTTCCAACGAAATCTTCACAGCTATCCAAATATGCACTTGCAGATTCTACAAAAAGAGTGTATCAAAACTGCTGTATCAAAAGAAAGAATGTTCTTCTCTGTTAGTTGAGTACATACGTCATAAAGGAGTTTCTGAGAATGTTTCTGTATAGTGGTTATGGGAAGATATTTGCTTTTTCACCGTAGGCCTCAGAGCGCTCCAAATATCCACTTGCACATACTACAAAAAGAGTGCTTCAAAGCTGCTCTCTGAAACGGAATGTTCAACTCTATGAGTTGAATGCAAACATCACAAAGACGTTTCCGAGAATCCTTCTGTCTAGATTTGATATGAAGATATTCCCGTTTCCAACGAAATCTTCATATCTATCCAAATGTCCACTTGCAGATTCAACAGAAAGTGTTTTTCAAAACTTCTCTATCAAAAGAAAGATCCACCTCTGTTAGCTGAGTTCACACATCACAAACAAGTTTATGAGAATGCTTCTGTCTAGTTTTTATTTGAAGATATATCCTTTCTCACTATAGACCTGAAAGCTGTCCTAAAGTTCACTAACAGATACTACAGAAAGAGTGTTTCAAAACTGCTGTACGAAAGGGAATGTTCAACTCTGTGACATGAATGCACACATCACAAGGATGTTTCTGAGGATGCTGCTGTCTACTTTTTATACGTAATCCCGTTTCCAACGAAATCCTCCAATCTATCCAAATATCCACTTGCAGATTCCACAGAAAGACTGTTTCAAATCTGCTCTGTCAACAGAAAGATTCAACTCTGTTAGCTGCGTGCATATATCCCAAAGAAGATTCTGAGATTGCCTTCTGTGTAGTTTTTATGGGAAGATATTTCCCTTTTTACCGTAGGTGTCAAGGCGCTCAAAATGTCCACTTCCAGATACTACAAAAAGAGTGTTTCAAACCTACTCTGTGAAAGGGAATATTCAACTCTGTGACTTGAATGCAGATATCACAAAGAAGTTTCTGAGAATGCTTCTGTCGAGATTTTATATGAAGATATTCCCGTTTCCAACGAAATCCTGAAATCTATCCAAATATCCCCTCGCAGATTCTACAAAAGGAGTGTTTCAAAACTGCTCTGTAAAAAGAAACGTTCAACTCTGTTAGTTGAGTACACACATCACAAACAAGTTTCACAGAATGCTTCTTTCTAGCTTGTAGGGGAAGATATTCCCTAAATCACCATGGGCCTCAAACCGTCCGAAACGTCCACTTCCATATACTACAAAAAGAGTGTTTCAAACCTGCTCTATGAAAGGCAATGTTCAACTCTGTGACTTGAATGCAGACACCACAGAGCAGTTTCTGAGAATGCTTCTGTCTAGATTTTATAGGAATATATTCCCGTTTTCAACGAAATCTTCACAGCTATCCAAATATCCACTTGCAGATTCCACAAAAAGAGTGTATCAAAACTGCTCTGTCAAAAGGAAGGTTCTTTTCTGTTAGGTGAGTGCATACTGTCATAAAGGAGTTTCTGAGAATGTTTCTGTCTAGTGGTTATGGGAAGATATTTGCTTTTCCCCGTAGGCCTCAGGGCGCTCCAAATGTCCACTTGCACATGCTACAAAAAGAGTGCTTCAAAGCTACTCTCTGGAAGGGAATGTTCAACTCTATGAGTTGAATGCAAACATCACAAAGACGTTTCTGAGAATGCTTCTGTCTAGATTTGATATGAAGATATTCCCGTTTCCAACGAAATCTTCAAATCTATCCAAATGTCCACTTGCAGATTCAACAAAAAGTGTTTTTCAGAACTGCTCTATCAAAAGAAAGATCCACCTCTGTTAGCTGAGTTCACACATCACAAACAAGTTTATAAGATGCTTCTGTCTAGTTTTTATTTGAAGATATTTCCTTTCTCTCCATAGAGCTGAAAGCTGTCCTAATGTTCACTTCCAGATACTACAGAAAGAGTGTTTCAAAACTGCTGTACGAAAGGGAATGTTCAACTCTGTGACTTGAATGCACACATCACAAAGAAGTTTCTGAGGATGCTGCTGTCTACTTTTTATACGTAATCCCGTTTCCAACGAAATCCTCCAAGCTATCCAAATATCCACTTGCAGATTCCAGAGAAAGACTGTTTCAAAACTGCTCTGTCAATAGAAAGGTTCAACTCTGTTAGCTGCATGCATATATCCCAAAGAAGATTCTGAGATTGCTTCTGTCTACTTTTTATGAGAAGATATTTCCCTTTTCACCGTAGGCCTCAAGGCGCTCCAAATGTCCACTTCCAGATACTACAAAAAGAGTGTTTCAAACCTACTCTGTGAAAGGGAATATTCAACTCTGTGACTTGAATGCACATATCACAAAGAAGTTTACTGAGAATGCTTCTGTCGAGATTTTATATGAAGATATTCCCGTTTCCAACGAAATCCTGAAATCTATCCAAATATCCCCTCGCAGATTCTACAAAAAGAGTGGTTCAAAACTGCTCTGTAAAACGAAAGGTTCAACTCTGTTAGTTGAGTACACACATCACAAACAAGTTTCACAGAATGCTTCTTTCTAGCTTGTAGGGGAAGATATTCCCTTTATCACCATGGGCCTCAAACCGTCCGAAACATCCAGTTCCATATACTACAAAAAGAGCGTTTCAAACCTGCTCTATGAAAGGCAATGTTCAACTCTGTGACTTGAATGCAGACATCACAGAGCAGTTTCTGAGAATGCTCCTGTCTAGATTTTATAGGAAGATATTCCCGTTTCCAACGAAATCTTCACAGCTATCCAAATATCCACTTGCAGATTCTACAAAAAGAGTGTATCAAAACTGCTCTGTCAAAAGGAAGGTTTTTCTCTGTTAGTTGAGTGCATACGTCATAAAGGAGTTTCTGAGAATGTTTCTGTATAGTGGTTATGGGAAGATATTTGCTTTTTCACCGTAGGCCTCAGAGCGCTCCAAATATCCACTTGCACATACTACAAAAAGAGTGCTTCAAAGCTGCTCTCTGAAATGGAATGTTCAACTCTATGAGTTGAATGCAAACATCACAAAGACGTTTCTGAGAATGCTTCTGTCTAGATTTGATATGAAGATATTCCCGTTTCCAACGAAATCTTCAAATCTATCCAAATGTCCACTTGCAGATTCAACAAAAAGTGTTTTTCAGAACTGCTCTATCAAAAGAAAGATCCACCTCTGTTAGCTGAGTTCAGACATCACAATCAAGTTTATGAGAATGCTTCTGTCTAGTTTTTATTTGAAGATATTTCCTTTCTCACCATAGACCTGAAAGCTGTCCTAATTTTCACTTCCAGATACTACAGAAAGAGTGTTTCAAAACTGCTGTACGAAAGGGAATGTTCAACTCTGTGACTTGAATGCACACATCACAAAGAAGTTTCTGAGGATGCTGCTGTCTACTTTTTATACGTAATCCCATTTCCAACGAAATCCTCCAAGCTATCCAAATATCCACTTGCAGATTCCACAGAAAGACTGTTTCAAAACTGCTATGTCAATAGAAAAGTTCAACTCAGTTAGCTGTGTGCATATATCCCAAGGAAGATTCTGAGATTGCTTCTGTCTAGTTTTTATGGGAAGATATTTCCCTTTTCACCGTAGGTGTCAAGGCGCTCCAAATATCCACTTCCAGATACTACAAAAAGAGTGTTTCAAACCTTCTCTGTGGAAGGGAATATTGAACTCTGTGACTTGAATGCAGATATCACAAAGAAGTTTCTGAAAATGCTTCTGTCGAGATTTTATATGAAGATATTCCCCTTTCCAACGAAATCCTGAAATCTATCCAAATATCCCCTCGCAGATTCTACAAAAAGAGTGTTTCAAAACTGCTCTGTAAAAAGAAAGGTTCAACTGCTGTTAGTTGAGTACACACATCACAAACAAGTTTCACAGAATGCTTTCTTTCTAGCTTGTAGGAGAAGATATTCCCTTTATCACCATGGGCCTCCAACCGTCCGAAACATCCACTTACATATACTACAAAAAGAGCGTTTCAAACCTGCTCTATGAAAGGCAATGTTCAACTCTGTGACTTGAATACAGATATCACAGAGCAGTTTCTGAGAATGCTTCTGTCTAGATTTTATAGGAAGATATTCTCGTTTCCAACGAAATCTTCACAGCTATCCAAATATCCACTTGCAGATTCTACAAAAAGAGTGTATCAAAACTGCTCTGTCAAAAGGAAGGTTCTTCTCTGTTAGGTGAGTGCATACGTCATAAAGCAGTTTCTGAGAATGTTTCTGTCTAGTGGTTATGGGAAGATATTTGCTTTTTCACCTTAGGCCTCAGAGCGCTCCAAATATCCCCTTGCACATACTACAAAAAGAGTGCTTCAAAGCTGTTCTCTGAAAGGGAATGTTCAACTCTATGAGTTGAATGCAAACATCACAAAGACGTTTCTGAGAATTCTTCTGTCTAGATTTGATATGAAGATATTCCCGTTTCCAACGAAATCTTCAAATCTATCCAAATGTCCACTTGCAGATTCAACAAAATGTGTTTTTCAAAACTGCTGTATCAAAAGAAAGATCCACCTCTGTTAGCTGAGTTCACACATCACAAACAAGTTTATGAGAATGCTTCCGTCTAGTTTTTATTTGAAGATATTTCCTTTCTCACCATAGACCTGAAAGCTGTCCTAATGTTCACTTCCAGATACTACAGAAAGAGTGTTTCAAAACTGCTGTACGAAAGGGAATGTACAACTCTGTGACTTGAATGCACACATCACAAAGAAGTTTTCTGAGGATGCTGCTGTCTACTTTTTATACGTAATCCCGTTTCCAACGAAATCCTCCAAGCTATACAAATATCCACTTGCAGATTCCACAGAAAGACTGTTTCAAAACTGCTCTGTCAATAGAAAGGTTCAACTCTGTTAGCTGCGTGCATATATCCCAAAGAAGATTCTGAGATTGCTTCTGTCTAGTTTTTATGGGAAGATATTTCCCTTTTCACCGTAGGCGTCAAGGCGCTCCAAATGTCCACTTCCTGATACTACAAAAAGAGTGTTTCAATCCTACTCTGTGAAAAGGAATATTCAACTCTGTGACTTGAATGCAGATATCACAAAGAAGTTTCTGAGAATGCTTCTGTCGAGATTTTATATGAAGATATTCCCGTTTCCAACGAAATCCTGAAATCTATCCAAATATCCCCTCGCAGGTTCTACAAAAAGAGTGTTTCAAAACTGCTCTGTAAAAAGAAAGGTTCAACTCTGTTAGTTGAGTACACACATCACAAACAAGTTTCACAGAATGCTTCTTTCTAGCTTGTAGGGGAAGATATTCCCTTTATCACCTTGGGCCTCCAACCGTCCGAAACATCCACTTCCATATACTACAAAAAGAGCGTTTCAAACCTGCTCTATGAAAGGCAATGTTCAACTCTGTGACTTGAATGCAGACATCACAGAGCAGTTTCTGAGAATGCTTCTGTCTAGATTTTATAGGAAGATATTCCCGTTTCCAACGAAATCTTCACAGCTATCCAAATATCCACTTGCAGATTCTACAAAAAGAGTGTATCAAAACTGCTCTGTCAAAAGGAAGGTTCTTTTCTGTTAGGTGAGTGCATACGTCATAAATGAGTTTCTGAGAATGTTTCTGTCTAGTGGTTATGGGAAGATATTTGCTTTTTCACCGTAGGCCTCAGAGCGCTCCAAATATCCACTTGCACATACTACAAAAAGAGTGCCTCAAAGCTGCTCTCTGAAACGGAATGTTCAACTCTATGAGTTGAATGCAAACATCGCAAAGACGTGTCTGAGAATGCTTCTGTCTAGATTTGATATGAAGATATTCCCGTTTCCAACGAAATCTTCAAATCTATCGAAATGTCCACTTGCAGATTCAACAAAAAGTGTTTTTCAGAACTGCTCTATCAAAAGAAAGATCCACCTCTGTTAGCTGAGTTCACACATCACAAACAAGTATATGAGAATGCTTCTGTCTAGTTTTTATTTGAAGGTATTTCCTTTCTCACCATAGACCTGAAAGCTGTCCTAATGTTCACTTCCAGATACTACAGAAAGAGTGTTTCAAAACTGCTGTACGAAAGGGAATGTTCAACTCTGTGACTTGAATGCACACATCACAAAGAAGTTTCTGAGGATGCCGCTGTCTACTTTTGATACGTAATCCCGTTTCCAACGAAATCCTCCAAGCTATCCAAATATCCACTTGCAGATTCCACAGAAAGAATGTTTCAAAACTGCTCTGTCAATAGAAAGGTTCAACTGTGTTAGCTGCGTGCATATATCCCAAACAAGATTCTGAGATTGCTTCTGTCTAGTTTTTATGGGAAGATATTTCCCTTTTCACCGTAGGCGTCAAGGCGCTCCAAATGTCCACTTCCAGATACAACAAAAAGAGTGTTTCAAACCTACTCTGTGAAAGGGAATATTCAACTCTGTGACTTGAATGCACATATCACAAAGAAGTTTCTGAGAATGCTTCTGTCGAGATTTTATATGAAGATATTCCCGTTTCCAATGAAATCCTGAAGTCTATCCAAATATCCCCTCGCAGATTCTACAGAAAGAGTGTTTCAAAACTGCTCTGTAAAAAGAAAGGTTCAACTCTGTTACTTGAGTACACACATCACAAACAAGTTTCACAGAATGCTTCTTTCTAGCTTGTAGGGGAATATATTCCCTTTATCACCATGGGTCTCAAAGCGTCCGAAACGTCCACTTCCATATAATACAAAAAGAGCGTTTCAAACCTGCTCTATGAAAGGCAATGTTCAACTCTGTGACTTGAATGCAGACATCACAGAGCTGTTTCTGAGAATGCATCTGTCTAGATTTTATAGGAAGATATTCCCGTTTCCAACGAAATCTTCACAGCTATCCAAATATCCACTTGCAGATTCTACAAAAAGAGTGTATCAAAACTGCTCTGTCAAAAGGAAGGTTCTTTTCTGTTAGGTGAGTGCATACGTCATAAAGGGGTTTCTGAGAATGTTTCTGTCTAGTGGTTATGGGAAGATATTTGCTTTTTCACAGAAGGCCTCAGAGCGCTCCAAATATCCACTTGCACATACTACAAAAAGAATGCCTCAAAGCTGCTCTCTGAAACGGAATGTTCAACTTTATGAGTTGAATGCAAACATCACAAAGACGTTTCCGAGAATGCTTCTGTCTAGATTTGATATGAAGATATTCCCGTTTCCAAGGAAATCTTCAAAACTATCCAAATGTCCACTTGCAGATTCAACAAAAAGTGTTTTTCAGAACTGCTCTATCAAAAGAAAGATCCACCGTTGATAGCTGAGTTCACACATCACAAACAAGTTTATGAGAATGCTTCTGTCTAGTTTTTATTTGAAGATATTTCCTTTCTCACCATAGACCTGAAAGCTGTCCTAATGTTCACTTCCATATACTACAGAAAGAGTGTTTCAAAACTGCTGTACGAAAGGGAATGTTCAACTCTGTGACTTGAATGCACACATCACAAAGAAGTTTCTGAGGATGCTGCTGTCTACTTTTTATACATAATCCCGTTTCCAACGAAATCCTCCAATCTATCCAAATATCCACTTGCAGATTCCACAGAAAGACTGTTTCAAATCTGCTCTGTCAATAGAAAGATTCAACTCTGTTAGCTGCGTGCATATATCCCAAAGAAGATTCTGAGATTGCTACTGTCTAGTTTTTATGGGAAGATATTTCCCTTTTCACCGTAGGCGTCAAGGCGCTCCAAATGTCCACATCCAGATACTACAAAAAGAGTGTTTCAAACCTACTCTGTGAAAGGGAGTATTCAACTCTGTGACTTGAATACACATATCACAAAGAAGTTTCTGAGAATGCTTCTGTCGAGATTTTATATGAAGATACTCCCGTTTCCAACGAAATCCTGAAATCTATCCAAATATCCCCTCGCAGATTCTACAAAAAGAGTGTTTCAAAACTGCACTGTAAAAAGAAAGGTTCAACTCCGTTAGTTGAGTACACACATCACAAACAAGTTTCACAGAATGCTTCTTTCTAGCTTGTAGGGGAAGATATTCCCTTTATCACCATGGGCCTCAAACCGTCCGAAACGTCCACTTCCATATACTACAAAAAGAGCGCTTCAAATCTGCTCTATGAAAGACAATGTTCAACTCTGTGACTTGAATGCAGACATCACAGAGCAGTTTCTGAGAATGCTTCTGTCTAGATTTTATAGGAAGATATTCCAGTTTCCAACGAAATCTTCACAGCTATCCAAATATCCACTTGCAGATTCTACAAAAAGAGTGTATCAAAACTGCTCTGTCAAAAGGAAGGTTCTTCTCTGTTAGTTGAGTACATACGTCATAAAGGAGTTTCTGAGAATGTTTCTGTCTAGTGGTTATGGGAAGATATTTGCTTTTTCCCCGTAGGCCTCAGGGCGCTCCAAATGTCCACTTGCACATGCTTCAAAAAGAGTGCTTCAAAGCTGCTCTCTGAAAGGGAATGTTCAACTCTATGAGTTGAATGCAAACATCACAAAGACGTTTCTGAGAATGCTTCTGTCTAGATTTGATAGGAAGATATTCCCGTTTCCAACGAAATCTTCAAATCTATCCAAATGTCCACTTGCAGATTCAACAAAAAGTGTTTTTCAGAACTGCTCTATCAAAAGAAAGATCCACCTCTGTTAGCTGAGTTCAGACATCACAAACAAGTTTATGAGAATGCTTCTGTCTAGTTTTTATTTGAAGATATTTCCTTTCTCACCATAGACCTGAAAGCTGTCCTAATGTTCACTTCCAGGTACTACAGAAAGAGTGTTTCAAAACTGCTGTACGAAAGGGAATGTTCAACTCTGTGACTTGAATGCACACATCACAAAGAAGATTCTGAGGATGCTGCTGTCTACTTTTTATACTTAATCCCGTTTCCAACGAAATCCTCCAAGCTATCCAAATATCCACTTGCAGATTTCACAGAAAGACTGTTTCAAAACTGCTCTGTCAATAGAAAGGTTCAACTCTGTTAGCTGCGTGCATATATCCCAAAGAAGATTCTGAGATTGCTTCTGTCTAGTTTTTATCGGAAGATATTTCCCTTTTCACCGTAGGTGTCAAGGCGCTCCAAATGTCCACTTCCAGATACTACAAAAAGAGTGTTTCAAACCTACTCTGTGAAAGGGAACATTCAACTCTGTGACTTGAATGCAGATATCACAAAGAAGTTTCTGAGAATGCTTCTGTCGAGTATTTTATATGAAGATATTCCCGTTTCCAACGAAATCCTGAAATCTCTCCAAATATCCCCTCGCAGATTCTACAAAAAGAGTGTTTCAAAACTGCTCTGTAAAAAGAAAGGTTCAACTCTGTTAGTTGAGTACACACATCACAAACAAGTTTCACAGAATGCTTCTTTCTAGCTTGTAGGGGAAGATATTCCCTTTATCACCATGGGCCTCAAACCGTCCGAAACGTTTACTTCCATATACTACAAAAAGAGCGTTTCAAACCTGCTCTATGAAAGGCAATGTTCAACTCTGTGACTTGTAATGCAGACATCACAGAGCAGTTTCTGAGAATGCTTCTCTCTAGATTTTATAGGAAGATATTCCCGTTTCCAACGAAATCTTCACAGCTATCCAAATATCCACTTGCAGATTCTACAAAAAGAGTGCATCAAAACTGCTCTGTCAAAAGGAAGGTTCTTCTCTGTTAGTTGAGTACATACGTCATAAAGGAGTTTCTGAGAATGTTTCTGTCTAGTGGTTATGGGAAGATATTTGCTTTTTCACCGTAGGCCTCAGAGCGCTCCAAATATCCACTTGCACATACTACAAAAAGAGTGCCTCAAAGCTGGTCTCTGAAACGGAATGTTCAACTCTATGAGTTGAATGCAAACATCACAAAGACGTTTCTGAGAATGCTTCTGTCTAGATTTGATATGAAGATATTCCCGTTTCCAACGAAATCTTCAAATCTATCCAAATGTCCACTTGCGTATTCAACAAAAAGTGTTTTTCAGAACTGCTCTATCAAAAGAAAGATCCACGGCTCTTAGCTGAGTTCACACATCACGAACAAGTTTATGAGAATGCTTCTGTCTAGTTTTTATTTGAAGATATTTCCTTTCTCACCATAGACCTGAAAGCTGTCCTAATGTTCACTTCCAGATACTACAGAAAGAGTGTTTCAAAACTGCTGTACAAAAGGGAATGTTCAACACTGTGACTTGAATGCACACATCACAAAGAAGTTTCTGAGGATGCTGCTGTCTACTTTTTATACGTAATCTCGTTTCCAACAAAATCCTCCAAGCTATCCAAATATCCACTTGCAGATTCCACAGAAAGACTGTTTCAAAACTGCTCTGTCAATAGAAAGGTTCAACTCTATTAGCTGCGTACATATATCCCAAAGAAGATTCTGAGATTGCTTCTGTCTAGTTTTTATGGGAAGATATTTCCCTTTTCACCGTGGGCGTCAAGGCGCTCCAAATGTCCACTTCCAGATACTACAAAAAGAGTGTTTCAAACCTACTCTGTGAAAGGGAATATTCAACTGTGTGACTTGAATGCACATATCACAAAGAAGTTTCTGAGAATGCTTCTGTCGAGATTTTATATGAAGATATTCCCCTTTCCAACGAAATCCTGAAATCTATCCAAATATCCCCTCGCAGATTCTACAAAAAGAGTGTTTCAAAACTGCTCTGTAAAAAGAAAAGTTCAACTCTGTTAGTTGAGTACACACCTCACAAACAAGTTTCACAGAATGCTTCTTTCTAGCTTGTAGGGGAAGATATTTCCTTTATCACCATGGGCCTCCAACCGTCCGAAAAGTCCACTTCCATATACTACAAAAAGAGCGTTTCAAACCTGCTCTATGAAAGGCAATGTTCAACTCTGTGACTTGAATGCAGACATCACAGAGCAGTTTCTGAGAATGCTTCTGTCTAGATTTTATAGGAAGATATTCCCATTTCCAACGAAATCTTCACAGCTATCCAAATATCCACTTTCAGATTCTACAAAAAGAGTGTATCAAAAATGCTCTGTCAAAAGGAAGGTTCTTCTCTGTTAGGTGAGTGCATACGTCATAAAGGAGTTTCTCAGAATGTTTCTAGTCTAGTGGTTATGGGAAGATATTTGCTTTTTCACCGTAGGCCTCAGAGCGCTCCAAATATCCACTTGCACATACTACAAAAAGAGTGCTTCAAATCTGGTCTCTGAAACGGAATGTTCAACTCTATGAGTTGAATGCAAACATCACAAAGACGTTTCTGAGAATGCTTCTGTCTAGATTTGATATGAAGATATTCCCGTTTCCAACGAAATCTTCAAATCTATCCAAATGTCCACTTGCAGATTCAACAAAAAGTGTTTTTCAGAACTGCTCTATCAAAAGAAAGATCCACCTCTGTTAGCTGAGTTCACACATCACAATCAAGTTTATGAGAATGCTTCCGTCTAGTTTTTATTTGAAGATATATCCTTTCTCACCATAGACCTGAAAGCTGTCCTAAAGTTCACTTCCAGATACTACAGAAAGAGTGTTTCAAAACTGCTGTACGAAAGGGAATGTTCAACTCTGTGACTTGAATGCACACATCACAAGGATGTTTCTGAGGATGCTGCTGTCTACTTTTTATACGTAATCCCGTTTCCAACGAAATCCTCCAAGCTATCCAAATATCCACTTGCAGATTCCACAGAAAGACTGTTTCAAAACTGCTCTGTGTATAGAAAGGTTCAACTCTGTTAGCTGCGTGCATATATCCCAAAGACGATTCTGAGATTGCTTCTGTCTAGTTTTTATGGGAAGATATTTCCCTTTTTACCGTAGGTGTCAAGGCGCTCAAAATGTCCACTTCCAGATACTACAAAAAGAGTGTTTCAAACCTACTCTGTGAAAGGGAATATTCAACTCTGTGACTTGAATGCAGATATCACAAAGAAGTTTCCTGAGAATGCTTCTGTCGAGATTTTATATGAAGATATTCCCGTTTCCAACGAAATCCTGAAATCTATCCAAATATCCCCTCGCAGATTCTACAAAAAGAGTGTTTCAAAACTGCTCTGTAAAAAGAAAGGTTCAACTCTGTTAGTTGAGTACACACATCACAAACAACTTTCACAGAATGCTTCTTTCTAGCTTGTAGGGGAAGATATTCCCTTTATCACCATGGGCCTCCAACCGTCCGAAACATCCACTTCCATATACTACAAAAAGAGCGTTTCAAACCTGCTCTATGAAAGGCAATGTTCAACTCTGTGACTTGAATGCAGACATCACAGAGCAGTTTCTGACAATGCTCCTGTCTAGATTTTATAGGAAGATATTCCCGTTTCCAACGAAATCTTCACAGCTATCCAAATATCCACTTGCAGATTCTACAAAAAGAGTGTATCAAAACTGCTCTGTCAAAAGGAAGGTTCTTCTCTGTTAGGTGAGTGCATACGTCATAAAGGAGTTTCTGAGAATGTTTCTGTCTAGTGGTTATGGGAAGATATTTGCTTTTTCACCGTAGGCCTCAGAGCGCTCCAAATATCCACTTGCACATACTACAAAAAGAGTGCCTCAAAGCTGCTCTCTGAAACGGAATGTTCAACTCTATGAGTTGAATGCAAACATCACAAAGACGTTTCTGAGAATGCCTTCTGTCTAGATTTGATATGAAGATATTCCCGTTTCCAACGAAATCTTCAAATCTATCCAAATGTCCACTTGCAGATTCAACAAAAAGTGTTTTTCAGAACTGCTCTATCAAAAGAAAGATCCACCTCTGTTAGCTGAGTTCACACATCACAAACAAGTTTATGAGATTGCTTCTGTCTAGTTTTTATTTGAAGATATTTCCTTTCTCACCATAGACCTGAAAGCTGTCCTAATGTTCACTTCCACATACTACAGAAAGAGTGTTTCAAAACTGCTGTACGAAAGGGAATTTTCAACTCTGTGACTTGAATGCACACATCACAAAGAAGTTTCTGAGGATGCTGCTGTCTAATTTTTATACGTAATCCCGTTTCCAACGAAATCCTCCAAGCTATCAAAATATCCACTTGCAGATTCCACAGAAAGACTGTTTCAAAACTGCTATGTCAATAGAAAAGTTCAACTCTGTTAGCTGTGTGCGTATATCCCAAAGAAAATTCTGAGATTGCTTCTGTCTACTTTTTATGAGAAGATATTTCCCTTTTCACCGTAGGTGTCAAGGTGCTCCAAATGTCCACTTCCAGATACTACAAAAAGAATGTTTCAAACCTACTCTGTGAAAGGGAATATTCAACTCTGTGACTTGAATGCACATATCACAAAGAAGCTTCTGAGAATGCTTCTGTCGAGATTTTATAGGAAGATATTCCCGTTTCCAACGAAATCCTGAAATCTATCCAAATATCCCCTCGCAGATTCTACAAAAAGAGTGTTTCAAAACTGCTCTGTAAAAAGAAAGGTTCAACTCTGTTAGTTGAGTACACACATCACAAACAAGTTTCACAGAATGCTTCTTTCTAGCTTGTAGGGGAAGATATTCCCTTTATCACCATGGGCCTCAAACCGTCCGAAACATCCACTTCCATATAGTACAAAAAGAGCGTTTCAAACCTGCTCTATGAAAGGCAATGTTCAACTCTGTGACTTGAATGCAGACATCACAGAGCAGTTTCTGAGAATGCTTTTGTTTAGATTTTATAGAAAGATATTCCCTTTTCCAACGAATTCTTCACAGATATCCAAATATCTACTTGCAGATTCTCCAAGAAGAGTGTATCAAAACTGCTCTGTCAAAAGGAAGGTTCTTCTCTGTTAGTTGAGTACATACGTCATAAAGAAGTTTCTGAGAATGTTTCCGTCTAGTGGTTATGGGAAGATATTTGCTTTTTCACCGAAGGCCTCAGAGCGCTCCAAATATCCACTTGCACATACTACAAAAAGAGCGCCTCAAAGCTGCTCTCTGAAACGGAATGTTCAACTCTATGAGTTGAATGCAAACATCGCAAAGACGTTTCTGAGAATGCTTCTGTCTAGATTTGATATGAAGATATTCCCGTTTCCAACAAAATCTTCAAATCTATCCAAATGTCCACTTGCAGATTCAACAAAGTGTTTTTCAGAACTGCTCTATCAAAAGAAAGATCCACCTCTGTTAGCTGAGATCACACTTCACAAACAAGTTTATCAGAATGCTTCTGTCTAGTTTTTATTTGAAGATATTTCGTTTCTCACCATAGAGCTGAAAGCTGTCCTAATGTTCACTTCCAGATACTACAGAGTGTTTCAAAACTGCTGTACGAAAGGGAATGTTCAACTCTGTGAGTTGAATGCACACATCACAAAGAAGTTTCTGAGGATGCTGCTGTCTAATTTTTATACGTAATCCCGTTTACAACGAAATCCTCCAAGCTATCCAAATATGCACTTGCAGATTCCACAGAAAGACTGTTTCAAAACTGCTCTGTCAATAGAAAGGTTCAACTCTGTTAGCTGCGTGCATATATCCCAAAGAAGATTCTGAGATTCCTTCTGTCTAGTTTTTATGGGAAGATATTTCCCTTTTCACCATAGGCGTCAAGGTGCTCCAAATGTCCACTTCCAGATACTACAAGAAGAGTGTTTCAAACCTACTCTGTGAAAGGGAATATTCAACTCTGTGACTTGAATGCAGGTATCACAAAGAAGTTTCTGAGAATGCTTCTGTCGAGCATTTTATATGAAGATATTCCAGTTTCCAACGAAATCCTGAAATCTATCCAAATATCCCCTCGCAGATTCTACAAAAAGAGTGTTTCAAAACTGCTCTGTAAAAAGAAAGGTTCAACTCTGTTAGTTGAGTACACACATCACAAACAAGTTTCACAGAATGCTTCTTTCTAGCTTGTAGGGGAAGATATTCCCTTTATCACCATGGGCCTCCAACCGTCCGAAACATCCACTTCCATATACTACAAAAAGAGCATTTCAAACCTGCTCTATGAAAGGCAATGTTCAACTCTGTGACTTGAATGCAGACATCACAGAGCAGTTTACTGAGAATGCTTCTGTCTAGGATTTTATAGGAAGATATTCCCGTTTCCAACGAAATCTTCACAGCTATCCAAATATCCACTTGCAGATTCTACAAAAAGAGTGTATCAAACCTGCTCTGTCAAAAGGAAGGTTCTTCTCTGTTAGGTGAGTGCATACGTCATAAAGGAGTTTCTGAGAATGTTTCTGTCTAGTGGTTATGGGAAGATATTTGCTTTTTCACCGTAGGCCACAGAGCGATCAAAATATCCACTTGCACATACTACAAAAAGAGTGCTTCAAAGCTGCTCTCTGAAAGTGAATGTTCAACTCTATGAGTTGAATGGAAACATCACAAAGACGTTTCTGAGAATGCTTCTGTCTAGATTTGATATGAAGATATTCCCGTTTCCAACGAAATCTTCAAATCTATCCAAATGTCCACTTGGAGATTCAACAAAAAGTGTTTTTCAGAACTGCTCTATCAAAAGAAAGATCCACCTCTGTTAGCTGAGTTCACACATCACAAACAAGTTTATGAGAATGCTTCTGTCTAGTTTTTATTTGAAGATATATCCTTTCTCACTATAGACATGAAAGCTCTCCTAATGTTCACTTCCAGATACTACAGAAAGAGTGTTTCAAAACTGCTGTACGAAAGGGAATGTTCATCTCTGTGACTTGAATGCACACATCACAAGGAAGTTTCTGAGGATGCTGCTGTCTACTTTTTATACCTAATCCCGTTTCCAACGAAATCCTCCAATCTATCCAAACATCCACTTGCAGATTCCACAGAAAGACTGTTTCAAAACTGCTCTGTCAATAGAAAGGTTCAACTCTGTCAGCTGCGTGCATATATCCCAAAGAAGATTCTGAGATTGCTTCTGTCTACTTTTTATGAGAAGATATTTCCCTTTTCACCGTAGGCGTCAAGGTGCTCAAAATGTCCACTTCCAGTTACTACAAAAAGAGTGTTTCAAACCTACTCTGTGAAAGGGAATATTCAACTCTGTGACTTGAATGCACATATCACAAAGAAGCTTCTGAGAATGCTTCTGTCGAGATTTTATATGAAGATATTCCCGTTTCCAACGAAATCCTGAAATCTATCCAAATATCCCCTCGCAGATTCTACAAAAAGAGTGTTTCAAAACTGCTCTGTAAAAAGAAAGGTTCAACTCTGTTATTTGAGTACACACATCACAAACAAGTTTCACAGAATGCTTCTTTCTAGCTTGTAGGGGAAGATAATCCCTTTATCACCATGGGCCTCAAACCGTCCGAAACGTCCACTTCCATATACTACAAAAAGAGCGTTTCAAACCTGCTGTAGGAAAGGCAATGTTCAACTCTGTGACTTGAATGCAGACATCACAGAGCAGTTTCTGAGAATGCTTCTGTCTAGATTTTATAGGAAGATATTCCCGTTTCCAACGAAATCTTCACAGCTATCCAAATATCCACTTGCAGATTCTACAAAAAGAGTGTATCAACACTGCTCTGTCAAAAGGAAGGTTCTTCTCTGTTGGCTGAGTGCATACGTCAGAAAGGAGTTTCTGAGAATGTTTCTGTCTAGTGGTTATGGGAAGATATTTGCTTTTTCACCGTAGGCCTCAGAGCACTCCAAATATCCACTTGCACATACTACAAAAAGAGTGCTTCAAAGCTGCTCTCTGAAACGGAATGTTCAACTCTATGAGTTGAATGCAAACATCGCAAAGACGTTTCTGAGAATGCTTTTGTCTAGATTTGATATGAAGATATTCCCGTTTCCAACGAAATCTTCAAATCTATCCAAATGTCCACTTGCAGATTCAACAAAAAGTGTTTTTCAGAACTGCTCTATCAAAAGAAAGATCCACGTGTGTTAGCTGAGTTCACACATCACAAACAAGTTTATGAGAATGCTTCTGTCTAGTTTTTATTTGAAGATATTTCCTTTCTCACCATAGAGCTGAAAGCTGTCCTAATGTTCACCTCCAGATACTACAGAAAGAGTGTTTCAAAACTGCTGTACGAAAGGGAATGTTCAACTCTGTGACTTGAATGCACACATCACAAAGAAGTTTCTGAGGATGCTGCTGTCTACTTTTTATACTTAATCCCGTTTCCAACGAAATCCTCCAAGCTATCCGAATATCCACTTGCAGATTCCACAGAAAGACTGTTTCAAAACTGCTCTGTCAATAGAAAGGTTCAACTCTGTTAGCTGCGTGCATATATCCCAAAGAAGATTCTGAGATTGCTTCTGTCTACTTTTTATGAGAAGATATTTCCCTTTTCACCGTAGGCGTCAAGGTGCTCCAAATGTCCACTTCCAGATACTACAAAAAGAGTGTTTCAAACCTACTCTGTGAAAGGGAATATTCAAGTCTGTGACTTGAATGCACATATCACAAAGAAGCTTCTGAGAATGCTTCTGTCGAGATTTTATATGAAGATATTCCCGTTCCCAACGAAATCCTGAAATCTATCCAAATATCCCCTCACAGATTCTACAAAAAGAGTGTTTCAAAACTGCTCTGTAAAAAGAAAGGTTCAACTCTGTTAGTTGAGTACACACATCACAAACAAGTTTCACAGAATGCTTCTTTCTAGCTTGTAGGGGAAGATATTCCCTTTATCACCATGGGCCTCAAACCGTCCGAAACGTCCACTTCCATATACTACAAAAAGAGCGTTTCAAACCTACTCTATGAAAGGCAATGTTCAACTCTGTGACTTGAATGCAGACATCACAGAGGAGTTTCTGAGAATGCTTCTGTCTAGATTTTATAGGAAGATATTCCCGTTTCCAACGAAATCTTCACAGCTATCCAAATATCCACTTGCAGATTCTACAAAAAGAGTGTATCAAAACTGCTCTGTCAAAAGGAAGGTTCTTCTCTGTTAGGTGAGTGCATACGTCATAAAGGAGTTTCTGAGAATGATTCTGTCTAGTGGTTATGGGAAGATATTTGCTTTTTCACCGAAGGCCTCAGAGCGCTCCAAATATCCACTTGCACATACTACAAAAAGAGTGCCTCAAAGCTGCTCTCTGAAACGGAATGTTCAACTCTATGAGTTGAATGCAAACATCACAAAGACGTTTCTGAGAATGCTTCTGTCTAGATTTGATATGAAGATATTCCCGTTTCCAACGAAATCTTCAAATCTATCCAAATGTCCACTTGCAGATTCAACAAAAAGTGTTTTTCAGAACTGCTCTATCAAAAGAAAGATCCACCTCTGTTAGCTGAGTTCACACATCACAAACAAGTTTATGAGAACGCTCTGTCTAGTTTTTATTTGAAGATATTTCCTTTCTCACCATAGACCTGAAAGCTGTCCTAATGTTCACTTCCAGATACTACAGAAAGAGTGTTTCAAAACTGCTGTACGAAAGGGAATGTTCAACACTGTGACTTGAATGCACACATCACAAAGAAGTTTCTGAGGATGCTGGCTGTCTACTTTTTATACGTAATCCCGTTTCCAACGAAATCCTCCAAGCTATCCAAATATCCACTTGCAGATTCCACAGAAAGACTGTTTCAAAACTGCTCTGTCAATAGAAAGGTTCAACTCTGTTAGCTGCGTGCATATATCCCTAAGAAGATTCTGAGATTGCTTCTGTCTAGTTTTTATGGGAAGATATTTCCCTTTTCACCGTAGGCGTCAAGGCGCTGCAAATGTCCACTTCCAGATACTACAAAAAGAGTGTTTCAAACCTACTCTGTGAAAGGGAATATTCAACTCTGTGACTTGAAGGCAGATATCACAAAGAAGTTTCTGAGAATGCTTCTGTCGAGATTTTATATGAAGATATTCCCGTTTCCAACGAAATCCTGAAATCTATCCAAATATCCGCTCGCAGATTCTACAAAAAGAGTGTTTCAAAACTGCTCTGTGAAAAGAAAGGTTCAACTCTGTTAGTTAAGTACACACATCACAAACAAGTTTCACAGAATGCTTCTTTCTAGCTTGTAGGGGAAGATATTCCCTTTATCACCATGGGCCTCAAACCGTCTGAAACGTCCACTTCCATATACTACAAAAAGAGCATTTCAAACCTGCTCTATGAAAGGCAATGTTCAACTCTGTGACTTGAATGCAGACATCACAGAGCAGTTTCTTAGAATGCTTCTGTCTAGATTTTATAGGAAGATATTCCCGTTTCCAACGAAATCTTCACTGCTATCCAAATATCCACTTGCAGATTCTACAAAAAGAGTGTATCAAAACTGCTCTGTCAAAAGGAAGGTTCTTCTCTGTTAGGTGAGTGCATACGTCATAAAGGAGTTTCTGAGAATGTTTCTGTCTAGTGGTTATGGGAAGATATTTGCTTCTTCACCTTAGGCCTCAGAGCGCTCCAAATATCCCCTTGCACATACTACAAAAAGAGTGCTTCAAAGCTGCTCTCTGAAAGGGAATGTTCAACTCTATGGGTTGAATGCAAACATCACAAAGACGTTTCTGAGAATGCTTCTGTCTAGATTTGATATGAAGATATTCCCGTTTCCAACGAAATCTTCAAATCTATCCAAATGTCCACTTGCAGATTCAACAAAAAGTGTTTTTCAGAACTGCTCTATCAAAAGAAAGATCCACCTCTTTTAGCTGAGTTCACACATCACAAACAAGTTTATGAGAATGCTTCTGTCTAGTTTTTATTTGAAGATATTTCCTTTCTCACCATAGACCTGAAAGCTGTCCTAATGTTCACTTCCAGATACTACAGAAAGAGTGTTTCAAAACTGCTGTATGAAATGGAATGTTCAACTCTGTGACTTGAATGCACACATCACAAATAAGTTTCTGAGGATGCTGCTGTCTACTTTTTATACGTAATCCCGTTTCCAACGAAATCCTCCAAGCTATCCAAATATCCACTTGCAGATTCCACAGAAAGACTGTTTCAAAACTGCTATGTCAATAGAAAAGTTCAACTCTGTTAGCTGTGTGCATATATCCCAAAGAAAATTCTGAGATTGCTTTCTGTCTAGTTTTTATGGGAAGATATTTCCCTTTTCACCGTAGGTGTCAAGGCGCTCCAAATGTCCACTTCCAGATACTACAAAAAGAGTGTTTCAAACCTACTCTGTGAAAGGGAATATTCAACTCTGTGACTTGAATGCACATATCACAAAGAAGTTTTTGAGAATGCTTCTGTCGAGATTTTATATGAAGATATTCCCGTTTCCAACGAAATCCTGAATTCTATCCAAATATTCCCTCGCAGATTCTACAAAAAGAGTGGTTCAAAACTGCTCTGTAAAAAGAAAGGTTCAACTCTGTTAGTTGAGTACACACATCACAAACAAGTTTCACAGAATGCTTCTTTCTAGCTTGTAGGGCAAGATATTCCCTTTATCACCATGGGCCTCAAACCGTCCGAAACGTCCACTTCCATATACTACAAAAAGAGCGTTTCAAACCTGTTCTAGGAAAGGCAATGTTCAACTCTGTGACTTGAATGCAGACATCACAGAGCAGTTTCTGAGAATGCTTCTGTCTAGATTTTATAGGAAGATATTCCCGTTTCCAACGAAATCTTCACAGCTATCCAAATATCCACTTGAAGATTCTACAAAAAGAGTGTATCAAAACTGCTCTGTCAAAAGGTAAGTTCTTCTCTGTTAGGTGAGTGCATACGTCATAAAGGAGTTTCTGAGAATGTTTCTGTCTAGTGGTTACGGGAAGATATTTGCTTTTTCACCTTAGGCCTCAGAGCGCTCCAAATATCCACTTGCACATACTACAAAAAGAGTGCTTCAAAGCTGCTCTCTGAAAGGGAATGTTCAACTCTATGAGTTGAATGCTAACATCACAAAGACGTTTCTGAGAATGCTTCTGTCGAGATTTTATATGAAGATATTCCCGTTTCCAACGAAATCCTGAAATCTATCCAAATATCCCCTCGCAGATTCTACCAAAAGAGTGTTTCAAAACTGCTCTGTAAAAAGAAAGGTTCAACACTGTTAGTTGAGTACACACATCTCAAACAAGTTTCACAGAATGCTTCTGTCTAGTTTTTATTTGAAGATATTTCCTTTCTCACCATAGACCTGAAAGCTGTTCTAATGTTCACTTCCATATGCTACAGAAAGAGTGTTTCAAAACTGCTGTACGAAAGGGAATGTTCAACTCTGTGACTTGAATGCACACATCACAAAGAAGTTTCTGAGGATGCTGCTGTCTACTTTTTATACGTAATCCCGTTTCCAACGAAATCCTCCAAGATATCCAAATATCCACTTGCAGATTCCACAGAAAGACTGTTTCAAAACTGCTCTGTCAATAGAAAGGTTCAACTCTGTTAGCTGCGTGCATATATCCCAAAGAAGATTCTGAGATTGCTTCTGTCTAGTTTTTATGGGAAGATATTTCCCTTTTCACCGTAGGCGTCAAGGCGCTCCAAATGTCCACTTCCAGATACTACAAAAAGAGTGTTTCAAATCTACTCTGTGAAAGGGAATATTCAACTCTGTGACTTGAATGCACATATCACAAAGAAGTTTCTGAGAATGCTTCTGTCGAGATTTTATATGAAGATATTCCCGTTTCCAACGAAATCCTGAAATCTATCCAAATATCCACTCGCAGATTCTACAAAAAGAGTGGTTCAAAACTGCTCTGTAAAACGAAAGGTTCAACTCTGTTAGTTGAGTACACACATCACAAACAAGTTTCACAGAATGCTTCTTTCTAGCTTGTAGGGGAAGATATTCCCTTTATCACCATGGGCCTCAAACCGTTCGAAACGTCCACTTCCATATACTACAAAAAAGCGTTTCAAACCTGCTCTATGAAAGGCAATGTTCAACTCTGTGACTTGAATGCAGACATCACAGAGCAGTTTCTGAGAATGCTTCTGTCCAGACTTTATAGGAAGATATTCCCGTTTCCAACGAAATCTTCACAGCTATCCAAATATCCACTTGCAGATACTATAAAAAGTGTGTATCCAAAGTGCTCTGTCAAAAGGAAAGTTCTTCTCTGCTACTTGAGTACATACGTCATAAAGAAGTTTCTGAGAATGTTTCTGTCTAGTGGTTATGGGAAGATATTTGCTTTTTCCCCGTAGGCCTCAAAGCGCTCCAAATGTCCACTTGCACATACTACAAAAAGAGTGCTTCAAAGCTGCTCTCTGAAAGGGAATGTTCAACTCTATGAGTTGAATGCTAACATCACAAAGACGTTTCTGAGAATGCTTCTGTCTAGATTTGATATGAAGATATTCCCGTTTCCAACGAAATCTTCAAATCTTTCCAAATGTCCACTTGCAGATTCAACAAAAAGTGTTTTTCAGAACTGCTCTATCAAAAGAAAGATCCACCTCTGTTAGATGAGTTCACACATCACAAACAAGTTTATGAGAATGCTTCTGTCTAGTTTTTATTTGAAGATATTTCCTTTCTCACCATAGACCTGAAAGCTGTCCTAATGTTCACTTCCAGATACTACAGAAAGAGTGATTCAAAACTGCTGTACGAAAGGGAATGTTCAACTCTGTGACTTGAATGCACACATCACAAAGAAGTTTCTGAGGATGCTGCTGTCTACTTTTTATACGTAATCCCGTTTCCAACGAAATCCTCCAAGCTATCCAAATATCCACTTGCAGATTCCACAGAAAGACTGTTTCAAAACTGCTCTGTCAATAGAAAGGTTCAACTCTATTAGCTGCGTACATATATCCCAAAGAAGATTCTGAGATTGCTTTCTGTCTACTTTTTATGAGAGGATATTTCCCTTTTCACCGTAGGCGTCAAGGCGCTCCAAATGTCCACTTCCAGATACTACAAAAAGAGTGTTTCAAACCTACTCTGTGAAAGGGAATATTCAACTCTGTGACTTGAATGCAGATATCACAAAGAAGTTTCTGAGAATGCTTCTGTCCAGATTTTATATGAAGATATTCCCGTTTCCAACGAAATCCTGAAATCTATCCAAATATCCCCTCGCAGATTCTACAAAAAGAGTGTTTCAAAACTGCTCTGTAAAAAGAAAGGTTCAACTCTGTTAGTTGAGTACACACATCACAAACAAGTTTCACAGAATGCTTCTTTCTAGCTTGTAGGGGAAGATATTCCCTTTATCACCATGGGCCTCCAACCGTCCGAAACATCCACTTCCATATACTACAAAAAGAGCGTTTCAAACCTGCTCTATGAAAGGCAATGTTCAACTCTGTGAGTTGAATGCAGACATCACAGAGCAGTTTCTGAGAATGCTTCTGTCTAGATTTTATAGGAAGATATTCCCGTTTCCAACGAAATCTTCACAGATATCCAAATATCCACTTGCAGATGCTACAAAAAGAGTGTATCAAAAATGCTCTGTCAAAAGGAAGGTTCTTACTGTGTTAGGTGAGTGCATACGTCATAAAGGAGTTTCTGAGAATGTTTCTGTGTAGTGGTTATGGGAAGATATTTGCTTTTTCACCGTAGGCCTCAGAGCGCTCCAAATATCCACTTGCACATACTACAAAAAGAGTGCTTCAAAGCTGGTCTCTGAAAGGGAATGTTCAACTCTATGAGTTGAATGCAAACATCGCAAAGACGTTTCTGAGAATGCTTCTGTCTAGATTTGATATGAAGATATTCCCGTTTACAACGAAATCTTCAAATCTATCCAAATGTCCACTTGCAGATTCAACAAAAAGTGTTTTTCAGAACTGCTCTATCAAAAGAAAGATCCACCTCTGTTAGCTGAGTTCAGACATCACAAACAAGTTTATGAGAATGCTTCTGTCTAGTTTTTATTAGAAGATATTTCCTTTCTCACCATAGACCTGAAAGCTGTCCTAATGTTCACTTCCAGTTACTACAGAAAGAGTGTTTCAAAACTGCTGTACGAAAGGGAATGTTGAACTCTGTGACTTGAATGCACACATCACAAAGAAGTTTCTGAGGATGCTGCTGTCTACTTTTTATGCGTAATCCCGTTTCCAACGAAATCCTCCAAGCTATCCAAATATCCACTTGCAGATTCCACAGAAAGACTGTTTCAAAACTGCTCTGTCAATAGAAAGGTACAACTCTGTTAGCTGCGTGCATATATCCCAAAGAAGATTCTGAGATTGCTTCTGTCTAGTTTTTATGGGAAGATATTTCCCTTTTCACCGTAGGCGTCAATGCGCTCCAAATGTCCACTTCCAGATGCTACAAAAAGAGTGTTTCAAACCTACTCTGTGAAAGGGAATATTCAACTCTGTGACTTGAATGCAGATATCACAAAGAAGTTTCTGAGAATGCTTCTGTCGAGATTTTGTATGAAGATATTCCCGTTTCCAATGAAATCCTGAAATCTATCCAAATTTCCCCTCGCAGATTCTACAAAAAGAGTGTTTCAAAACTGCTCTGTAAAAAGAAAGGTTCAACTCTGTTAGTTGAGTACACACATCACAAACAAGTTTCACAGAATGCTTCTTTCTAGCTTGTAGGGGAAGATATTCCCTTTATCACCATGGGCCTCCAACCGTCCGAAAAGTCCACTTCCATATACTACAAAAAGAGCATTTCAAACCTGCTCTATGAAAGGCAATGTTCAACTCTGTGACTTGAATGCAGACATCACAGAGCAGTTTCTGAGAATGCTTCTGTCCAGACTTTATAGGAAGATATTCCCGATTCCAACGAAATCTTCACAGCTATCCAAATATCCACTTGCAGATACTACAAAAAGAGTGTATCAAAAGTTCTCTGTCAAAAGGAAAGTTCTTCTCTGCTAGTTGAGTACATACGTCATAAAGAAGTTTCTGAGAATGTTTCTGTCTAGTGGTTATGGGGAGATATTTGCTTTCTCACCGTAGGCCTCAGAGCGCTCCAAATATCCACTTGCACATACTACAAAAAGAGTGCTTCAATGCTGCTCTCTGAAACGGAATGTTCAACTCTATGAGTTGAATGCAAACATCACAAAGACGTTTCTGAGAATGCTTCTGTCTAGATTTGATATGAAGATATTCCCGTTTCCAACGAAATCTTCAAATCTATACAAATGTCCACTTGCAGATTCAACAAAAAGTGTTTTTCAGAACTGCTCTATCAAAAGAAAGATCCACCTCTGTTAGCTGAGTTCACACATCACAAACAAGTTTATGAGAATGCTTCTGTCTAGTTTTTATTTGAAGATATTGCCTTTCTCACCATAGACCTGAAAGCTGTCCTAATGTTCACTTCCAGATACTACAGAAAGAGTGTTTCAAAACTGCTGTACGAAAGGGAATGTTCAACTCTGTGACTTGAATGCACACATCACAAAGAAGTTTCAGAGGAGGCTGCTGTCTACTTTTTATACGTAATCCCGTTTCAAACGAAATCCTCCAAGCTATCCAAATATCCACTTGCAGATTCCACAGAAAGACTGTTTCAAAACTGCTCTGTCAATAGAAAGGTTCAACTCTGTTAGCTGCGTGCATATATCCCAAAGAAGATTCTGAGATTGCTTCTGTCTAGTTTTTATTGGAAGATATTTCCCTTTTCACCGTAGGTGTCAAGGTGCTCCAAATGTCCACTTCCAGATACTACAAAAAGAGTGTTTCAAACCTACTCTGTGAAAGGGAATATTCAACTCTGTGACTTGAATGCAGATATCACAAAGAAGTTTCTGAGAATGCTTCTGTCGAGATTTTATATGAAGATATTCCCGTTTCCAACGAAATGCTGAAATGTATCCAAATATCCCCTCGCAGATTCTACAAAAAGAGTGTTTCAAAACTGCTCTGTAAAAAGAAAGGTTCAACTCTGTTAGTTGAGTACACACATCACAAATAAGTTTCACACAATGCTTCTTTCTAGCTTGTAGGTGAAGATATTCCCTTTATCACCATGGGCCTCAAACCGTCCGAAACGTCCACTTCCATATACTACAAAAAGAGCGTTTCAAACCTGCTCTATGAAAGGCAATGTTCAACTCTGTGACTTGAATGCAGACATCACAGAGCAGTTTCTGAGAATGCTTCTGTCTAGATTTTATAGGAAGATATTCCCGTTTCCAACGAAAACTTCACAGCTATCGAATATCCACTTGCAGATTCTACAAAAAGAGTGTATCAAAACTGCTCTGTCAAAAGGAAGGTTCTTCTCTGTTAGGTGAGTGCATACGTCATAAAGGAGTTTCTGAGAATGTTTCTGTCTAGTGGTTATGGGAAGATATTTGCTTTTTCACCGTAGGCCTCAGAGCGCTCCAAATATCCACTTGCACATACTACAAAAAGAGTGCTTCAAAGCTGCTCTCTGAAACGGAATGTTCAACTCTATGAGTTGAATGCAAACATCACAAAGACGTTTCCAAGAATGCTTCTGTCTAGATTTGATATGAAGATATTCCCGTTTCCAACGAAATCTTCAAATCTATCCAAATGTCCACTTGCAGATTCAACAAAATGTGTTTTTCAGAACTGCTCTATCAAAAGAACGATCCACCTCTGTTAGCTGAGTTCACACATCACAAACAAGTTTATGAGAATGCTTCTGTCTAGTTTTTATTTGAAGATATTTCCTTTCTCACCATAGACCTGAAAGCTGTCCTAATGTTCACTTCCAGATACTACAGAAAGAGTGTTTCAATACTGCTGTACAAAAGGGAATGTTCAACTCTGTGACTTGAATGCACACATCAAAAGGAGGTTCTGAGGATGCTGCTGTCTACTTATTATACGTAATCCCGTTTCCAACGAAATCCTCCAAGCTATCCAAATATCCACTTGCAGATTCCACAGAAAGACTCTTTCAAAACTGCTCTGTCAATAGAAAGGTTCAACTCTGTTAGCTGCGTGCATATATCCCAAAGAAGATTCTGAGGTTGCTTCTGTCTAGTTTTTATGGGAAGATATTTCCCTTTTCACGGTAGGCGTCAAGGCGCTCCAAATGTCCACTTCCAGATACTACAAAAAGAGTGTTTCAAACCTACTCTGTGAAAGGGAATATTCAACTCTGTGACTTGAATGCACATATCACAAAGAAGTTTCTGAGAATGCTTCTGTCGAGATTTTATATTAAGATATTCCCGTTTCCAACGAAATCCTGAAATCTATCCAAATATCCCCTCACAGATTCTACAAAAAGAGTGTTTCAAAACTGCTCTGTAAAAAGAAAGGTTCAACTCTGTTAGTTGAGTACACACATCACAAACAAGTTTCACAGAATGCTTCTTTCTAGCTTGTAGGGAAAGATATTCCCTTTATCACCATGGGCCTCAAACCGTCCGATAAGTCCACTTCCATATACTACAAAAAGAGCGTTTCAAACCTGCTCTATGAAAGGCAATGTTCAACTCTGTGACTTGAATGCAGACATCACAGAGCAGTTTCTGAGAATGCTTCTGTCTAGATTTTATAGGAAGATATTCCCGTTTCCAACGAAATCTTCACAGCTATCCAAATATCCACTTGCAGATTCAACAAAAAGAGTGTATCAAAACTGCTCTGTCAAAAGGAAGGTTCTTTTCTGTTAGGTGAGTGCATACGTCATAAAGGAGTTTCTGAGAATGTTTCTGTCTAGTGGTTATGGGAAGATATTTGCTTTTTCACCGTAGGCCTCAGAGCGCTCCAAATATCCACTTGCACATACTAGAAAAAGAGTGCCTCAAAGCTGCTCTCTGAAACGGAATGTTCAACTCTATGAGTTGAATGCAAACATCACAAAGACGTTTCTGAGAATGCTTCTGTCTAGATTTGATATGAAGATATTCCCGTTTCCAACGAAATCTTCAAATCTATCCAAATGTCCACTTGCAGATTCAACAAAAAGTGTTTTTCAGAACTGCTCTATCAAAAGAATGATCCACCTCTGTTAGCTGAGTTCAGACATCACAAACAAGTTTATGAGAATGCTTCTGTCTAGTTTTTATTTGAAGATATTTCCTTTCTCACCATAGACCTGAAAGCTCTCCTAATGTTCACTTCCAGACACTACAGAAAGAGTGTTTCAAAACTGCTGTATGAAAGGGAATGTTCAACTCTGTGACTTGAATGCACACATCACAAAGAAGTTTCTGAGGATGCTGCTGTCTACTTTTTATACTTAATCCCGTTTCCAAAGAAATCCTCCAAGCTATCCAAATATCCACTTGCAGATTCCACAGAAAGACTGTTTCAAAACTGCTCTGTCAATAGAAAGGTTCAACTCTGTTAGCTGCGTGCATATATCCCAAAGAAGATTCTGAGATTGCTTCTGTCTAGTTTTTATGGGAAGATATTTCCCTTTTCACCGTAGGTGTCAAGGCGGTCCAAATGTCCACTTCCAGATACTACAAAAAGAGTGTTTCAAACCTACTCTGTGAAAGGGAATATTGAACACTGTGACTTGAATGCAGATATCACAAAGAAGTTTCTGAGAATGCTTCTGTCGAGATTTTATATGAAGATATTCCCCTTTCCAACGAAATCCTGAAATCTATCCAAATATCCCCTCGCAGATTCTACAAAAAGAGTGTTTCAAAACTGCTCTGTAAAAAGAAAGGTTCAACTCTGTTAGTTGAGTACACACATCACAAACAAGTTTCACAGAATGCTTTCTTTCTAGCTTGTAGGGGAAGATATTCCCTTTATCACCATGGGCCTCAAACCGTCCGAAACGTCCACTTACATATACTACAAAAAGAGCGTTTCAAACCTGCTCTAGGAAAGGCAATGTTCAACTCTGTGACTTGAATGCAGACATCACAGAGCAGTTTCTGAGAATGCTTCTGTCTAGATTTTATAGGAAGTTATTCCCGTTTCCATCGAAATCTTCACAGGTATCCAAATATCCACTTGCAGATTCTACAAAAAGAGTGTATCAAAACTGCTCTGTCAAAAGGAAGGTTCTTCTCTGTTAGGTGAGTGCATACGTCATAAAGGAGTTTCTGAGAATGTTTCTGTCTAGTGGTTATGGGAAGATATTTGCTTTTTCACCTTAGGCCTCAGAGCACTCCAAATATCCCCTTGCACATACTACAAAAAGAGTGCTTCAAAGCTGCTCTCTGAAACGGAATGTTCAACTCTATGAGTTGAATGCAAACATGACAAAGACGTTTCCGAGAATGCTTATCTGTCTAGATTTGATATGAAGATATTCCCGTTTCCAACGAAATCTTCAAATCTATCCAAATGTCCACTTGCAGATTCAACAAAAAGTGTTTATCAGAACTGCTCTATCAAAAGAAAGATCCACCTCTGTTAGCTGAGTTCACACTTCACAAACAAGTTTATCAGAATGCTTCTGTCTAGTTTTTATTTGAAGATATTTCCTTTCTCACCATAGACCTGAAAGCTGTCCTAATGTTCACTTCCAGATACTACAGAAAGAGTGTTTCAAAACTGCTGTACGAAAGGGAATGTTCAACTCTGTGACTTGAATGCACACATCAGAAAGAAGTTTTCTGAGGATGCTGCTGTCTACTTTTTATACGTATTCCCGTTTCCAACGAAATCCTCCAAGCTATCCAAATATCCACTTGCAGATTCCACAGAAAGACTGTTTCAAAACTGCTCTGTCAATAGAAAGGTTCAACTCTATTAGCTGCGTACATATATCCCAAAGAAGATTCTGAGATTGCTTCTGTCTAGTTTTTATGGGAAGATATTTCCCTTTTCACCGTAGGTGTCAAGGCGCTCCAAATGTCCACTTCCAGATACTACAAAAAGAGTGTTTCAAACCAACTCTGTGAAAGGGAATATTCAACTCTGTGACTTGAATGCACACAACACAAAGAAGTTTCTGAGGATGCTTCTATCGAGATTTTATATGAAGATATTCCCGTTTCCAACGAAATCCTGAAATCTATCCAAATATCCCCTCGCAGATTCTACAAAAAGAGTGTTTCAAAACTGCTCTGTAAAAAGAAAGGTTCAACTCTGTTAGTTGAGTACACATATCACAAACAAGTTTCACACAATGCTTCTTTCTAGCTTGTAGGGGAAGATATTTCCTTTATCACCATGGGCCTCAAACCATCCGAAACGTCCACTTCCATATACTAAAAAAAGAGTGTTTGAAACCTGCTCTATGAAAGGCAATGTTCAACTCTGTGACTTGAATGCAGACATCACAGTAGCAGTTTCTGAGAATGCTTCTGTCCAGACTTTATAGGAAGATATTCCCGTTTCCAACGAAATCTTCACAGCTATCCAAATATCCACTTGCAGATACTACAAAAAGAATGTATCAAAAATGCTCTGTCAAAAGGAAAGTTCTTCTCTGCTAGTTGAGTACATACGTCATAAAGGAGTTTCTGAGAATGTTTCTGTCTAGTGGTTATGGGAAGATATTTGCTTTTTCACAGAAGGCCTCAGAGCGCTCCAAATATCCACTTGCACATACTACAAAAAGAGTGCCTCAAAGCTGCTCTCTGAAACGGAATGTTCAACTTTGTGAGTTGAATGCAAACATCACAAAGACGTTTCCGAGAATGCTTCTGTCTAGATTTGATATGAAGATATTCCCGTTTCCAACGAAATCTTCAAATCTATCAAAATGTCCACTTGCAGATTCAACAAAAAGTGTTTTTCAGAACTGCTCTATCAAAAGAAAGATCCACCTCTGTTAGCTGAGTTCACACTTCACAAACAAGTTTATCAGAATGCTTCTGTCTAGTTTTTATTTGAAGATATATCCTTTCTCACTATAGACCTGAAAGCTCTCCTAAAGTTCACTTCCAGATACTACAGAAAGAGTGTTTCAAAACTGCTGTAAGAAAGGGAATGTTCATCTCTGTGACTTGAATGCACACATCACAAGGATGTTTCTGAGGATGCTGCTGTTTACTTTTTATACGTAATCCCGTTTCCAACGTAATCCTCCAGGCTATCCAAATATCCACTTGCAGATTCCACAGAAAGACTGTTTCAAATCTGCTCTGTCAATAGAAAAGTTCAACTCTATTAGCTGCGTGCATATATCCCAAAGAAGATTCTGAGATTGCTTCTGTCTAGTTTTTATGGGAAGATATTTCCCTTTTCACCGTAGGCGTCAAGGCGCTCCAAATGTCCACTTCCAGATACTACAAAAACAGTGTTTCAAACCTACTCTGTGAAAGGGAATATTCAACTCTGTGACTTGAATGCACATATCACAAAGAAGTTTCTGAGAATGCTTCTGTCGAGATTTTATATGAAGATATTCCCCTTTCCAACGAAATCCTGAAATCTATCCCAAATATCCCCTCGCAGATTCTACAAAAAGAGTGTTTCAAAACTGCTCTGTAAAAAGAAAGGTTCAACTCTGTTAGTTGAGTACACACATCACAAACAAGTTTCACAGAATGCTTCTTTCTAGCTTGTAGGGGAAGATATTCCCTTTATCACCATGGGCCTCAAACCGTCTGAAACGTCCACTTCCATATACTACAAAAAGAGCGTTTCAAACCTGCTCTATGAAAGGCAATGTTCAACTCTGTGACTTGAATGCAGACATCACAGAGCAGTTTCTGAGAATGCTTCTGTCTAGATTTTATAGGAAGATATTCCCGTTTCCAACGAAATCTTCGCAGCTATCCAAATATCCACTTGCAGATTCTACAAAAAGAGTGTATCAAAACTGCTCTGTCAAAAGGAAGGTTCTTCTGCTGTTAGGTGAGTGCATACGTCATAAAGGAGTTTCTGACAATGTTTCTGTCTAGATTTGATATAAAGATATTCCCGTTTCCAACGAAATCTTCAAATCAATCCAAATGTCCACTTGGAGATTCAACAAAAAGTGTTTTTCCGAACTGCTCTATCAAAAGAAAGATCCACCTCTGCTAGCTGAGTTCACACATCACAAACAAGTTTATGAGAATGCTTCTGTCTAGTTTTTATTTGAAGATATTTCCTTTCTCACCATAGACCTGAAAGCTGTCCTAATGTTCACTTCCAGATACTACAGAAAGAGTGTTTCAAAACTGCTGTACGAAAGGGAAGGTTCAACTCTGTGACTTGAATGCACACATCACAAAGAAGTTTCTGAGGATGCTGCTGTCTACTTTTTATACGTAATCCCGTTTCCAACGAAATCCTCCAAGCTATCCAAATATCCACTTGCAGATTCCACAGAAGGACTGTTTCAAAACTGCTCTGTCAATAGAAAGGTTCAACTCTGTTAGCTGCGTGCATATATCCCAAAGAAGATTCTGAGATTGCTTCTGTCTAGTTTTTATGGGAAGATATTTCCCTTTTCACCGTAGGTGTCAAGGCGCTCCAAATATCCACTTCCAGATACTACAAAAAGACTGTTTCAAACCTACTCTGTGAAAGGGAATATTCAACTCTGTGACTTGAATGCAGATATCACAATGAAGTTTCTGAGAATGCTTCTGTCGAGATTTTATATGAAGATATTCCCGTTTCCAACGAAATCCTGAAATCTATCCAAATATCCCCTCGCAGATTCTACAAAAAGAGTGTTTCAAAACTGCTCTGCAAAAAGAAAGGTTCAACTCTGTTAGTTGAGTACAAACATCACAAACAAGTTTCACAGAATGCTTCTTTCTACCTTGTAGGGGAAGATATTCCCTTTAACACCATGGGCCTCAAACCGTCCGAAACGTCCACTTCCATATACTACAAAAAGAGCGTTTCAAACCTGCTCTATGAAAGGCAATGTTCAACTCTGTGACTTGAATGCAGACATCACAGAGCAGTTTCTGAGAATGCTTCTGTCTAGATTTTATAGGAAGATATTCCCGTTTCCAACGAAATCTTCACAGCTATCCAAATATCCACTTGCAGATTCTACAAAAAGAGTGTATCAAAACTGCTCTGTCAAAAGGAAGGTTCTTTTCTGTTAGGTGAGTGCATACGTCATAAAGGAGTTTACTGAGAATGTTTTCTGTCTAGTGGTTATGGGAAGATATTTGCTTTTTCACCGTAGGCCTCAGAGCGCTCCAAATATCCACTTGCACATACTACAAAAAGAGTGCCTCAAAGCTGCTCTCTGAAACGAAATGTTCAACTCTATGAGTTGAATGCAAACATCACAAAGACGTTTCAGAGAATGCTTCTGTCTAGATTTGATATGACGATATTCCCGTTTCCAACGAAATCTTCAAATCTATCCAAATGTCCACTTGCAGATTCAACAAAAAGTGTTTTTCAGAACTGCTCTATCAAAAGAAAGATCCACCTCTGTTAGCTGAGTTCACACATCACAAACAAGTTTATTAGAATGCTTCTGTCTAGTTTTTATTTGAAGATATTTCCTTTCTCACCATAGACCTGAAAGCTGTCCTAATGTTCACTTCCAGATACTACAGAAAGAGTGTTTCAAAACTGCTGTATGGAAGGGAATGTTCAACTCTGTGACTTGAATGCACACATCACAAAGAAGTTCCTGAGGACGCTGCTGTCTACTTGTTATACGTAATCCCGTTTCCAACGAAATCCTCCAAGCTATCCAAATATCCACTTGCAGATTCCACAGAAAGACTGTTTCAAAACTGCTCTGTCAATAGAAAGGTTCAACTCTGTTAGCTGCGTGCATATATCCCAAAGAAGATTCTGAGATTGCTTCTGTCTAGTTTTTATGGGAAGATATTTCCCTTTTCACCGTAGGCGTCAAGGCGCTCCAAATGTCCACTCTCAGATACTACAAAAAGAGTGTTTCAAACCTACTCTGTGAAAGGGAATATTCAACTCTGTGACTTGAAGGCAGATATCACAAAGAAGTTTCTGAGAATGCTTCTGTCGAGATTTTATATGAAGATACTCCCGTTTCCAACGAAATCCTGAAATCTATCCAAATATCCCCTCGCAGATTCTACAAAAAGAGTGTTTCAAAACTGCTCTGTAAAAAGAAAGGTTCAACTCTGTTAGTTGTGTACACACATCACAAACAAGTTTCACAGAATGCTTCTTTCTAGCTTGTAGGGGAAGATATTCCCTTTATCACCATGGGCCTCAAACCGTCCGAAAAGTCCACTTCCATATACTACAAAAAGAGCGTTTCAAACCTGCTCTATGAAACGCAATGTTCAACTCTGTGACTTGAATGCAGACATCACAGAGCAGTTTCTGAGAATGCTTCTGTATAGATTTTATAGGAAGATATTCCCGTTTCCAACGAAATCTTCACAGCTATCCAAATATCCACTTGCAGATTCTACAAAAAGATTGTATCAAAACTGCTCTGTCAAAAGGAAGGTTCTTCTCTGTTAGGTGAGTGCATACGTCATAAAGGAGTTTCTGAGAATGTTTCTGTCTAGTGGTTATGGGAAGATATTTGCTTTTTCCACCGTAGGCCTCAGAGCGCTCCAAATATCCACTTGCACATACTACAAAAAGAGTGCCTCAAAGCTGCTCTCTGAAACGGAATGTTCAACTCTATGAGTTGAATGCAAACATCGCAAAGACGTTTCTGAGAATGCTTCTGTCTAGATTTGATATGAAGATATTCCCGTTTCCAACGAAATCTTCAAATCCATCCAAATGTCCTCTTGCAGATTCAACAAAAACTGTTTTTCAGCACTGCTCTATCAAAAGAAAGATCCACGTGTGTTAGCTGAGTTCACACATCACGAACAAGTTTATGAGAATGCTTCTGTCTAGTTTTTATTTGAAGATATTGCCTTTCTCACCATAGACATGAAAGCTGACCTAATGTTCACTTCCAGATACTACAGAAAGAGTGTTTCAAAACTGCTGTACGAAAGGGAATGTTCAACTCTGTGACTTGAATGCACACATCACAAAGAAGTTTCTGAGGATGCTGCTGTCTACTTTTTATACGTAATCCCGTTTCCAACGAAATCCTCCAAGCTATCCAAATATCCACTTGCAGATTCCACAGAAAGACTGTTTCAAAACTGCTCTGTCAATAGAAAGGTTCAACTCTGTTAGCTGCGTGCATATATCCCAAAGAAGATTCTGTGATTGCTTCTGTCTAGTTTTTATGGGAAGATATTTCCCTTTTCACCGTAGGCGTCAAGGCGCTCCAAATGTCCACTTCCAGATAGTACAAAAAGAGTGTTTCAAACCTGCTCTGTGAAAGGGAATATTCAACTCTGTGACTTGAATGCACATATCACAAAGAAGTTTGCTGAGAATGCTTCTGTCGAGATTTTATATGAAGATATTCCCGTTTCCAACGAAATCCTGAAATCTATCCAAATATCCCCTCACAGATTCTACAAAAAGAGTGTTTCAAAACTGCTCTGTAAAATGAAAGGTTCAACTCTGTTAGTTGAGTACACACATCACAAACAAGTTTCACAGAATGCTTCTTTCTAGCTTGTAGGGGAAGATATTCCCTTTATCACCATGGGCCTCAAATCGTCCGATAAGTCCACTTCCATATACTACAAAAAGAGCGTTTCAAACCTGCTCTATGAAAGGCAATGTTCAACTCTGTGACTTGAATGCAGACATCACAGAGCAGTTTCTGAGAATGCTTCTGTCTAGATTTTATAGGAAGATATTCCCGTTTCCAACGAAATCTTCACAGCTATCCAAATATCCACTTGCAGATTCTACGAAAAGAGTGTATCAAAACTGCTCTGTCAAAAGGAAGGTTCTTTTCTGTTAGGTGAGTGCATACGTCATAAAGGAGTTTCTGAGAATGCTTCTGTCTAGTGGTTATGGGAAGATATTTGCTTTTTCCCCGTAGGCCTCTGGGCGCTCCAAATGTCCACTTGCACATGCTACAAAAAGAGTGCTTCAAAGCTGCTCTCTGAAAGGGAATGTTCAACTCTATGAGTTGAATGCAAACATCACAAAGACGTTTCTGAGAATGCTTCTGTCTAGATTTGATATGAAGATATTCCCGTTTCCAACGAAATCTTCAAATCTATCCAAATATCCACTTGCAGATTCAACAAAAAGTGTTTTTCAGAACTGCTCTATCAAAAGAAAGATCCACCTCTGTTAGCTTAGTTCACACATCACAAACAAGTTTATGAGAATGCTTCTGTCTAGTTTTTATTTGAAGATATTTCCTTTCTCACCATAGACCTGAAAGCTGTCCTAATGTTCACTTCCAGATACTACAGAAAGAGTGTTTCAAAACTGCTGTACGAAAGGGAATGTTCAACTCTGTGACTTGAATGTACACATCACAAAGAAGTTTCTGAGGATGCTGCTGTCTACTTTTTATACGTAATCCCGTTTCCAACGAAATCCTCCAAGCTATCCAAATATCCACTTGCAGATTCCACAGAAAGACTGTTTCAAAACTGCTCTGTCAATAGAAAGGTTCAACTCTGTTAACTGCGTGCATATATCCCAAAAAAGATTCTGAGATTGCTTCTGTCTAGTTTTTATGGGAAGATATTTCCCTTTTCACCGTAGGTGTCAAGGCGCTCCAAATGTCCACTTCCAGATACTACAAAAAGAGTGTTTCAAAACTGCTGTACGAAAGGGAATGTTCAACTCTGTGACTTGAATGCACACATCACAAAGTAGTTTCTGAGGATGCTTCTGTCGAGATTTTATATGAAGATATTCCCGTTTCCGACGAAATCCTGAAATCTATCCAAATATCCCCTCGCAGATTCTACAAAAAGAGTGTTTCAAAACTGCTCTGTAAAAAGAAAGGTTCAACTCTGTTAGTTGAGTACACACATCACAAACAAGTTTCACAGAATGCTTCCTTCTAGCTGGTAGGGGAAGATATTCGCTTTATCACCATGGGCCTCAAACCGTCCGAAACGTCCACTTCCATATACTACGAAAAGAGCGTTTCAAACCTGCTCTATGAAAGGCAATGTTCAACTCTGTGACTTGAATGCAGACATCACAGAGCAGTTTCTGAGAATGCTTCTGTCTAGATTTTATAGGAAGATATTCCCGTTTCCAACGAAATCTTCACAGCTATCCAAATATCCACTTGCAGATTCTACAAAAAGAGTGTATCAAAACTGCTCTCTCAAAAGGAAGGTTCTTCTCTGCTAGTTGAGTACATACGTCATAAAGAAGTTTCTGAGAATGTTTCTGTCTAGTGGTTATGGGAAGATATTTGCTTTTTCACCTTAGGCCTCAGAGCGCTCAAAATATCCACTTGCACATACTACAAAAAGAGCGCTTCAAAGCTGCTCTCTGAAACAGAATGTTCAACTCTATGGGTTGAATGCAAACATCACAAAGACGTTTCTGAGAATGCTTCTGTCTAGATTTGATATGAAGATATTCCCGTTTCCAACGAAATCTTCAAATCTATCCAAATGTCCACTTGCAGATTCAACAAAAAGTGTTTTTCAGAACTGCTCTATCAAAAGAAAGATCCACCTCTGTTAGCTGAGTTCACACATCACAAACAAGTTTATTAGAATGCTTCTCTCAAGTTTTTATTTGAAGATATTTCCTTTCTCACCATAGTCCTGAAAGCTGTACTAATGTTCACTTCCAGATACTACAGAAAGAGTGTTTCAAAACTGCTGTACGAAAGGGAATGTTCAACTCTGTGACTTGAATGCACACATCACAAAGAAGTTTCTGAGGATGCTGCTGTCTACTTATTATACGTAATCCCGTTTCCAACGAAATCCTCCAAGCTATCCAAATATCCACTTGCAGATTCCACAGAAAGACTCTTTCAAAACTGTTCTGTCAATAGAAAGGTTCAGCTCTGTTAGCTGCGTGCATATATCCCAAAGAAGATTCTGAGATTGCTTCTGTCTAGTTTTTATGGGAAGATATTTCCCTTTTCACCGTAGGCGTCAAGGCGCTCCAAATGTCCACTTCCAGATACTACAAAAAGAGTGTTTCAAACCTACTCTGTGAAAGGGAATATTCAACTCTGTGACTTGAATGCACATATCACAAAGAAGTTTCTGAGAATGTTTCTGTCGAGATTTTATATGAAGATATTCCCGTTTCCAAAGAAATCCTGAAATCTATCCAAATATCCCCTCGCAGATTCTACAGAAAGAGTGTTTCAAAACTGCTCTGTAAAAAGAAAGGTTCAACTCTGTTACTTGAGTACACACATCACAAACAAGTTTCACAGAATGCTTCTTTCTAGCTTGTAGGGGAAGATATTTCCTTTATCACCATGGGCCTCAAACCGTCCGAAACGTCCACTTCCATATACTAAAAAAAGAGTGTTTGAAACCTCCTCTATGAAAGGCAATGTTCAACTCTGTGACTTGAATGCAGACATCACAGAGCAGTTTCTGAGAATACTTCTGTCTAGATTTTATAGGAAGATATTCTCGTTTCCAACGAAATCTTCACAGCTATCCAAATATCCACTTGCAGATTCTACAAAAAGAGTGTATCAAAACTGCTCTGTGAAAAGGAAGGTTCTTCTCTGTTAGGTGAGTGCATACGTCATAAAGGAGTTTCTGAGAATTTTTCTGTCTAGTGGTTACGGGAAGATATTTGCTTTTTCACCTTAGGCCTCAGAGCGCTCCAAATATCCACTTGCACATACTACAAAAAGAGTGCTTCAAAGCTGCTCTCTGAAACGGAATGTTCAACTCTATGAGTTGAATGCAAACATCACAAAGACGTTTCTGAGAATGCTTCTGTCTAGATTTGATATGAAGATATTCCCGTTTCCAACGAAATCTTCAAATCTATCCAAATGTCCACTTGCAGATTCAACAAAAAGTGTTTTTCTGAACTGCTCTATCAAAAGAAAGATCCACCTCTGTTAGCTGAGTTCACACATCACAAACAAGTTTATGAGAATGCTTCTGTCTAGTTTTTATTTGAAGATATTTCCTTTCTCACCATAGACCTGAAAGCTGTCCTTATGTTCACTTCCAGATACTACAGAAAGAGCGTTTCAAAACTGCTGTACGAAAGGGAATGTTCAACTCTGTGACTTGAATGCACACATCACAAAGAAGTTTCTGAGGATGCTGCTGTCTACTTTTTATACGTAATCCCGTTTCCAACGAAATCCTCCAATCTATCCAAATATCCACTTGCAGATTCCACAGAAAGACTGTTTCAAATCTGCTCAGTCAATAGAAAGGTTCAACTCTGTTAGCTGCGTGCATATATCCCAAAGAAGTTTCTGAGATTGCTTCTGTCTAGTTTTTATGGGAAGATATTTCCCTTTTCACCGTAGGCGTCAAGGCGCTCCAAATGTCCACTTCCAGATATTACAAAAAGAGTGTTTCAAACCTACTCTGTGAAAGGGAATATTCAACTCTGTGACTTGAATGCACATATCACAAAGAAGTTTCTGAGAATGCTTCTGTCGAGATTTTCTATGAAGATATTCCCGTTTCCAACGAAATCCTGAAATCTATCCAAATATCCCCTCGCAGATTCTACAAAAAGAGTGTTTCAAAACTGCTCTGTAAAAAGAAAGGTTCAACTCTGTTAGTTGAGTGCACACATCACAAACAAGTTTCACAGAATGCTTCTTTCTAGCTTGTAGGGGAAGATATTCCCTTTGTCACCATGGGCCTCAAACCGTCCGAAAAGTCCACTTCCATATACTACAAAAAGAGCATTTCAAACCTGCTCTATGAAAGGCAATGTTCAACTCTGTGACTTGAATGCAGACATCACAGAGCAGTTTCTGAGAATGCTTCTGTCTAGATTTTATAGGAAGATATTCCCGTTTCCAACGAAATCTTCACAGCTATCCAAATATCCACTTGCAGATTCTACAAAAAGAGTGTATCAAAACTGCTCTGTCAAAAGGAAGGTTCTTTTCTGTTAGGTGAGTGCATACGTCATAAAGGAGTTTCTGAGAATGTTTCTGTCTAGAGGTTATGGGAAGATATTTGCTTTTTCACCGTAGGCCTCAGAGCGCTCCAAATATCCACTTGCACATACTACAAAAAGAGTGCTTCAAAGCTGGTCTCTGAAACGGAATGTTCAACTCTATGAGTTGAATGCAAACATCACAAAGACGTTTCTGAGAATGCTTCTGTCTAGATTTGATATGAAGATATTCCCATTTCCAACGAAATCTTCAAATCTATCCAAATGTCCACTTGCAGATTCAACAAAAAGTGTTTTTCAGAACTGCTCTATCAAAAGAAAGATCCACCTCTGTTAGCTGAGTTCACACATCACAAACAAGTTTATGAGAATGTTTCTGTCCAGTTTTTTTTGAAGATATTTCCTTTCTCACCATAGACCTGAAAGCTGTCCTAATGTTCACTTCCAGATACTACAGAAAGAGTGTTTCAAAACTGCTGTACGAAAGGGAATGTTCAACTCTGTGACTTGAATGCACACATCACAAAGAAGTTTCTGAGGATGCTGCTGTCTACTTTTTATACGGTAATCCCGTTTCCAACGAAATCCTCCAAGCTATCCAAATATCCACTTGCAGATTCCACAGAAAGACTGTTTCAAAACTGCTCTGTCAATAGAAAGGTTCAACTCTGTTAGCTGCATGCATATATCCCAAAGAAGATTCTGAGATTGCTTCTGTCTAGTTTTTATGGGAAGATATTTCCCTTTTCACCGTAGGCGTCAAGGCGCTCCAAATGTCCACTTCCAGATACTACAAAAAGAGTGTTTCAAACCTCCTCTGTGAAAGGGAATATTCAACTCTGTGACTTGAATGCACATATCACAAGGAAGTTTCTGAGAATGCTTCTGTCGAGATTTTATATGAAGATATTCCCGTTTCCAACGAAATCCTGAAATCTATCAAAATATCCCCTCGCAGATTCTACAAAAAGACTGTTTCAAAACTGCTCTGTAAAAAGAAAGGTTCAACTCTGTTAGTTGAGTACACACATCACAAACAAGTTTCACAGAATGCTTCTTTCTAGCTGGTAGGGGAAGATATTCGCTGTATCACCATGGGCCTCAAACCGTCCGAAACGTCCACTTCCATATACTACAAAAAGAGCGTTTCAAACCTGCTCTATGAAAGGCAATGTTCAACTCTGTGTCTTGAATGCAGACATCACACAGCAGTTTCTGAGAATGCTTCTGTCTAGATTTTATAGGAAGATATTCCCATTTCCAACGAAATCTACACAGCTATCCAAATATCCACTTGCAGATTCTACAAAAAGAGTGTATCAAAACTGCTCTGTCAAAAGGAAGGTTCTTCTCTGTTAGTTGAGTACATACGTCATAAAGGAGTTTCTGAGAATGTTTCTGTCTAGTGGTTATGGGAAGATATTTGCTTTTTCACCGTAGGCCTCAGAGCGCTCCAAATATCCACTTGCACATACTACAAAAAGAGTGCTTCAAAGCTGCTCTCTGAAAGGGAATGTTCAACTCTATGAGTTGAATGCAAACATCACAAAGATGTTTCTGAGAATGCTTCTGTCTAGATTTGATATGAAGATATTCCCGTTTCCAACGAAATCTTCAAATCTATCCAAATGTCCACCTGCAGATTCAACAAAAAGTGTTTTTCAGAACTGCTCTATCAAAAGAAAGATCCACCTCTGTTAGCTGAGTTCACACATCACAAACAAGTTTATGAGAATGCTTCTGTCTAGTTTTTATTTGAAGATATATCCTTTCTCACTATAGACCTGAAAGCTCTCCTAAAGTTCACTTCCAGATACTACAGAAAGAGTGTTTCAAAACTGCTGTACGAAAGGGAATGTTCAACTCTGTGACTTGAATGCACACATCACAAGGAAGTTTCTGAGGATGCTGCTGTCTACTTTTTATACGTAATCCCGTTTCCAACGAAATCCTCCAAGCTATCCAAATATCCACTTGCAGATTCCACAGAAAGACTGTTTCAAAACTGCTCTGTCAATAGAAAGTTTCAACTCTGTTAGCTGCGTGCATATATCCCAAAGAAGATTCTGAGATTGCTTCTGTCTAGTTTTTATGGGAAGATATTTCCCTTTTCACCGTAGGTGTCAAGGCGCTCCAAATGTCCACTTCCAGATACTACAAAAAGAGTGTTTCAAACCTACTCTCTGAAAGGGAATATTCAACTCTGTGACTTGAATGCAGATATCACAATGAAGTTTCTGAGAATGCTTCTGTCGAGATTTTATATGAAGATATTCCCGTTTCCAACGAAATCCTGAAATCTATCCAAATATCCCCTCGTAGATTCTACAAAAAGAGTGTTTCAAAACTGCTCCGTAAAAAGAAAGGTTCAACTCTGTTAGTTGAGTACACACAACACAAACAAGTTTCACAGAATGCTTCTTTCTAGCTTGTAGGGGAAGATATTTCCTTTATCTCCATGGGCCTCAAGCCGTCCGAAACGTCCACTTCCATATATTACGAAAAGAGCGTTTCATACCTCCTCTGTGAAAGGCAATGTTCAACTCTCTGACTTGAATGCAGACATCACAGAGCAGTTTCTGAGAATGCTTCTGTCTAGATTTTATAGGAAGATATTCCCGTTTCCAACGAAATCTTCACAGCTATCCAAATATCCACTTGCAGATTCTACAAAAAGAGTGTATCAAAACTGCTCTGTCAAAAGGAAGTTTCTTTTCTGTTAGGTGAGTGCATACGTCATAAAGGAGTTTCTGAGAATGTTTCTGTCTAGTGGTTATGGGAAGATATTTGCTTTTTCACCTTAGGCCTCAGAGCGCTCCAAATATCCACTTGCACATACTACAAAAAGAGTGTTTCAAAGCTGCTCTCTGAAAGGGAATGTTCAACTCTATGAGTTGAATGCAAACATGACAAAGACGTTTCTGAGAATGCTTCTGTCTAGATTTGATATGAAGATATTCCCGTTTCCAACGAAATCTTCAAATCTATACAAATGTCCACTTGCAGATTCAACAAAAAGTGTTTTTCAGAACTGCTCTATCAAAAGAAAGATCCACCTCTGTTAGCTGAGTTCACACATCACAAAGAAGTTGATGAGAATGCTTCTGTCTAGTTTTTATTTGAAGATATTTCCTTTCTCACCATAGAGCTGAAAGCTGTCCTAATGTTCACTTCCAGATACTACAGAAAGAGAGTTTCAAAACTGCTGTACGAAAGGGAATGTTCAACTCTGTGACTTGAATGCACACATCACAAAGAAGTTTCTGAGGATGCTGCTGTCTACTTTTTATACGTAATCCCGTTTCCAACGAAATCCTCCAAGCTATCCAAATATCCACTTGCAGATTCCAAAGAAAGACTGTTTCTAAACTGCTCTGTCAATAGAAAGGTTCAACTCTGTTAGCTGCGTGCATATATCCCAAAGAAGATTCTGAGATTCCTTCTGTCTAGTTTTTATGGGAAGATATTTCCCTTTTCACCGTAGGGGTCAAGGCGCTCCAAATGTCCACTTCCAGATACTACAAAAAGAGTGTTTCAAACCTACTCTGTGAAAGGGAATATTCAACTCTGTGACTTGAATGCAGATATCATAAAGAAGTTTCTGAGAATGCTTCTGTCGAGATTTTATATGAAAATATTCCCGTTTCCAACGAAATCCTGAAATCTATCCAAATATCCCCTCGCAGATTCTACAAAAAGAGTGTTTCAAAACTGCTCTGTAAAAAGAAAGGTTCAACTCTGTTACTTGACTACACACATCACAAAGAAGTTTCACAGAATGCTTCTTTCTAGCTTGTAGGGGAAGATATTCCCTTTATCACCATGGGCCTCAAACCGTCCGAAACGTCCACTTCCATATACTACAAAAAGAGCGTTTCAAACCTGCTCTAGGAAAAGCAATGTTCAACTCTGTGACTTGAATGCAGACATCACAGAGCAGTTTCTGAGAATGCTTCTGTCTAGATTTTATAGGAAGATATTCCCGTTTCCAACGAAATCTTCAAAGCTATCCAAATATCCACTTGCAGATTCTACAAAAAGAGTGTATCAAAACTGCTCTGTCAAAAGGAAGGTTCTTCTCTGTTAGTTGAGTACATACGTCATAAAGGAGTTTCTGAGAATGTTTCTGTCTAGTGGTTATGGGAAGATATTTGCTTTTTCCCCGTAGGCCTCAGGGCGCTCCAAATGTCCACTTGCACATGCTACAAAAAGAGTGCTTCAAAGCTGCTCTCTCAAAGGGAATGTTCAACTCTATGAGTTGAATGCAAACATCACAAAGACGTTTCTGAGAATGCTTCTGTCTAGATTTGATATGAAGATATTCCCGTTTCCAACGAAATCTTCAAATCTATCCAAATGTCCACTTGCAGATTCAACAAAAAGTGTTTTTCAGAACTGCTCTATCAAAAGAAAGATCCACCTCTGTTAGCTGAGTTCAGACATCAAAACAAGTTTATGAGAATGCTTCTGCCTAGTTTTTATTTGAAGATATTTCCTTCCTCACCATAGACCTGAAAGCTGTCCTAATGTTCACTTCCAGATACTACAGAAAGAGTGTTTCAAAACTGCTGTACGAAAGGGAATGTTCAACTCTGTGACTTGAATGCACACATCACAAAGAAGTTTCTGAGGATGCTGCTGTCTACTTTTTATACGTAATCCCGTTTCCAACGAAATCCTCCAAGCTATCCAAATATCCACTTGGAGATTCCACAGAAAGACTGTTTCAAAACTGCTCTGTCAATAGAAAGGTTCAACTCTGTTAGCTGCGTGCATATATCCCAAAGAAGATTCTGAGATTGCTTCTGTCTAGTTTTTATGGGAAGATATTTCCCTTTTCACCGTAGGCGTCAAGGCGCTCCAAATGTCCACTTCCAGATACTACAAAAAGAGTGTTTCAAACCTACTCTGTGAAAGGGAATATTGAACTCTGTGACTTGAATGCACATATCACAAAGAAGTTTCTGAGAATGCTTCTGTCGAGATTTTCTATGAAGATATTCCCGTTTCCAACGAAATCCTGAAATCTATCCAAATATCCCCTCACAGATTCTACAAAAAGAGTGTTTCAAAACTGCTCTGTAAAAAGAAAGGTTCAACTCTGTTAGTTGAGTACACACATCACAAACAAGTTTCACAGAATGCTTCTTTCTAGCTTGTAGGGGAAGATATTCCCTTTATCACCATGGGCCTCAAACCGTCCAAAAAGTCCACTTCCATATACTACAAAAAGAGCGTTTCAAACCTGCTCTATGAAAGGCAATGTTCAACTCTGTGACTTGAATGCAGACATCACAGAGCAGTTTCTGAGAATGCTTCTGTCTAGATTTTATAGGAAGATATTCCCGTTTCCAACGAAATCTTCACAGCTATCCAAATATCCACTTGCAGATTCTACAAAAAGAGTGTATCAAAACTGCTCTTTCAAAAGGAAGGTTCTTCTCTGTTAGGTGAGTGCACACGTCATAAAGGAGTTTCTGAGAATGTTTCTGTCTAGTGGTTATGGGAAGATATTTGCTTTTTCACCGTAGGCCTCAGAGCGCTCCAAATATCCACTTGCACATACTACAAAAAGAGTGCTTCAAAGCTGCTCTCTGAAACGGAATGTTCAACTCTATGAGTTGAATGCAAACATCACAAAAACGTTTCTGAGAATGCTTCCGTCTAGATTTGATATGAAGATATTCCCGTTTCCAACGAAATCTTCAAATCTATCCAAATGTCCACTTGCAGATTCAACAAAAAGTGTTTTTCAGAACTGCTCTATCAAAAGAAAGATCCACCTCTGTTAGCTGAGTTCACACATCAGAAACAGGTTTATGAGAATGCTTCTGTCTAGTTTTTATTTGAAGATATTTCCTTTCTCACGATAGACCTGAAAGCTGTCCTAATGTTCACTTCCAGATACTACAGAAAGAGTGTTTCAAAACTGCTGTACGAAAGGGAATGTTCAACTCTGTGACTTGAATGCACACATCACAAAGAAGTTTCTGAGGATGCTGCTGTCTAATTTTTATACGTAATCCCGTTACCAACGAAATCCTCCAAGCTATCCAAATATCCACTTACAGATTCCACAGAAAGACTGTTTCAAAACTGCTCTGTCAATAGAAAGGTTCAACTCTGTTAGCTGCGTGCATATATCCCAAAGAAGATTCTGAGATTGCTTTCTGTCTAGTTTTTATGGGAAGATATTTCCCTTTTCACCGTAGGTGTCAAGGCGCTCCAAATGTCCACTTCCAGATACTACAAAAAGAGTGCTTCAAACCTACTCTGTGAAAGGGAATATTCAACTCTGTGACTTGAATGCACATATCACAAAGAAGTTTCTGAGAATGCTTCTGTCGAGATTTTGTATGAAGATATTCCCGTTTCCAACGAAATCCTGAAATCTATCCTAATATCCCCTCGCAGATTCTACAAAAGGAGTGTTTCAAAACTGCTCTGTGAAAAGAAAGGTTCAACTCTCTTAGTTGAGTACACACATCACAAACAAGTTTCACAGAATGCTTCTTTCTAGCTTGTAGGGGAAGATATTCCCTTTATCACCATGGGCCTCAAACTGTCCGAAAAGTCCACTTCCATATACTACAAAAAGAGCGTTTCAAACCTGCTCTATGAAAGGCAATGTTCAACTCTGTGACTTGAATGCAGACATCACAGAGCAGTTTCTGAGAATGCTTCTGTCTAGATTTTATAGGAAGATATTCCCGTTTCCAACGAAACCTTCACAGCTATCCAAATATCCACTTGCAGATTCTACAAAAAGAGTGTATCAAAACTGCTCTGTCAAAAGGAAGGTTCTTCTCTGTTAGTTGAGTACATACGTCATAAAGGAGTTTCTGAGAATGTTTCTGTCTAGTGGTTATGGGAAGATATTTGCTTTTTCACCGTAGGCCTCAGAGCGCTCCAAATATCCCCTTGCACATACTACAAAAAGAGTGCTTCAAAGCTGCGCTCTGAAAGGGAATGTTCAACTCTGTGAGTTGAATGCAAACATCACAAATACGTTTCTGAGAATGCTTCTGTCTAGATTTGATATGAAGGTATTCCCGTTTCCAACGAAATCTTCAAATCTATCCAAATGTCCACTTGCAGATTCAACAAAAAGTGTTTTTCAGAACTGCTCTATCAAAAGAAAGATCCACCTCTGTTAGCTGAGTTCACCCATCACAAACAAGTTTATGAGAATGCTTCTGTCTAGTTTTTATTTGAAGATATTTCCTTTCTCACCATAGAGCTGAAAGCTGTCCTAATGTTCACTTCCAGATACTACAGAAAGAGTGTTTCAAAACTGCTGTACGAAAGGGAATGTTCAACTCTGTGACTTGAATGCACACATCTCAAAGAAGTTTCTGAGGATGCTGCTGTCTACTTTTTATACGTAATCCTGTTTCCAACGAAATCCTCCAAGCTATCCAAATATCCACTTGCAGATTCCACAGAAAGACTGTTTCAAAACTGCTCTGTCAATAGAAAAGTTCAACTCTGTTAGCTGTGTGCATATATCCCAAAGAAAATTCTGAGATTGCTTCTGTTTAGTTTTTATGGGAAGATATTTCCCTTTTCACCGTAGGTGTCAAGGCGCTCCAAATGTCCACTTCCAGATTCTACAAAAAGAGTGTTTCAAACCTACTCTGTGAAAGGGAATATTCAACTCTGTGACTTGAATGCACATATCACAAAGAAGTTTCTGAGAATGCTTCTGTCGAGATTTTATATGAAGATATTCCCGTTTCCAATGAAATCCTGAAATCTATCCAAATATCCCCTCGCAGATTCTACAAAAAGAGTGTTTCAAAACTGCTCTGTAAAAAGAAAGGTTCAACTCTGTTAGTTGAGTACACACTTCACAAACAAGTTTCACAGAATGCTTCTTTCTAGCTTGTAGGGGAAGATATTCCCTTTATCACCATGGGCCTCAAACCGTCCGATAAGTCCACTTCCATATACTACAAAAAGAGCGTTTCAAACCTGCTCTATGAAAGGCAATGTTCAACTCTGTGACTTGAATGCAGACATCACAGAGCAGTTTCTGAGAATGCTTTCTGTCTAGATTTGATATGAAGATATTCCCGTTTCCAACGAAATCTTCACAGCTATCCAAATATCCACTGGCAGATTCTACAAAAAGAGTGTATCAAAACTGCTCTGTCAAAAGGAAGGTTCTTCTCTGTTAGGTGAGTGCATACGTCATAAAGGAGTTTCTGAGAATGTTTCTGTCTAGTGGTTATGGGAAGATATTTGCTTTTTCCCCGTAGGCCTCAGGGCGCTCCAAATGTCCACTTGCACATGCTACAAAAAGAGTGCTTCAAAGCTACTCTCTGGAAGGGAATGTTCAACTCTATGAGTTGAATGCAAACATCACAAAGACGTTTCTGAGAATGCTTTTTGTCTAGATTTGATATGAAGATATTCCCGTTTCCAACGAAATCTTCAAATCTATCCAAATGTCCACTTGCAGATTCAACAAAAAGTGTTTTTCAGAACTGCTCTATCAAAAGAAAGATCCACCTCTGTTAGCTGAGTTCACACATCACAAACAAGTTTATGAGAATGCTTCTGTCTAGTTTTTATTTGAAGATATTTCCTTTCTCACCATAGACCTGAATGCTGTCCTAATGTTCACTTCCAGATACTACAGAAAGAGTTTTTCAAAACTGCTGTACGAAAGGGAATATTTAACTCTGTGACTTGAATGCACACATCACAAAGAAGTTTCTGAGGATGCTGCTGTCTACTTTTTATAGGTAATCCCGTTTCCAACGAAATCCTCCAAGCTATCCAAATATCCACTTGCAGATTCCACAGAAAGACTGTTACAAAACTGCTCTGTCAATAGAAAGGTTCAACTCTGTTAGCTGCGTGCATATATCCCAAAGAAGATTCTGAGATTGCTTCTGTCTCGTTTTTATGGGAAGATATTTCCCTTTTCACCGTAGGTGTCAAGGCGCTCCAAATGTCCACTTCCAGATACTACAAAAAGAGTGTTTCAAACCTACTCTCTGAAAGGGAATATTCAACTCTGTGACTTGAATGCAGATATCACAATGAAGTTTCTGAGAATGTTTCTGTCGAGATTTTATATGAAGATATTACCGTTTCCAACGAAATCCTGAAATCTATCGAAATATCCCCTCGCAGATTCTACAAAAAGAGTGTTTCAAAACTGCTCTGTAAAAAGAAAGGTTCAACTCTGTTAGTTGAGTACACACATCACAAACAAGTTTCACAGAATGCTTCTTTCTAGCTTGTAGGGGAAGATATTCCCTTTATCACCATGGGCCTCAAACCGTCCGAAACGTCCACTTCCATATACTACAAAAAGAGCGTTTCAACCCTGCTCTAGGAAAGGCAATGTTCAACTCTGTGACTTGAATGCAGACATCACAGAGCAGTTTCTGAGAATGCTTCTGTCTAGATTTTATAGGAAGATATTCCCGTTTCCAACGAAATCTTCACAGCTATCCAAATATCCACTTGCAGATTCTACAAAAAGAGTGTATCAAAACTGCTCTGTCAAAAGGAAGGTTCTTCTCTGTCAGTTGAGTACATACGTCATAAAGGAGTTTCTGAGAATGTTTCTCTCTAGTGGTTATGGGAAGATATTTCCTTTTTCCCCGTAGGCCTCAGGGCGCTCCAAATGTCCACTTACACATGCTACAAAAAGAGTGCTTCAAAGCTGCTCTCTGAAAGGGAATGTTCAACTCTATGAGTTGAATGCAAACATCACAAAGACGTTTCTGAGAATGCTTCTTTCTAGATTTGATATGAAGATATTCCCGTTTCCAACGAAATCTTCAAATCTATCCAAATGTCCACTTGCAGATTCAACAAAAAGTGTTTTTCAGAACTGCTCTATCAAAAGAAAGATCCACCTCTGTTAGCTGAGTTCACACATCACAAACAAGTTTATGAGAATGCTTCTGTCTAGTTTTTATTTGAAGATATTTCCTTTCTCACCATAGACCTGAAAGCTGTCCTAATGTTCACTTCCAGATACTACAGAAAGAGTGTTTCAAAACTGCTGTACGAAAAGGAATGTTCAACTCTGTGACTTGAATGCACACATCACAAAGAAGTTTCGGAGGATGCTGCTGTCTACTTTTTATACGTAATCCCGTTTCCAACGAAATCCTCCAAGCTATCCAAATATCCACTTGCAGATTCCACAGAAAGACTGTTTCAAAACTGCTCTGTCAATAGAAAGGTTCAACTCTGTTAGCTGAGTGCATATATCCCAAAGAAGATTCTGAGATTGCTTCTCTCTAGTTTTAATGGGAAGATATTTCCCTTTTCACCGTAGGCGTCAAGGCGCTCCAAATGTCCACTTCCAGATACTACAAAAAGAGTGTTTCAAACCTACTCTGTGAAAGGGAATATTCAACTCTGTGACTTGAATGCAGATATCACAAAGAAGTTTCTGAGAATGCTTCTGTCGAGATTTTATATGAAGATATTCCCGTTTCCAACGAAATGCTGAAATGTATCCAAATATCCCCTCGCAGATTCTACAAAAAGAGTGTTTCAAAACTGCTCTGTAAAAAGAAAGGTTCAACTCTGTTAGTTGAGTACACACATCACAAACTAGTTTCACAGAATGCTTCTTTCTATCTTGTAGGGGAAGATATTCCCTTTATCAGCATGGGCCTCAAACCGTCCGAAACGTCCACTTCCATATACTACAAAAAGAGCGTTTCAAACCTGTTCTAGGAAAGGCAATGTTCAACTCTGTGACTTGAATGCAGACATCACAGAGCAGTTTCTGAGAATGCTTCTGTCTAGATTTTATAGGAAGATATTCCCGTTTCCAACGAAATCTTCACAGCTATCCAAATATCCACTTGCAGATTCTACAAAAAAAGTGTATCAAAACTGCTCTGTCACAAGGAAGGTTCTTCTCTGTTAGGTGAGTGCATACGTCATAAAGGAGTTTCTGAGAATGTTTCTGTCTAGTGGTTACGGGAAGATATTTGCTTTTTCACCTTAGGCCTCACAGCGCTCCAAATATCCACTTGCACATACTACAAAAAGAGTGCTTCAAAGCTGCTCTCTGAAACGGAATGTTCAACTCTATGAGTTGAATGCAAACATCACAAAGACGTTTCTGAGAATGCTTCTGTCTAGATTTGATATGAAGATATTCCCGTTTCCAACGAAATCTTCAAATCTATCCTAATGTCCACTTGCAGATTCAACAAAAAGTGTTTTTCAGAACTGCTGTATCAAAAGAAAGATCCACCTCTGTTAGCTGAGTTCACACATCACAAACAAGTTTATGAGAATGCTTCTGTCTAGTTTTTATTTGAAGATATTTCCTTTCTCACCATAGACCTGAAAGCTGTCCTAATGTTCACTTCCAGATACTACAGAAAGAGTGTTTCAAAACTGCTGTACGGAAGGGAATGTTCAACTCTGTGACTTGAATGCACACATCACAAAGAAGTTCCTGAGGATGCTGCTGTCTACTTTTTATACCGTAATCCCGTTTCCAACGAAATCCTCCAAGCTATCCAAATATCCACTTGCAGATTCCACAGAAAGACTGTTTCAAAACTGCTATGTCAATAGAAAAGTTCAACTCTGTTAGCTGTGTGCATATATCCCAAAGAAAATTCTGAGATTGCTTCTGTCTAGTTTTTATGGGAAGATATTTCCCTTTTCACCGTAGACGTCAAGGCACTCCAAATGTCCACTTCCAGATACTACAAAAAGAGTGTTTAAAACCTACTCTGTGAAAGGGAATATGCAACTCTGTGACTTGAATGCAGATATCACAAAGATGTTTCTGAGAATGCTTCTGTCGAGATTTTATATGAAGATATTCCCGTTTCCAACGAAATCCTGAAATCTCTCCAAATATCCCCTCGCAGATTCTACAAAAAGAGTGTTTCAAAACTGCTCTGTAAAAAGAAAGGTTCAACTCTGTTAGTTCAGTACACACATCACAAACAAGTTTCACAGAATGCTTCTTTCTAGCTTGTAGGGGAAGATATTCCCTTTATCACCATGGGCCTCAAACCTTCCGAAATGTCCACTTCCATATACTACAAAAAGAGTGTTTCAAACCTGCTCTATGAAAGGCAATGTTCAACTCTGTGACTTGAATGCAGACATCACAGAGCAGTTTCTGAGAATGCTTCTGTCTAGATTTTATAGGAAGATATTCCCGTTTCCAACGAAATCTTCACAGCTATCCAAATATCCACTTGCAGATTCTACAAAAAGAGTGTATCAAAACTGCTCTGTCAAAAGGAAGGTTCTTTTCTGTTAGGTGAGTGCCATACGTCATAAAGGAGTTTCTGAGAATGTTTCTGTCTAGTGGTTATGGGAAGATATTTGCTTTTTCAGCGTAGGCCTCAGAGCGCTCCAAATATCCACTTGCACATACTTCAAAAAGAGTGTTTCAAAGCTGCTCTCTGAAAGGGAATGTTCAACTCTATGAGTTGAATGCAAACATGACAAAGACGTTTCTGAGAATGCTTCTGTCTAGATTTGATATGAAGATATTCCCGTTTCCAATGAAATCTTCAAATCTATCCAAATGTCCACTTGCAGATTCAACAAGAAGTGTTTTTCAGAACTGCTCTATCAAAAGAAAGATCCACCTCTGTTAGCTGAGTTCACACATCACAAACAAGTTTATGAGAATGCTTCTGTCTAGTTTTTATTTGAAGATATATCCTTTCTCACTATAGACCTGAAAGCTGTCCTAAAGTTCACTTCCAGATACTACAGAAAGAGTGTTTCAAAACTGCTGTACGATAGGGAATGTTCAACTCTGTGACTTGAATGCACACATCACAAGGATGTTTCTGAGGATGCTGCTGTCTACTTTTTACACGTAATCCCGTTTCCAAAGAAATCCTCCAAGCTATCCAAATATCCACTTGCAGATTCCACAGAAAGACTGTTTCAAAACTGCTCTGTCAATAGAAAGGTTCAACTCTGTTAGCTGCGTGCATATATCCCAAAGAAGATTCTGAGATTGCTTCTGTCTAGTTTTTATGGGAAGATATTTCCCTTTTCACCGTAGGTGTCAAGGCGCTCCAAATGTCCACTTCCAGATACAAAACTGCTGTACGAAAGGGAATGTTCAACTCTGTGACTAGAATGCAGAAACTTCACAAAGAAGTTTCTGAGGATGCTGCTGTCTAATTTTTATACGTAATCCCGTTTCCAACGAAATCCTCCAAGCTATCAAAATATCTACTTGCAGATTCCACAGAAAGACTGTTTCAAAACTGCTATGTCAATAGAAAAGTTCAACTCTGTTAGCTGTGTGCGTATATCCCAAAGAAAATTCTGAGATTGCTTCTTTCTAGCTTGTAGGGGAAGATATTCCCTTTATCACCATGGGCCTCAAACCGTCCGAAACGTCCACTTCCATTTACTACAAAAAGAGTGTTTCAAACCTGCTCTATGAAAGGCAATGTTCAACTCTGTGAGTTGAATGCAGACATCACAGAGCAGTTTCTGAGAATGCTTCTGTCTAGATTTTATAGGAAGATATTCCCGTTTCCAACGAAATCTTCACAGCTATCCAAATATCCACTTTCAGATTCTACAAAAAGAGTGTATCAAACTGCTCAGTCAAAAGGAAGGTTCTTCTCTGTTAGGTGAGTGCATACGTCATAAAGGAGTTTCTGAGAATGTTTCTGTCTAGTGGTTATGGGAAGATATTTGCTTTTTCACCGTAGGCCTCAGAGCGCTCCAAATGTCCACTTGCACATACTACAAAAAGATTGCTTCAAACCTGCTCTCTGAAACGGAATGTTCAACTCTATGAGTTGAATGCAAACATCACAAAGACGTTTCTGAGAATGCTTCTGTCTAGATTTGATATGAAGATATTCCCGTTACCAACGAAATCTGCAAATCTATCCAAATGTCCACTTGCAGATTCTACAAAAAGTGTTTTTCAGAACTGCTCTATCAAAAGAAAGATCCACCTCTGTTAGCTGAGTTCACACATCACAAACAAGTTTATGAGAATGCTTCTGTGTAGTTTTTATTTGAAGATATTTCCTTTCTCACCATAGACCTGAAAGCTGTCCTAATGTTCACTTCCAGATACTACAGAAAGAGTGTTTTAAAACTGCTGTACGAAAGGGAATGTTCAACTCTGTGACTTGAATGCACACATCACAAAGAAGTTTCTGAGGATGCTGCTGTCTACTTTTTATACGTAATCCCGTTTCCAACGAAATCCTCCAAGCTATCCAAATATCCACTTGCAGATTTCACAAAAAGACTGTTTCAATACTGCTCTGTCAATAGAAAGGTTCAACTCTGTTAGCTGCGTGCATATATCCCAAAGAAGATTCTGAGATTGCTTCTGTCTAGTTTTTATGGGAAGATATTTCCCTTTTCACCATAGGCGTCAAGGCGCTCCAAATGTCCACTTCCAGATACTACAAAAAGAGTGTTTCAAACCTACTCTGTGAAAGGGAATATTCAACTCTGTGACTTGAATGCAGATATCACAAAGAAGTTTCTGAGAATGCTTCTGTCGAGATTTTATATGAAGATATTCCCGTTTCCAACAAAATCCTGAAATCTATCCAAATATCCCCTCGCAGATTCTACAAAAAGAGTGTTTCAAAACTGCTCTGTAAAAAGAAAGGTTCAACTCTGTTAGTTGAGTACACACATCAGAAACAAGTTTCACAGAATGCTTCTTTCTAGCTTGTAGGGGAAGATATTCCCTTTATCACCATGGGCCTCAAACCGTCCGAAACGTCCACTTCCATATACTACAAAAAGAACGCTTCAAACCTGCTCTATGAAAGACAATGTTCAACTCTGTGACTTGAATGCAGACATCACAGAGCAGTTTGCTGAGAATGCTTCTGTCTAGATTTTATAGGAAGATATTCCCGTTTCCAACGAAATCTTCACAGCTATCCAAATATCCACTTGCAGATTCAACAAAAAGAGTGTATCAAAACTGCTCTGTCAAAAGGAAGGTTCTTCTCTGTTAGGTGAGTGCATACGTCATAAAGGAGTTTCTGAGAATGTTTCTGTCTAGTGGTTATGGGAAGATATTTGCTTTTTCACCGTAGGCCACAGAGCGCTCCAAATATCCACTTGCACATACTACAAAAAGAGTGCTTCAAAGCTGGTCTCTGAAACGGAATGTTCAACTCTATGAGTTGAATGCAAACATCACAAAGACGTTTCTGAGAATGCTTCTGTCTAGATTTGATATGAAGATATTCCCGTTTCCAACGAAATCTTCAAATCTATCCAAATGTGCACTTGCAGATTCAACAAAAAGTGTTTTTCAGAACTGCTCCATCAAAAGAAAGATCCACCTCTGTTAGCTGAGTTCACACATCACAAACAAGTTTATGAGAATGCTTCTGTCTAGTTTTTATTTGAAGATATTTCCTTTCTCACCATAGACCTGAAAGCTGTCCTAATGTTCACTTCCAGTTACTACAGAAAGAGTGTTTCAAAACTGCTGTACGAAAGGGAAGTTCAACTCTGTGACTTGAATGCACACATCACAAAGAAGTTTCTGAGGATGCTGCTGTCTACTTTTTATACGTAATCCCGTTTCCAACGAAATCCTCCAAGCTATCCAAATATCCAATTGCAGATTCCACAGAAAGACTGTTTCAAAACTGCTCTGTCAATAGAAAGGTTCAACTCTGTTAGCTGCGTGCATATATCCCAAAGAAGATTCTGAGATTTCTGCTGTCTAGTTTTTATGGGAAGATATTTCCCTTTTCACCGTAGGCGTCAAGGCGCTCCAAATATCCACTTCCAGATACCTCAAAAAGAGTGTTTCAAACCTACTCTGTGAAAGGGAATATTCAACTCTGTGACTTGAATGCACATATCACAAAGAAGTTTCTGAGAATGCTTCTGTCGAGATTTTATATGAAGATATTCCCGTTTCCAACGAAATGCTGAAATCTATCCAAATATCCCCTCGCAGATTCTACAAAAAGAGTGTTTCAAAACTGCTCTGTGAAAAGAAAGGTTCAATTCTGTTAGTTGAGTACACACATCACAAACAAGTTTCACAGAATGCTTCTTTCTAGCTTGTAGGGGAAGATATTCCCTTTATCACCATGGGCCTCAGACCGTCCGAAACGTCCACTTCCATATACTACAAAAAGAGCGTTTCAAACCTGCTCTATGAAAGGCAATGTTCAACTCTGTGACTTGAATGCAGACATCACAGAGCAGTTTCTGAGAATGCTTCCGTCTAGATTTTATAGGAAGATATTCCCGTTTCAAACGAAATCTTCACAGCTATCCAAATATCCACTTGCAGATTCTACAAAAAGAGTGTATCAAAACTGCTCTGTCAAAAGGAAGGTTCTTCTCTGTTAGTTGAGTACATACGTCATAAAGGAGTTTCTGAGAATGTTTCTGTCTAGTGGTTATGGGAAGATATTTGCTTTTTCACCGTAGGCCTCAGAGCGCTCCAAATATCCACTTGCACAAACTACAAAAAGAGTGCCTCAAAGCTGCTCTCTGAAACGGAATGTTCAACTCTATGAGTTGAATGCAAACATCACAAAGACGTTTCTGAGAATGCTTCTGTCTAGATTTGATATGAAGATATTCTCGTTTCCAACGAAATCTTCAAATCTATCCAAATGTCCACTTGCAGATTCAACAAAAAGTGTTTTTCAGAACTGCTCTATCAAAAGAAAGATCCACCTCTGTTAGCTGAGTTCACACATCACAAACAAGTTTATGAGAATGCTTCTGTCTAGTTTTTATTTGAAGATATTTCCTTTCTCACCATAGACCTGAAAGCTGTCCTAATGTTCACTTCCAGATACTACAGAAAGAGTGTTTCAAAACTGCTGTACGAAAGGGAATGTTCAACTCTGTTACTTGAATGCACACATCACAAAGAAGTTTCTGAGGATGCTGCTGTCTACTTTTTATACGTAATCCCGTTTCCAACGAAATCCTCCAAGCTATGCAAATATCCACTTGCAGATTCCACAGAAAGACTGTTTCAAAACTGCTCTGTCAATAGAAAGGTTCAACTCTGTTAGCTGCGTGCATATATCCCAAAGAAGATTCTGAGATTGCTTGTGTCTACTTTTTATGAGAAGATATTTCCCTTTTCACCGTAGGCGTCAAGGCGCTCCAAATGTCCACTTCCAGATACTACAAAAAGAGTGTTTCAAACCTACTCTGTGAAACGGAATATTCAACTCTGTGACTTGAATGCAGATATCACAAAGAAGTTTCTGAGAATGCTTCTGTCTAGATTTTATAGGAAGATATTCCCGTTTCCAACGAAATCTTCACAGCTATCCAAATATCCACTTGCAGATTCTACAAAAAGAGTGTATCAAAACTGCTCTGTCAAAAGGAAGGTTGTTCTCTGTTAGGTGAGTGCATACGTCATAAAGGAGTTTCTGAGAATGTTTCTGTCTAGTGGTTATGGGAAGATATTTGCTTTTTCACCGTAGGCCTCAGAGCTCTCCAAATATCCACTTGCACATACTACAAAAAGTGTGCCTCAAAGCTGCTCTCTGAAACGGAATGTTCAACTCTATGAGTTGAATGCAAACATCACAAAGACGTTTCTGAGAATGCTTCTGTATAGATTTGATATGAAGATATTCCCGTTTCCAACGAAATCTTCAAATCTATCTAAATGTCCACTTGCAGATTCAACAAAAAGTGTTTTTCAGAACTGCTCTATCAAAAGAAAGATCCACCTCTGTTAGCTGAGTTCACACATCACAAACAAGTTTATGAAAATGCTTCTGTCTAGTTTTTATTTGAAGATATTTCCTTTCTCACCATAGACCTGAAAGCTGTCCTAATGTTCACTTCCAGTTACTACAGAAAGAGTGTTTCAAAACTGCTGTACGAAAGGGAATGTTGAACTCTGTGACTTGAATGCACACATCACAAAGAAGTTTCTGAGGATGCTGCTGTCTACTTTTTATACGTAATCCCGTTTCCAACGAAATCCTCCAAGCTATCCAAATATCCACTTGCAGATTCCACAGAAAGACTGTTTCAAAACTGCTCTGTCAATAGAAAGGTTCAACTCTGTTAGCTGCGTGCACATATCCCAAAGAAGATTCTGAGATTGCTTCTGTCTACTTTTTATGAGAAGATATTTCCCTTTTCACCGTAGGCGTCAAGGCGCTCTAAATGTCCACTTCCAGATACTACAAAAAGAGTGTTTCAAACCTACTCTGTGAAAGGGAATATTCAACTCTGTGACTTGAATGCACATATCACAAAGAAGCTTCTGAGAATGCTTCTGTCGAGATTTTATATGAAGATATTCCCGTTTCCAACGAAATCCTGAAATGTATCCAAATATCCCCTCGCAGATTCTACAAAAAGAGTGTTTCAAAACTGCTCTGTAAAAAGAAAGGTTCAACTCTGTTAGTTGAGTACACACATCACAAACAACTTTCACACAATGCTTCTTTCTAGCTTGTAGGGGAAGATATTCCCTTTATCACCATGGGCCTCAAACCGTCCGATAAGTCCACTTCCATATACTACAAAAAGAGCATTTCAAACCTGCTCTATGAAAGGCAATGTTCAACTCTGTGACTTGAATGCAGACATCACAGAGCAGTTTCTGAGAATGCTTCTGTCTAGATTTTGTAGGAAGATATTCCCGATTCCATCGAAATCTTCACAGCTATCCAAATATCCACTTGCAGATTCTACAAAAAGAGTGTATCAAAACTGCTCTGTCAAAAGGAAGGTTCTTCTCTGTTAGGTGAGTGCATACGTCATAAAGGAGTTTCTGAGAATGTTTCTGTCTAGTGGTTATGGGAAGATATTTGCTTTTTCACCGTAGGCCTCACAGCGCTCTAAATATCCACTTGCACATACTACAAAAAGAGTGCTTAAAAGGTGCTCTCTGAAGCTGAATGTTCAACTCTATGAGTTGAATGCAAACATCACAAAGACGTTTCTGAGAATGCTTCTGTCTAGATTTGATATGAAGATATTCCCGTTTCCAACGAAATCTTCAAATCTATCCAAATGTCCACTTGCAGATTCAACAAAAAGTGTTTTTCACAACTGCTCTATCAAAAGAAAGATCCACCTCTGTTAGCTGAGTTCACACATCACAAACAAGTTTATGAGAATGCTTCTGTCTAGTTTTTATTTGAAGATATTTCCTTTCTCACCATAGACCTGAAAGCTGTCCTAATGTTCACTTCCAGATACTACAGAAAGAGTGTTTCAAAACTGCTGTATGAAAGGGAATGTTCAACTACTGTGACTTGAATGCAGACATCACAGAGCAGTTTCTGAGAATGCTGCTGTCTACTTTTTATACGTAATCCCGTTTCCAACGAAATCCTCCAAGCTATCCAAATATCCACTTGCAGATTCCACAGAAAGACTATTTCAAAACTACTCTGTCCATAGAAAGGTTCAACTCTGTTAGCTGCGTGCATATATCCCAAAGAAGATTCTGAGATTGCTTCTGTCTAGTTTTTATGGGAAGATATTTCCCTTTTCACCGTAGGCGTCAAGGCACTCCAAATGTCCACTTCCAGATACTACAAAAAGAGTGTTTCAAACCTACTCTGCGAAAGGGAATATTCAACTCTGTGACTTGAATGCACATATCACAAAGAAGTTTCTGAGAATGCTTCTGTCGAGATTTTATATGAAGATATTCCCGTTTCCAACGAAATCCTGAAATGTATCCAAATATCCACTCGCAGATTCTACAAAAAGAGTGTTTCAAAACTGCTCTGTAAAAAGAAAGGTTCAACTCTGTTAGTTGAGTACACACATCACAAACAAGTTTCACAGAATGCTTCTTTCTAGCTTGTAGGGGAAGATATTCCCTTTATCACCATGGGCCTCAAACCGTCCGAAACGTCCACTTGCATATACTACAAAAAGAGTGTTTCAAACCTGCTCTATGAAAGGCAATGTTCAACTCTGTGACTTGAATGCAGACATCACAGAGCAGTTTCTGAGAATGCTTCTGTCTAGATTTTATAGGAAGATATTCCCGTTTCCAACGAAATCTTCACAGCTATCCAAATATCCACTTGCAGATTCTACAAAAAGAGTGTATCAAAACTGCTCTGTCAAAAGGAAAGTTCTTCTCTGTTAGGTGAGTGCACACGTCATAAAGGAGTTTCTGAGAATGTTTCTGTCTAGTGGTTACGGGAAGATATTTGCTTTTTCACCTTAGGCCTCACAGCGCTCCAAATATCCACTTTCACATACTACAAAAAGAGTGCTTCAAAGCTGCTCTCTGAAACGGAATGTTCAACTCTATGAGTTGAATGCAAACATCACAAAGACGTTTCTGAGAATGCTTCTGTCTAGATTTGATATGGAGATATTCCCGTTTCCAACGAAATCTTCAAATCTATCCAAATGTCCACTTGCAGATTCAACAAAAAGTGTTTTTCAGAACTGCTCTATCAAAAGAAAGATCCACCTCTGTTAGCTGAGTTCACACATCACAAACAAGTTTATGAGAATGCTTCTGTCTAGTTTTTATTTGAAGATATTTCCTTTCTCACCATAGACCTGAAAGCTGTCCTAATGTTCACTTCCAGATACCACAGAAAGAGTGTTTAAAAACTGCTGTACGAAAGGGAATGTTCAACTCTGTGACTTGAATGCACACATCACAAAGAAGGTTCTGAGGATGTTGCTGTCTACTTTTTATACGTAATCCCGTTTCCAGCGAAATCCTCCAAGCTATCCAAATATCCACTTGCAGATTCCACAGAAAGACTGTTTCAAAACTGCTCTGTCAATAGAAAGGTTCAACTCTGTTAGCTGCGTGCATATATCCCAAAGAAGATTCTGAGATTGCTTCTGTCTAGTTTTTATGGGAAGATATTTCCCTTTTCACCGTAGGTGTCAACGCGCTCCAAATGTCCACTTCCAGATACTACAAAAAGAGTGTTTCAAACCTACTCTGTGAAAGGGAATATTCAACTCTGTGACTTGAATGCACATATCACAAAGAAGTTTCTGAGAATGCTTCTGTCGAGATTTTATATGAAGATATTCCCGTTTCCAACAAAATCCTGAAATGTATCCAAATATCCCCTCGCAGATTCTACAAAAAGAGTGTTTCAAAACTGCTCTGTAAAAAGAAAGGTTCAACTCTGTTAGTTGAGTACACACATCACAAACAAGTTTCACAGAATGCTTCTTTCTAGCTTGTAGTGGAAGATATTCCCTTTATCACCATGGGCCTCAAACCGTCTGAAACGTCCACTTCCATATACTACAAAAAGAGCATTTCCAACCTGCTCTATGAAAGGCAATGTTCAACTCTGTGACTTGAATGCAGACATCACAGAGCAGTTTCTGAGAATGCTTCTGTCTAGATTTTATAGGAAGATATTCCCGTTTCCAACGAAATCTTCACAGCTATCCAAATATCCACTTGCAGATTCTACAAAAAGAGTGTGTCAAAACTGCTCTGTCAAAAGGAAGGTTCTTCTCTGTTAGGTGAGTGCATACGTCATAAAGCAGTTTCTGAGAATGTTTCTGTCTAGTGGTTATGGGAAGATATTTGCTTTTTCACCGTAGGCCTCAGAGCGCTCCAAATATCCACTTGCACATACTACAAAAAGAGTGCCTCATACTGCTCTCTGAAACGGAATGTTCAACTCTATGAGTTGAATGCAAACATCGCAAAGACGTTTCTGAGAATGCTTCTGTCTAGATTTGATATGAAGATATTCCCGTTTCCAGCGAAATCTTCAAATCTATCGAAATGTCCACTTGCAGATTCAACAAAAAGTGTTTTTCAGAACTGCTCTATCAAAAGAAAGATCCACCTCTGTTAGCTGAGTTCACACATCACAAACAAGTTTATGAGAATGCTTCTGTCTAGTTTTTATTTGAAGATATATCCTTTCTCACTATAGACCTGAAAGCTCTCCTAAAGTTCACTTCCAGATACTACAGAAAGAGTGTTTCAAAACTGCTGTACGAAAGGGAATATTCAACTCTGTGACTTGAATGCACACATCACAAGGAAGTTTCTCAGGATGCTGCTGTCCACTTTTTATACGTAATCCCGTTTCCAACGAAATCCTCCAATCTATCCAAATATCCACTTGCAGATTCCACAGAAAGACTGTTTCAAAACTGCTCTGTCAATAGAAAGGTTCAACTCTGTTAGCTGCGTGCATATATCCCAAAGAAGATTCTGAGATTGCTTCTGTCTAGTTTTTATGGGAAGATATTTCCCTTTTCACCGTAGGTGACAAGGCGCTCCAAATGTCCACTTCCAGATACTACAAAAAGAGTGTTTCAAACCTACTCTGTGAAAGGGAATATTCAACTCTGTGACTTAAAGGCAGATATCACAAAGAAGTTTCTGAGAATGCTTCTGTCGAGATTTTATATGAAGATATTCCCGTTTCCAACGAAATCCTGAAATCTATCCAAATATCCCCTCGCAGATTTTATAAAAAGAGTGTTTCAAAACAGCTCTGTGAAAAGAAAGGTTCAACTCTGTTAGTTGAGTACACACATCACAAAGAAGTTTCACAGAATGCTTCTTTCTAGCTTGTAGGGGAAGATATTCCCTTTATCACCATGGGCCTCCAACCGTCCGATAAGTCCACTTCCATATCCTACAAAAAGAGCGTTTCAAACCTGCTCTATGAAAGGCAATGTTCAACTCTGTGACTTGAATGCAGACATCACAGAGCAGTTTCTGAGAATGCTTCTGTCTAGATTTTATAGGAAGATATTCCCGTTTCCAAAGAAATCTTCACAGCTATCCAAATATCCACTTGCAGATGCTACAAAAAGAGTGTATCAAAAATGCTCTGTCAAAAGGAAGGTTATTCTCTGTTAGGTGAGGGCATACGTCATAAAGGAGTTTCTGAGAATGTTTCTGTCTAGTGGTTATGGGAAGATATTTGCTTTTTCACCGTAGGCCACAGAGCGATCAAAACATCCACTTGCACATACTACAAAAAGAGTGCTTCAAAGCTGCTCTCTGAAAGTGAATGTTCAACTCTATGAGTTGAATGCAAACATCACAAAGAAGTTTCTGAGAATGCTTCTGTCTAGATTTGATATAAAGATATTCCCGTTTCCAATGAAATCTTCAAATCTATCCAAATGTCCACTTGCAGATCCAACAAAAAGTGTTTTTCAGAACTGCTCTATCAAAAGAAAGATCCACCTCTGTTAGCTGAGTTCACACATCACAAACAAGTTTATGAGAATGCTTCTGTCTAGCTTTTATTTGAAGATATATCCTTTCTCACTATAGACCTGAAAGCTCTCCTAAAGTTCACTTCCAGATACTACAGAAAGAGTGTTTCAAAACTGCTGTACGAAAGGGAATGTTCAACTCTGTGACTTGAATGCACACATCACAAAGAAGTTTCTGAGGATGCTGCTGTCTACTTTTTATACGTAATCCCGTTTCCAACGAAATCCTCCAAGCTATCCAAATATCCACTTGCAGATTCCACAGAAAGACTGTTTCAAAACTGCTCTGTCAATAGAAAGGTTCAACTCTGTTAGCTGCGTGCATATATCCCAAAACAGATTCTGAGATTGCTTCTGTCTACTTTTTATGAGAAGATATTTCCCTTTTCACCGTAGGCGTCAAGGCACTCCCAATGTCCACTTCCAGATACTACAAAAAGAGTGTTTCAAACCTACTCTGTGAAAGGGAATATTCAACTCTGTGACTTGAATGCACATATCACAAAGAAGCTTCTGAGAATGCTTCTGTCGAGATTTTATATGAAGATATTCCCATTTCCAACGAAATCCTGAAATCTATCCAAATATGCCCTCGCAGATTCTACAAAAAGAGTGTTTCAAAACTGCTCTGTAAAAAGAAAGGTTCAACTCTGTTAGTTGAGTACACACATCACAAACAAGTTTCACAGAATGCTTCTTTCTAGCTTGTAGGGGAAGATATTTCCTTTATCACCATGGGCCTCAAACCGTCCGAAACGTCCACTTCCATATACTAAAAAAAGAGTGCTTGAAACCTGCTCTATGAAAGGCAATGTTCAACTCTGTGACTTGAATGCAGACATCACAGTAGCAGTTTCTGAGAATGCTTCTGTCTAGATTTTATAGGAATATATTCCCGTTTCCAACGAAATCTTCACAGCTATCCAAATATCCACTTGCAGATTCTACAAAAAGAGTGTATCAAAACTGCTCTGTCAAAAGGAAGGTTCTTTTCTGTTAGGTGAGTGCATACGTCATAAAGGAGTTTCTGAGAATGTTTCTGTCTAGTGGTTATGGGAAGATATTTGCTTTTTCACCGTAGGCCTCAGAGCGCTCCAAATATCCACTTGCACATACTACAAAAAGAGTGCCTCAAAGCTGCTTTCTGAAACGGAATGTTCAACTCTATGAGTTGAATGCAAACAACGCAAAGACGTTTCTGAGAATGCTTCTGTCTAGATTTGATATGAAGATATTCCCGTTTCCAATGAAATCTTCAAATCTATCCAAATGTCCACTTGCAGATTCAACAAAAAGTGTTTTTCAAAACTGCTGTATCAAAAGAAAGATCCACCTCTGTTAGCTGAGTTCACACATCACAAACAAGTTTATGAGAATGCTTCTGTCTAGTTTTTATTTGAAGATGTTTCCTTTCTCACCATAGACCTGAAAGCTGTCCTAATGTTCACTTCCAGATACTACAGAAAGAGTGTTTCAAAACTGCTGTACGAAAGGGAATGTTCAACTCTGTGACTTGAATGCACACATCACAAAGGAGTTTCTGAGGATGCTGCTGTCTACTTTTTATATGTAATCCCGTTTCCAACGAAATCCTCCAAGCTATCCAAATATCCACTTGCAGATTCCACAGAAAGACTGTTTCAAAACTGCTCTGTCAATAGAAAGGTTCAACTCTGTTAGCTGCGTGCATATATCCCAAAGAAGATTCTGAGATTGCTTCTGTCTAGTTTTTATGGGAAGATATTTCCCTTTTCACCGTAGGTGTCAAGGCGCTCCAAATGTCCACTTAAAGATACTACAAAAAGAGTGTTTCAAACCTACTCTGTGAAAGGGAATATTCAACTCTGTGACTTGAATGCAGATATCACAAAGAAGTTTCTGAGAATGCTTCTGTCGAGATTTTATATGAAGATATTCCCGTTTCCAAGGAAATCCTGAAATCTATCCAAATATCCCCTCGCAGATTCTACAGAAAGAGTGGTTCAACACTGCTCTGTAAAACGAAAGGTTCAACTCTGTTAGTTGAGTACACACATCACAAACAAGTTTCACAGAATGCTTCTTTCTAGCTTGTAGGGGAAGATATTCCCTTTATCACCATGGGCCTCAAACCGTCCGAAACGTCCACTTCCATATACTACAAAAAGAGTGTTTCAAACCTGCTCTATGAAAGGCAATGTTCAGCTCTGTGACTTGAATGCAGACATCACAGAGCAGTTTCTGAGAATGCTTCTGTCTAGAGTTTATAGGAAGATATTCCCGTTTCCAACGAAATCTTCACAGCTATCCAAATATCCACTTGCAGATTCTACAAAAAGAGTGTATCAAAACTGCTCTGTCAAAAGGAAGGTTCTTTTCTGTTAGGTGAGTGCATACGTCATAAAGGAGTTTCTGAGAATGTTTCTGTCTAGTGGTTATGGGAAGATATTTGCTTTTTCACCGTAGGCCTCAGAGCGCTCCAAATATCCCCTTGCACATACTACAAAAAGAGTGCTTCAAAGCTGCTCTCTGAAAGGGAATCTTCAACTCTATGAGTTGAATGCCAACATCACAAAGACGTTTCTGAGAATGCTTCTGTCTAGATTTGATATGAAGATATTCCCGTTTCCAACGAAATCTTCAAATCTATCCAAATGTCCACTTGCAGATTCAACAAAGTGTTTTTCAGAACTGCTCTATCAAAAGAAAGATCCACCTCTGTTAGCTGAGATCACTCTTCACAAACAAGTTTATCAGAATGCTTCTGTCTAGTTTTTATTTGAAGATATTTCCTTTCTCACCATAGACCTGAAAGCTGTCCTAATGTTCACTTCCAGATACTACAGAAAGAGTGTTTCAAAACTGCTGTACTAAAGGGAATGTTCAACTCTGTGACTTGAATGCACACATCACAAAGAAGTTTCTGAGGATGCTGCTGTCTACTTTTTATACGTAATCCCGTTTCCAACGAAATCCTCCAAGCTATCCAAATATCCACTTGCAGATTCCACAGAAACACTGTTTCAAAACTGTTCTGTCAATAGAAAGGTTCAACTATGTTAGCTGCGTGCATATATCCCAAAGAAGATTCTGAGATTGCTTCTCTGTCTAGTTTTTATGGGAAGATATTTCCCTTTTCACCGTAGGCGTCAAGGCCCTCCAAATGTCCACTTCCAGATACTACAAAAAGAGTGTTTCAAACCTACTCTGTGAAAGGGAATATTCAACTCTGTGACTTGAAGGCAGATATCACAAAGAAGTTTCTGAGAATGCTTCTGTCGAGATTTTATATGAAGATATTCCCGTTTCCAACGAAATCCTGAAATCTATCCAAATATCCCCTCGCAGATTCTACAAAAAGAGTGTTTCAAAACTGCTCTGTATAAAGAAAGGTTCAACACTGTTAGTTGAGTACACACATCACAAACAAGTTTCACAGAATGCTTCTTTCTAGCTTGTAGGGGAAGATATTCCCTTTATCACCATGGGCCTCAAACCGTCCGAAACGTCCACTTCCATATACTACAAAAAGAGCGTTTCAAACCTGCTCTAGGAAAGGCAATGTTGAACTCTGTGACTTGAATGCAGACATCACAGAGCAGTTTCTGAGAATGCTTCTGTCTAGATTTTATAGGAAGATATTCCCGTTTCCAACGAAATCTTCACAGCTATCCCAATATAAACTTGCAGATTCTACAAAAAGAGTGTATCAAAACTGCTCTGTCAAAAGGAAGGTTCTTCTCTGTTAGGTGAGTGCATACGTCATAAAGGAGTTTCTGAGAATGTTTCTGTCTAGTGGTTATGGGAAGATATTTGCTTTTTCCCCGTAGGCCTCAGGGCGCTCCAAATGTCCACTTGCACATGCTACAAAAAGAGTGCTTCAAAGCTACTCTCTGGAAGGGAATGTTCAACTACTATGAGTTGAATGCAAACATCACAAAGACCTTTCTGAGAATGCTTCTGTCTAGATTTGATTTGAAGATATTCACGTTTCCAACGAAATCTTCAAATCTATCCAAATGTCCACTTGCAGATTCAACAAAAAGTGTTTTTCAGAACTGCTCTATCAAAAGAAAGATCCACCTCTGTTAGCTGAGTTCAGACATCATAAACAAGTTTATGAGAATGCTTCTGTCTAGTTTTTATTTGAAGGTATTTCCTTTCTCACCCTAGACCTGAAAGCTGTCCTAATGTTCACTTCCAGATACTACAGAAAGAGTGTTTCAAAACTGCTGTACGAAAGGGAATGTTCAACTCTGGGACTTGAATGCATACATCACAAAGAAGTTTCTGAGGATGCTGCTGTCTACTTTTTATACGTAATCCTGTTTCCAACGAAATCCTCCAAGCTATCCAAATATCCACTTGCAGATTCCACAGAAAGACTGTTTCAAAACTGCTCTGTCAATAGAAAGGTTCAACTCTGTTAGCTGCGTGCATGTATCCCAAAGAGGATTCTGAGATTGCTTCTGTCTAGTTTTTATGGGAAGATATTTCCCTTTTCACCGTAGGCGTCAAGGCGCTCCAAATGTCCACTTCCAGATACTACAAAAAGAGTGTTTCAAACCTACTCTGTGAAAGGGAATATTCAACTCTGTGACTTGAATGCACATATCACAAAGAAGTTTCTGAGAATGATTCTGTCGAGATTTTATATGAAGATATTCCCGTTTCCAACGAAATCCTGAAATCTATCCAAATATCCCCTCGCACATTCTACAAAAAGAGTGTTTCAAAACTGCTCTGTAAAAAGAAAGGTTCAACTCTGTTAGTTGAGTACACACATCACAAACAAGTTTCACAGAATGCTTCTTTCTAGCTTGTAGGGGAAGATATTCCCTTTATCACCAAGGGCCTCAAACCGTCCGAAACGTCCACTTCCATATACTACAAAAAGAGCGTTTCAAACCTGCTCTAGGAAAGGCAATGTTCAACTCTGTGACTTGAATGCAGACATCACAGAGCAGTTTCTGAGAATGATTCTGTCTAGATTTTATAGGAAGATATTCCCGTTTCCAACGAAATCTTCACAGATATCCAAATATCCACTTGCAGATTCTACAAAAAGAGTGTATCAAAACTGCTCTGTCAAAAGGAAGGTTCTTCTCTGTTAGGTGAGTGCATACGTCATAAAGGAGTTTCTGAGAATGTTTCTGTCTAGTGGTTATGGGAAGATATTTGCTTTTTCACCGTAGGCCTCACAGCGCTCCAAATATCCCCTTGCACATACTACAAAAAGAGTGCTTCAAAGCTGCTCTCTGAAAGGGAATGTTCAACTCTATGAGTTGAATGCAAACATCACAAAGACGTTTCTGAGAATGCTTCTGTCTAGATTTGATATGAAGATATTCCTTTTTCCAAGGAAATCTTCAAAACTATCCAAATGTCCACTTGCAGATTCAACAAAAAGTGTTTTTCAGAACTGCTCTATCAAAAGAAAGATCCACCGTTGTTAGCTGAGTTCACACATCACAAACAAGTTTATGAGAATGCTTCTGTCTAGTTTTTATTTGAAGATATTTCCTTTCTCACCATAGACCTGAAAGCTGTCCTAATGTTCACTTCCAGATACTACAGAAAGAGTGTTTCAAAACTGCTCTGTAAAAAGAAAGGTTCAACTCTGTTAGTTGAGTACACACATCACAAACAAGTTTCACAGAATGCTGCTGTCTACTTTTTATACGTAATCCCGTTTCCAACGAAATCCTCCAAGCTATCCAAATATCCACTTGCAGATTCCACAGAAAGACTGTTTCAAAACTGCTCTGTCAATAGAAAGGTTCAACTCTGTTAGCTGCGTGCATATATCCCAAAGGAAGATTCTGAGATTGCTTCTGTCTACTTTTTATGGGAAAATATTTCCCTTTTCACCGTAGGTGTCAAGGCGCTCCAAATGTCCACTTCCAGATACTACAAAAAGAGTGTTTCAAACCTACTCTGTGAAAGGGAATATTCAACTCTGTGACTTGAATGCAGATATCACAAAGAAGTTTCTGAGAATGCTTCTGTCGAGATTTTATATGAAGATATTCCCGTTTCCAACGAAATCCTGAAATCTATCCAAATATCCCCTCGCAGATTCTACAAAAAGAGTGTTTCAAAACTGCTCTGTAAAAAGAAAGGTTCAACTCTGTTAGTGGAGTACACACATCACAAACAAGTTTCACACAATGCTTCTTTCTAGCTTGTAGGGGAAGATATTCCCTTTATCACCATGGGCCTCAAACCGTCCGAAACGTCCACTTCCATATACTTCAAAAAGAGCGTTTCAAACCTGCTCTATGAAAGGCAATGTTCAACTCTGTGACTTGAATGCAGACATCACAGAGCTGTTTCTGAGAATGCTTCTGTCTAGATTTTATAGGAAGATATTCCCGTTTCCAACGAAATCTTCACAGCTATCCAAATATCCACTTTCAGATTCTACAAAAAGAGTGTATGAAAAGTGCTCTGTCAAAAGGAAGGTTCTTCTCTGTTAGGTGAGTGCATACGTCATAAAGGAGTTTCTGAGAATGTTTCTGTCTAGTGGTTATGGGAAGATATTTGCTTTTTCAACGTAGGCCTCAGAGCGCTCCAAATATCCACTTGCACATACTACAAAAAGAGTGCTTCAAAGCTGCTCTCTGAAACGGAATGTTCAACTCTATGAGTTGAATGCAAACATCACAAAGACGTTTCTGAGAATGCTTCTGTCTAGATTTGATATGAAGATATTCCCGTTTCCAACGAAATCTTCAAATCTATCCAAATGTCCACTTGCAGATTCAACAAAAAGTTTTTTTCAGAACTGCTCTATCAAAAGAAAGATCCACCTCTGTTAGCTGAGTTCACACATCACAAACAAGTTTATGAGAATGCTTCTGTCTTGTTTTTATTTGAAGATATTTCCTTTCTCACCATAGACCTGAAAGCTGTCCTAATGTTCACTTCCAGATACTACAGAAAGAGTGTTTCAAAACTGCTGTACGAAAGGGAATGTTCAACACTGTGACTTGAATGCACACATCACAAAGAAGTTTGCTGAGGATGCTGCTGTCTACTTTTTATACGTAATCCCATTTCCAACGAAATCCTCCAAGCTATCCAAATATCCACTTGCAGATTCCACAGAAAGACTGTTTCAAAACTGCTATGTCAATAGAAAAGTTCAACTCTGTTAGCTGTGTGCATATATCCCAAAGATAATTCTGAGATTGCTTCTGTCTAGTTTTTATGGGAAGATATTTCCCTTTTCACCGTAGGCGTCAAGGCGCTCCAAATGTCCACTTCCAGATACTACAAAAAGATTGTTTCAAACCTACTCTGTGAAAGGGAATATTCAACTCTGTGACTTGAATGCACATATCACAAAGAAGTTTCTGAGAATGCTTCTGTCGAGATTTTATATGAAGATATTCCCCTTTCCAACGAAATCCTGAAATCTATCCAAATATCCCCTCGCAGATTCTACAAAAAGAGTGTTTCAAAACTGCTCTGTAAAAAGAAAAGTTCAACTCTGTTAGTTGAGTACACACATCACAAACAAGTTTCACAGAATGCTTCTTTCTAGCTTGTAGGGGAAGATATTTCCTTTATCTCCATGGGCATCAAGCCGTCCGAAACGTCCACTTCCATATATTACGAAAAGAGCGTTTCATACCTCCTCTGTGAAAGGCAATGTTCAACTCTCTGACTTGAATGCAGACATCACAGAGCAGTTTCTGAGAATGCTTCTGTTTAGATTTTATAGGAAGATATTCCCGTTTCCAACGAATTCTTCACTGATATCCAAATATCCACTTGCAGAGTCTACAAAAAGAGTGTATCAATACTGCTCTGTAAAAAGGAAGGTTCTTCTCTGTTAGTTGAGTACATACGTCATAAAGAAGTTTCTGAGAATGTTTCTGTCTAGTGGTTATGGGAAGATATTTGCTTTTTCACCTTAGGCCTCAGAGCGCTCCAAATATCCACTTGCACATACTACAAAAAGAGTGCTTCAAAGCTGCTCTCTGAAAGGGAATGTTCAACTCTATGAGTTGAATGCAAACATCACAAGGACGTTTCTGACAATGCTCTGTCTAGATTTGATATGAAGATATTCCCGTTTCCAACGAAATCTTCATATCTATCCAAATGTCCACTTGCAGATTCAACAAAAAGTGTTTTTCAAAACTGCTGTATCAAAAGAAAGATCCACGTCTGTTAGCTGAGTTCACACATCACAAACAAGTTTATGAGAATGCTTTCTGTCTAGTTTCTATTTGAAGATATTTCCTTTCTCACCATAGACCTGAAAGCTGTCCTAATGTTCACTTCCAGATACTACAGAAAGAGTGTTTCAAAACTGCTGTACGAAAGGGAACGTTCAACTCTGTGACTTGAATGCACACATCACAAAGAAGTTTCTGAGGATGCTGCTGTCTACTTTTTATACTTAATCCCGTTTCCAACGAAATCCTCCAAGCTATCCAAATATCCACTTGCAGATTCCACAGAAAGACTGTTTCAAAACCGCTCTGTCAATAGAAAGGTTCAACTCTGTTAGCTGCGTGCATATATCCCAAAGAAGATTCTGAGATTCCTTCTGTCTAGTTTTTATGGGAAGATATTTCCCTTTTCACCGTAGGCATCAAGGCGCTCCAAATGTCCACTTCCAGATACTACAAAAAGAGTGTTTGAAACCTACTCTGTGAAAGGGAATATTCAACTATGTGACTTGAATGCAGATATCCCAAAGAAGTTTCTGAGAATGCTTCTGTCGAGATTTTATATGAGGATATTCCCGTTTCCAACGAAATCCTGAAATCTATCCAAATATCCCCTCACAGATTCTACAAAAAGAGTGTTTCAAAACTGCTCTGTAAAAAGAAAGGTTCAACTCTGTTAGTTGAGTACACACATCACAAACAAGTTTCACAGAATGCTTCTTTCTAGCTTGTAGGGGAAGATACTCCCTTTATCACCATGCGCCTCAAACCGTCCGAAACGTCCACTTCCATATACTACAAAAAGAGCGTTTCAAACCTGCTCTAGGAAAGGCAATGTTCAACTCTGTGACTTGAATGCAGACATCACAGAGCAGTTTCTGAGAATGCTTCTGTCTAGATTTTATAGGAAGATATTCCCGTTTCCAACGAAATCTTCACAGCTATCCAAATATCCACTTGCAGATTCTACAAAAAGAGTGTATCAAAACTGCTCTGTCGAAAGGAAGGTTCTCCTCTGTTAGGTGAGTGCATACGTCATAAAGGAGTTTCTGAGAATGTTTCTGTCTAGTGGTTATGGGAAGATATTTGCTTTTTCCCCGTAGGCCTCAGGGCGCTCCAAATGTCCACTTGCACATGCTACAAAAAGAGTGCTTCAAAGCTACTCTCTGGAAGGGAATGTTCAACTCTATGAGTTGAATGCAAACATCACAAAGACCTTTCTGAGAATGCTTCTGTCTAGATTTGATATGAAGATATTCCCGTTTCCAACGAAATCTTCAAATCTATCCAAATGTCCCCTTGCAGATTCAACAAAAATTGTTTTTCAGAACTGCTCTATCAAAAGAAAGATCCACGTGTGTTAGCTGAGTTCACACATCACAAACAAGTTTATGAGAATGCTTCTGTCTAGTTTTTATTTGAAGATATTTCCTTTCTCACCGTAGACCTGAAAGCTGTCCTAATGTTCACTTCCAGATACTACAGAAAGAGTGTTTCAAAACTGCTGTACGAAAGGGAATGTTCAACTCTGTGACTTGAATGCACACATCACAAAGAAGTTTCTGAGGATGCTGCTGTCTACTTTTTATACTTAATCCCGTTTCCAACGAAATCCTTCAAGCTATCCAAATATCCACTTGCAGATTCCACAGAAAGACTGTTTCAAAACTGCTCTGTCAATAGAAAGGTTCAACTCTGTTAGCTGCGTGCATATATCCCAAAGAAGATTCTGAGATTGCTTCTGTCTAGTTTTTATGGGAAGATATTTCCCTTTTCACCGTAGGTGTCAAGGCGCTTCAAATGTCCACTTCCAGATACTACAAAAAGAGTGTTTCAAACCTACTCTCTGAAAGGGAATATTCAACTCTGTGACTTGAATGCAGATATCACAATGAAGTTTCTGAGAATGCTTCTGTCGAGATTTTATATGAAGATATTCCCGTTTCCAACGAAATCCTGAAATCTATCCAAATATCCCCTCGCAGATTCTACAAAAAGAGTGTTTCAAAACTGCTCTGTGAAAAGAAAGGTTCAACTCTGTTAGTTGAGTACAGACATCACAAACAAGTTTCACAGAATGCTTCTTTCTAGCTTGTAGGGGAAGATATTCCCTTTATCACCATAGGCCTCCAACCGTCCGAAACATCCACTTCCATATACTACAAAAAGAGCGTTTCAAACCTGCTCTATGAAAGGCAATGTTCAACTCTGTGACTTGAATGCAGACATCACAGAGCAGTTTCTGAGAATGCTTCTGTCTAGATTTTATAGGAAGATATTCCCGCTTCCAACGAAATCTTCACAGCTATCCAAATATCCACTTGCAGATTCTACAAAAAGAGTGTATCAAAACTGCTCTGTCAAAAGGAAGGTTCTTCTCTGTTAGTTGAGTACATACGTCATAAAGGAGTTTCTGAGAATGTTTCTGTCTAGTGGTTATGGGAAGATATTTGCTTTTTCACCGTAGGCCTCAGAGCGCACCAAATATCCACTTGCACATACTACAAAAGGAGTGCTTCAAAGCTGCTCTCTGAAACGGAATGTTCAACTCTATGAGTTGAATGCAAACATCACAAAGACGTTTCTGAGAATGCGTCTGTCTAGATTTGATATGAAGATATTCCCGTTTCCAACGAAATCTTCAAATCTTTCCAAATGTCCACTTGCAGATTCAACAAAAAGTGTTTTTCAGAACTGCTCTATCAAAAGAAAGATCCACCTCTGTTAGCTGAGTTCACACATCACAAACAAGTTTATGAGAATGCTTCTGTCTAGTTTTTATTTGAAGATATTTCCTTTCTCACCATAGACCTGAAAGCTGTCCTAATGTTCACTTCCAGATACTACAGAAAGAGTGTTTCAAAACTGCTGTACGAAAGGGAATGTTCAACTCTGTGACTTGAATGCCCACATCACAAAGATGTTTCTGAGGATGCTGCGGTCTACTTTTTATACGTAATCCCGTTTCCAACGAAATCCTCCAAGCTATCCAAATATCCACTTGCAGATTCCACAGAAAGACTGTTTCAAAACTGCTCTGTCAATAGAAAGGTTCAACTCTGTTAGCTGCGTGCATATATCCCAAAGAAGATTCTGAGATTGCTTCTGTCTAGTTTTTATGGGAAGATATTTCCCTTTTCACCATAGGCGTCAAGGCGCTCCAAATGTCCACTTCCAGATACTACAAAAAGAGTGTTTCAAACCTACTCTGTGAAAGGGAATATTCAACTCTGTGACTTGAATGCACATATCACAAGGAAGTTTCTGAGAATGCTTCTGTCGAGATTTTATATGAAGATATTCCCGTTTCCAACCAAATCCTGAAATCTATCCAAATATCCCCTCGCAGATTCTACAAAAAGAGTGTTTCAAAACTGCTCTGTAAAAAGAAAGGTTCAACTCTGTTAGTTGAGTACACACCTCACAAACAAGTTTCACAGAATGCTTCTTTCTAGCTTGTAGGGGAAGATATTCCCTTTATCACCATGGGCCTCAAACCGTCCGATAAGTCCACTTCCATATACTACAAAAAGAGCGTTTCAAACCTGCTCTATGAAGGGCAATGTTCAACTCTGTGACTTGAATGCAGACATCACAGAGCAGTTTCTGAGAATGCTTCTGTCCAGACTTTATAGGAAGATATTCCCGTTTCCAACGAAATCTTCACAGCTATCCAAATATCCACTTGCAGATACTACAAAAAGAGTGTATCAAAAATGCTCTGTCAAAAGGAAAGTTCTTATCTGCTAGTTGAGTACATACGTCATAAAGAAGTTTCTGAGAATGTTTCTGTCTAGTGGTTATGGGAAGATATTTGCTTTTTCACCGTAGGCCTCAGAGCGCTCCAAATATCCACTTGCACATACTACAAAAAGAGTGCCTCAAACTGCTCTCTGAAACGGAATGTTCAACTCTATGAGTTGAATGCAAACATCCCAAAGACGTTTCTGAGAATGCTTCTGTCTAGATTTGATATGAAGATATTCCCGTTTCCAACGAAATCTTCAAATCTATCCAAATGTCCACTTGCAGATTCAACAAAAAGTGTTTTTCAGAACTGCTCTATCAAAAGAAAGACCCATCTCTGTTAGCTGAGTTCACACATCACAAACAAGTTTATGAGAATGCTTCTGTCTAGTTTTTATTGGAAGATATTTCCCTTCTCACCATAGACCTGAAAGCTGTCCTAATGTTCACTTCCAGATACTACAGAAAGAGTGTTTCAAAACTGCTGTACGAAAGGGAATGTTCAACTCTGTGACTTGAATGCACACATCACAAAGAAGTTTCTGAGGATGCTGCTGTCTACTTTTTATACGTAATCCCGTTTCCAACGAAATCCTCCAAGCTATCCAAATATCCACTTGCAGATTCCACAGAAAGACTGTTTCAAAACTGCTATGTCAATAGAAAGGTTCAACTCTGTTAGCTCCGTGCATATATCCCAAAGAAGATTCTGAGATTACTTCTGTCTAGTTTTTATGGGAAGATATTTCCCTTTTCACCGTAGGCGTCAAGGCGCTCCAAATGTCCACTTCCAGATACTACAAAAAGAGTGTTTCAAACCTACTCTGTGAAAGGGAATATTCAACTCTCTGACTTGAATGCACATATCACAAAGAAGTTTCTGAGAATGCTTCTGTCGAGATTTTATATGAAGATATTCCCGTTTCCAATGAAATCCTGAAATCTATCCAAATATCCCCTCGCAGATTCTACAAAAAGAGTGTTTCAAAACTGCTCTGTAAAAAGAAAGGTTCAACTCTGTTGGTTGTGTACACACATCACAAACAAGTTTCACAGAATGCTTCTTTCTAGCTTGTGGGGGAAGATATTCCCTTTATCACCATGGGACTCAAACCGTCCGAAACGTCCACTTCCATATACTACAAAAAGAGCGTTTCAAACCTGCTCTATGAAAGGCAATGTTCAACTCTGTGACTTGAATGCAGACATCACAGAGCAGTTTCTGAGAATGCTTCTGTCTAGATTTTATAGGAAGATATTCCCGTTTCCAACGAAATATTCACAGGTATCCAAATATCCACTTGCAGATTCTACAAAAAGAGTGTATCAAAACTGCTCTGTCAAAAGGAAGGTTCTTCTCTGTTAGGTGAGTGCATACGTCATAAAGGAGTTTCTGAGAATGTTTCAGTCTAGTGGTTATGGGAAGATATTTGCTTTTTCACTGCAGGCCTCACAGCGCTCCAAATATCCACTTGCACATACTACAAAAAGAGTGCTTCAAAGCTGCTCTCTGAAACGGAATGTTCAACTCTATGAGTTGAATGCAAACATCACAAAGACGTTTCCGAGAAATGCTTCTGTCTAGATTTGATATGAAGATATTCCCGTTTCCAACGAAATCTTCAAATCTATCCAAATGTCCACTTGCAGATTCAACAAAAAGTGTTTTTCAGAACTGCTGTATCAAAAGAAAGATCCACCTCTGTTAGCTGAGTTCACACTTCACAAACAAGTTTATCAGAATGCTTCTGTCTAGTTTTTATTTGAAGATATTTCCTTTCTCACCATAGACCTGAAAGCTGTCCTAATGTTCACTTCCAGGTACTACAGAAAGAGTGTTTCAAAACTGCTGTACGAAAGGGAAAGTTCAACTCTGTGACTTGAATGCACACATCACAAAGAAGTTTCTGAGGATGCTCTGTCTACTTTTTATGCGTAATCCCGTTTCCAACGAAATCCTCCAAGCTATCCAAATATCCACTTGCAGATTCCACAGAAAGACTGTTTCAAAACTGCTCTGTCAATAGAAAGGTTCAACTCTGTTAGCTGCGTGCATATATCCCAAAGAAGATTCTGAGATTGCTTTCTGTCTAGTTTTTATGGGAAGATATTTCCCTTTTCACCGTAGGTGTCAAGGCGCTCCAAATGTCCACTTCCAGATACTACAAAAAGAGTGTTTCAAACCTACTCTGTGAAAGGGAATATTCAACTCTGTGGCTTGAATGCCGATATCACAAAGAAGTTTCTGAGAATGCTTCTGTCGAGATTTTATATGAAGATATTCCCGTTTCCAACGAAATCCTGAAATCTATCCAAATATCCGCTCGCAGATTGTACAAAAAGAGTGTTTCAAAACTGCTCTGTGAAAAGAAAGGTTCAACTCTGTTAGTTGAGTACACACATCACAAACAAGTTTCACAGAATGCTTCTTTCTAGCTTGTAGGGGAAGATATTCCCTTTATCACCATGGGCCTCAAACCGTCCGAAACATCCACTTCCATATACTGCAAAAAGAGCGTTTCAAACCTGCTCTATGAAAGGCAATGTTCAACTCTGTGACTTGAATGCAGACATCACAGAGCAGTTTCTGAGAATGCTTCTGTCTAGATTTTATAGGAAGATATTCCCGTTTCCAACGAAATCTTCACAGCTATCCCAATATCCACTTGCAGATTCTACAAAAAGACTGTATCAAAACTGCTCTGTCAAAAGGAAGGTTCTTCTCTGTTAGGTGAGTGCATACGTCATAAAGGAGTTTCTGAGAATGTTCCTGTCTAGTGGTTATGGGAAGATATTTGCTTTTTCACCGTAGGCCTCAGAGCGCTCCAAATATCCACTTGCACATACTACAAAAAGAGTGCTTCAAAGCTGGTCTCTGAAACGGAATGTTCAACTCTATGAGTTGAATGCAAACATCACAAAGACGTTTCTGAGAATGCTTCTGTCTAGATTTGATGTGAAGATATTCCCGTTTCCAACGAAATCTTCATATCTATCCAAATGTCCACTTGCAGATTCAACAAAAAGTGTTTTTCAAAACTGCTGTATCAAAAGAAAGATCCACGTGTGTTAGCTGAGTTCACACATCACAAACAAGTTTATGAGAATGCTTCTGTCTAGTTTTTATTTGAAGATATTTCCTTTCTCACCATAGACCTGAAAGCTGTCCTAATGTTCACTTCCAGATACTACAGAAAGAGTGTTTCAAAACTGCTGTACGAAAGGGAATGTTCAACTCTGTGACTTGAATGCACACATCACAAAGAAGTTTCTGAGGACGCTGCTGTCTACTTTTTATACGTAATCCCGTTTCCAACGAAATCCTCCAATCTATCCAAATATCCACTTGCAGATTCCACAGAAAGACTGTTTCAAAACTGCTCTGTCAATAGAAAAGTTCAACTCTGTTAGCTGCGTGCATATATCGCAAAGAAGATTCTGAGATTGCTTCTGTCTAGTTTTTATGGGAAGATATTTCCCTTTTCACCGTAGGTGTCAAGGCGCTCCAAATGTCCACTTCCAGATACTACAAAAAGAGTGTTTCAAACCTACTCTGTGAAAGGGAATATTCAACTCTGTGACTCGAATGCACATATAACAAAGAAGTTTCTGAGAATGCTTCTGTCGAGATTTTATATGAAGATATTCCCGTTACCAACGAAATCCTGAAATCTATCCAAATATCCCCTCGCAGATTCTACAAAAAGAGTGTTTCAAAACTGCTCTGTAAAAAGAAAGGTTCAACTCTGTTAGTTGAGTACACACATCACAAACAAGTTTCACAGAATGCTTCTTTCTAGCTTGTACGGGAAGATATTCCCTTTATCACCATGGGCCTCCAACCGTCCGAAACATCCACTTCCATATACTACAAAAAGAGCGTTTCAAACCTGCTCTATGAAAGGCAATGTTCAACTCTGTGACTTGAATGCAGACATCACAGAGCAGTTTCTGAGAATGCTTCTGTCTAGATTTTATAGGAAGATATTCCCGTTTCCAACGAAATCTTCACAGCTATCCAAATATCCACTTGCAGATTCTACAAAAAGAGTGTATCAAAACTGCTCTGTCAAAAGGAAGGATCTTCTCTGTTAGTTGAGTACATACGTCATAAAGGAGTTTCTGAGAATGTTTCTGTCTAGTGGTTATGGGAAGATATTTGCTTTTTCACCTTAGGCCTCAGAGCGCTCCAAATATCCCCTTGCACATACTACAAAAAGAGTGCTTCAAAGCTGCTTTCTGAAACGGAATGTTCAACTCTATGAGTTGAATGCAAACATCACAAAGACGTTTCTGAGAATGCTTCTGTCTAGATTTGATATGAAGATATTCCCGTTTCCAACGAAATCTTCAATTCTATCAAAATGTCCACTTGCAGATTCAACAAAAAGTGTTTTTCAGAACTGCTCTATCAAAAGAAAGATCCACCTCTGTTAGCTGAGTTCACACTTCACAAACAAGTTTATCAGAATGCTTCTGTCTAGTTTTTATTTGAAGATATTTCCTTTCTCACCATAGAGCTGAAAGCTGTTCTAATGTTCACTTCCAGATACTACAGGAAGAGTGTTTCAAAACTGCTGTACGAAAGGGAATGTTCAACTCTGTGACTTGAATGCACACATCACAAAGAAGTTTCTGAGGATGCTGCTGTCTACTTTTTATGCGTAATCCCGTTTCCAACGAAATCCTCCAAGCTATCCAAATATCCACTTGCAGATTCCACAGAAAGACTGTTTCAAAACTGCTCTGTCAATAGAAAGGTTCAACTCTGTTAGCTGCGTGCATATATCCCCAAAGAAGATTCTGAGATTGCTTCTGTCTAGTTTTCATGGGAAATATTTCCCTTTTCACCGTAGGTGTCAAGGCGCTCCAAATGTCCACTTCCAGATACTACAAAAAGAGTGTTTCAAACCTACTCTGTGAAAGGGAATATTCAACTCTGTGACTTGAATGCACATATCACAAAGAAGTTTCTGAGAATGCTTCTGTCGAGATTTTATATGAAGATATTCCCGTTTCCAACGAAATCCTGAAATCTATCCAAATATCCCCTCGCAGATTCTACAAAAAGAGTGTTTCAAAACTGCTCTGTGAAAAGAAAGGTTCAACTCTGTTAGTTGAGTACACACATCACAAACAAGTTTCACACAATTCTTCTTTCTAGCTTGTAGGGGAAGATATTCCCTTTATCACCATGGGCCTCAAACCGTCCGAAACGTCCACTTCCATATACTACAAAAAGAGCGTTTCAAACCTGCTCTATGAAAGGCAATGTTCAACTCTGTGACGTGAATGCAGACATCACAGAGCAGTTTCTGAGAATGCTTCTGTCTAGATTTCATAGGAAGATATTCCCGTTTCCAACGAAATCTTCACAGCTATCCAAATATCCACTTGCAGATTCTACAAAAAGAGTGTATCAAAAGTGCTCTGTCAAAAGGAAAGTTCTTCTCTGCTAGTTGAGTACATACGTCATAAAGAAGTTTCTGAGAATGTTTCTGTCTAGTGGTTATGGGAAGATATTTGCTTTTTCCCCGTAGGCCTCAGGGCGCTCCAAATGTCCACTTGCACATGCTACAAAAAGAGTGCATCAAAGCTGCTCTCTGAAAGGGAATGTTCAACTCTATGAGTTGAATGCAAACATCACAAAGACGTTTCTGAGAATGCTTCTGTCTAGATTTGATATGAAGATATTCCCGTTTCCAACGAAATCTTCAAATCTATCCAAATGTCCACTTGCAGATTCAACAAAAAGTGTTTTTCAGAACTGCTCTATCAAAAGAAAGATCCACCTCTGTTAGCTGAGTTCACACATCACAAACAACTTTATGAGAATGCTTCTGTCTAGTTTTTATTTGAAGATATTTACTTTCTCACCATAGACCTGAAAGCTGTCCTAATGTTCACTTCCAGATACTACAGAAAGAGTGTTTCAATACTGCTGTACGAAAGGGAATGTTCAACTCTGTGACTTGAATGCACACATCACAAAGAAGTTTCTGAGGATGCTGCTGTCTTACTTTTTATACGTAATCCCGTTTCCAACGAAATCCTCCAAGCTATCCAAATATCCACTTGCAGATTCCACAGAAAGACTGTTTCAAAACTGCTCTGTCAATAGAAAGGTTCAACTCTGTTAGCTGCGTGCATATATCCCAAAGAAGATTCTGAGGATTGCTTCTGTCTAGTTTTTATGGGAAGATATTTCCCTTTTCACCGTAGGCGTCAAGGCGCTCCAAATGTCCACTTCCAGATACTACAAAAAGAGTGTTTCAAACCTACTCTGTGAAAGGCAGAATATTCAGCTCTGTGACTTGAATGCACATATCACAAAGAAGTTTCTGAGAATGCTTCTGTCGAGATTTTATATGAAGATATTCCCGTTTCCAACGAAATCCTGAAATCTATCCAAATATCCCCTCGCAGATTCTACAAAAAGAGTGTATCAAAACTGCTCTGTAAAAAGAAAGGTTCAACTCTGTTAGTTGAGTACACACATCACAAACAAGTTTCACAGAATGCTTCTTTCTAGCTTGTAGGGGAAGATATTCCCTTTATCACCATCGGCCTCAAACCGTCTGAAACGTCCACTTCCATATACTACAAAAAGAGCGTTTCAAACCTGCTCTAGGAAAGGCAATGTTCAACTCTGTGACTTGAATGCAGACATCACAGAGCAGTTTCTGAGAATGCTTCTGTCTAGATTTTATAGGAAGATATTCCCGTTTCCAACGAAATCTTCACAGCTATCCAAATATCCACTTGCAGATTCTACAAAAAGAGTGTATCAAAACTGCTCTGTCAAAAGGAAGGTTTTTCTCTGTTAGGTGAGTGCATACGTCATAAAGGAGTTTCTGAGAATGTTTTCTGTCTAGTGGTTATGGGAAGATATTTGCTTTTTCACCGTAGGCCTCAGTGCGCTCCAAATATCCACTTGCACATACTACAAAAAGAGTGCCTCAAAGCTGCTCTCTGAAACGGAATGTTCAACTCTATGAGTTGAATGCAAACATCACAAAGACGTTTCTGAGAATGCCTCTGTCTAGATTTGATATGAAGATATTCCCGTTTCCAACGAAATCTTCAAATCTATCCAAATGTCCACTTGCAGATTCTACAAAAAGTGTTTTTCAAAACTGCTGTATCAAAAGAAAGATCCACGTCTGTTAGCTGAGTTCACACATCACAAACAAGTTTATGAGAATGCTTCTGTCTAGTTTTTATTTGAAGATATTTCCTTTCTCACCATAGACCTGAAAGCTGTCCTAATGTACACTTCCAGATACTACAGAAAGAGTGTTTCAAAACTGCTGTACGAAAGGGAATGTTCAACTCTGTGACTTGAATGCACACATCACAAAGAAGTTTCTGAGGATGCTGCTGTCTACTTTTTATACGTAATCCCGTTTCCAACGAAATCCTCCAAGCTATCCAAATATCCACTTGCAGATTCCACAGAAAGACTGTTTCAAAACTGCTCTGTCAATAGAAAGGTTCAACTCTTTTAGCTGCGTGCATATATCCCAAAGAAGATTCTGAGATTGCTTCTGTCTAGTTTTTATGGGAAGATATTTCCCTTTTCACCGTAGGTGTCAAGGCGCTCCAAATGTCCACTTCCAGATACTACAAAAAGAGTGTTTCAAACCTACTCTCTGAAAGGGAATATTCAACTCTGTGACTTGAATGCAGATATCACAAAGAAGTTTCTGAGAATGCTTCTGTCGAGATTTTATATGAAGATATTCCCGTTTCCAATGAAATCCTGAAAGCTATCCAAATATCCCCTCGCAGATTCTACAAAAAGAGTGTTTCAAAACTGCTCTGTCAAAAGGAAGGTTCTTCTCTGTTAGTTGAGTACATACGTCATAAAGGAGTTTCTGAGAATGTTTCTTTCTAGCTTGTATGGGAAGATATTCCCTTTATCACCATGGGCCTCAAACCGTCCGAAACGTCCACTTCCATATACTACAAAAAGAGTGTTTCAAACCTGCTCTATGAACGGCAATGTTCAACTCTGTGAGTTGAATGCAGACATCACAGAGCAGTTTCTGAGAATGCTTCTGTCTAGATTTTATAGGAAGATATTCCCGTTTCCAACGAAATCTTCACAGCTATCCAAATATCCACTTGCAGATTCTACAAAAAGAGTGTATCAAAACTGCTCTGTCAAAAGGAAGGTTCTTCTCTGTTATGTGAGTGCATACGTCATAAAGGAGTTTCTGAGAATGTTTCTGTCTAGTGGTTATGGGAAGATATTTGCTTTTTCACCTTAGGCCTCAGAGCGCTCAAAATATCCACTTGCACATACTACAAAAAGAGCGCTTCAAAGCTGCTCTCTGTAACAGAATGTTCAACTCTATGGGTTGAATGCAAACATCACAAAGACGTTTCTGAGAATGCTTCTGTCTAGATTTGATATGAAGATATTCCCGTTTCCAACGAAATCTTCAAATCTATCCAAATGTCCACTTGCAGATTCAACAAAATGTTTTTCAGAACTGCTCTATCAAAAGAAAGATCCACCTCTGTTAGCTGAGATCACACTTCACAAACAAGTTTATCAGAATGCTTCTGTCTAGTTTTTATTTGAAGATATATCCTTTCTCACTATAGACCTGAAAGCTCTCCTAAAGTTCACTTCCAGATACTACAGAAAGAGTGTTTCAAAACTGCTGTACGAAAGGGAATGTTCAACTCTGTGACTTGAATGCACACATCACAAGGTTGTTTCTGAGGATGCTGCTGTCTACTTTTTATACGTAATCCCGTTTCCAACGAAATCCTCCAAGCTATCCAAATATCCACTTACAGATTCCACAGAAAGACTGTTTCAAAACTGCTCTGTCAATAGAAAGGTTCAACTCTATTAGCTGCGTACATATATCCCAAAGAAGATTCTGAGATTGCTTCTGTCTACTTTTTATGAGAAGATATTTCCCTTTTCACCGTAGGCGTCAAGGCGCTCCAAATGTCCACTTCAGATACTACAAAAAGAGTGTTTCAAACCTACTCTGTGATAGGGAATATTGAACTCTGTGACTTGAATGCACATATCACAAAGAAGTTTCAGAGAATGCTTCTGTCAAGATTTTATATGAAGATATTCCCCTTTCCAACGAAATCCTGAAATCTATCCAAATATCCCCTCGCAGATTCTACAAAAAGAGTGTTTCAAAACTGCTCTGTAAAAAGAAAGGTTCAACTCTGTTAGTTGAGTACACACATCACAAACAAGTTTCACAGAATGCTCTTTCTAGCTTGTAGGGGAAGATATTCCCTTTATCACCATGGGCCTCAAACCGTCCGAAACGTCCACTTCCATATACTACAAAAAGAGTGTTTCAAACCTGCTCTATGAACGGCAATGTTCAACTCTGTGACTTGAATGCAGACATCACAGAGCAGTTTCTGAGAATGCTTTCTGTCTAGATTTTATAGGAAGATATTCCCGTTTCCAACGAAATCTTCACAGCTATCCAAATATCCACTTGCAGATTCCACAAAAAGAGTGTATCAAAACTGCTCTGTCAAAAGGAAGGTTCTTCTCCTGTTAGTTGAGTACATACGTCATAAAGGAGTTTCTGAGAATGTTTCTGTCTAGTGGTTATGAGAAGATATTTGCTTTTTCACCGTAGGCCTCAGAGCGCTCCAAATATCCACTTGCACATACTACAAAAAGAGTGCTTCAAAGCTGCTCTCTGAAACGGAATGTTCAACTCTATGAGTTGAATGCAAACATCGCAAAGACGTTTCTGAGAATGCTTCTGTCTAGATTTGATATGACGATATTCCCGTTTCCAACGAAATATTCAAATCTATCCAAATGTCCACTTGCAGATTCAACAAAAAGTGTTTTTCAGAACTGCTCTATCAAAAGAAAGATCCACCTCTGTTAGCTGAGTTCACACATCACAAACAAGTTTATGAGAATGCTTATCTGTCTAGTTTTTATTTGAAGATATATCCTTTCTCACTATAGACCTGAAAGCTGTCCTAAAGTTCACTTCCAGATACTACAGAAAGAGTGTTTCAAAACTGCTGTACGAAAGGGAATGTTCAACTCTGTGACTTCAATGCACACATCACAAGGATGTTTCTGAGGATGCTGCTGTCTACTTTGTATACGTAATCCCGTTTCCAACGAAATCCTCCAAGCTATCCAAATATCCACTTGCAGATTCCACAAAAAGAGTGTTTCAAAACTGCTCTGTCAATAGAAAGGTTCACCTCTGTTAGCTGGGTGCATACATCCCAAAGAAGATTCTGAGGTTGCTTCTGTCTAGTTTTTATGGGAAGATATTTCCCTTTTCACCATAGGCATCAAGGCGCTCCAAATGTCCACTTCCAGATACTACAAAAAGAGTGTTTCAAACCTACTCTGTGAAAGGGAATATTCAACTCTGTGACTTGAATGCACATATCACGAAGAAGTTTCTGCGAATGCTTCTGTCGAGATTTTATATGAAGATATTCCCGTTTCCAACGAAATCCTGAAATCTATCCAAATATCCCCTCACATATTCTACAAAAAGAGTGTTTCAAAACTGCTCTGTAAAAAGAAAGGTTCAACTCTGTTAGTTGAGTACACACCTCACAAACAAGTTTCACAGAATGCTTCTTTCTAGCTTGTAGGGGAAGATATTCCCTTTATCACCATGGGCCTCAAACCGTCCGAAACGTCTACTTCCATATACTACAAAAAGAGCGTTTCAAACCTGCTCTATGAAAGACAATGTTCAACTCTGTGACTTGAATGCAGACATCACAGAGCAGTTTCTGAGAATGCTTCTGTCAAGATTTTATAGGAAGATATTCCCGTTTCCGACGAAATCTTCACAGCTATCCAAATATCCACTTGCAGATTCTACAAAAAGAGTGTATCAAAACTGCTCTGTCAAAAGGAAGGTTCTTCTCTGCTAGGTGAGTGCATACGTCATAAAGGAGTTTCTGAGAATGTTTTCTGTCTAGTGGTTATGGGAAGATATTTGCTTTTTCCCCGTAGGCCTCAGAGCGCTCCAAATGTCCACTTGCACATGCTACAAAAAGAGTGCTTCAAAGCTGCTCTCTGAAAGGGAATGTTCAACTCTATGAGTTGAATGTAAACATCACAAAGACGTTTCTGAGAATGCTTCTGTCTAGATTTGATATGAAGATATTCCCGTTTCCAACGAAATCTTCAAATCTATCCAAATGTCCACTTGCAGACTCAACAAAAAGTGTTTTTCAGAACTGCTCTATCAAAAGAAAGATCCACCTCTGTTAGCTGAGTTCAGACATCACAAACAAGTTTATGAGAATGCTTCCTGTCTAGTTTTTATTTTTAGATATTTCCTTTCTCACCGCAGACCTGAAAACTCTCATAATGTTCACTTCCAGATACTACAGAAAGAGTGTTTGAAACCTGCTGTATGAAAGGGAATGTTGAACTCTGTGACATGAATGCACACATCACAACGAAGTTTCTGAGAATGCTGCTGTCTACTTTTTATACGTAATCCCGTTTCCAACGAAATCCTCCAAGCTATCCAAATATCCACTTGCAGATTCCACAGAAAGACTGTTTCAAAACTGCTCTGTCAATAGAAAGGTTCAACTCTGTAAACTGCGTGCATATATCCCAAAGAAGATTCTGAGATTGCTTCTGTCTAGTTTTTATGGGAAGATATTTCCCTTTTCACCGTAGGCGTCAAGGCGCTCCAAATGTCCACTTCCAGATACTACAAAAAGAGTGTTTCAAACCTACTCTGTGAAAGGGAATATTCAACTCTGTGACTTGAATGCAGATATCACAAAGAAGATTCTGAGAATGCTTCTGTCGAGATTTTATATGAAGATATTCCCGTTTCCCACGAAATCCTGAAATCTCTCCAAATATCCCCTCGCAGATTCTACAAAAAGAGTGTTTCAAAACTGCTCTGTAAAAAGAAAGGTTCAACTCTGTTACTTGAGTACACACATCACAAACAAGTTTCACAGAATGATTCTTTCTAGCTTGTAGGGGAAGATATTCCCTTTATCACCATGGGCCTCAAACCGTCCGAAACGTCCACTTCCATATACTACAAAAAGAGCGTTTCAAACCTGCTCTATGAAAGGCAATGGTCAACTCCGTGACATGAATGCAGACATCACAGAGCAGTTTCTGAGAATGCTTCTGTCTAGATTTTATAGGAAGATATTCCCGTTTCCAATGAAATCTTCACAGCTATCCCAATATCCACTTGCAGATTCTACAAAAAGAGTGTATCAAAAGTGCTCTGTCAAAAGGAAGGTCCTTCTCTGTTAGGTGAGTGCATACGTCATAAAGGAGTTTCTGAGAATGTTTCTGTCTGGTGGTTATGGGAAGATATTTGCTTTTTCACCAAAGGCTTCAGAGCACTCCAGATATCCACTTGCACATACTACAAAATGAGTGCCTCAAAGCTGCTCTCTGAAACGGAATGTTCAACTCTATGAGTTGAATGCAAACATCACAAAGACGTTTCCGAGAATGCTTCTGCCTAGATTTGATATGAAGATATTCCCGTTTCCAACGAAATCTTCAAATCTATCCAAATGTCCACCTGCAGATTCAACAAAAAGTGTTTTTCAGAACTGCTCTATCAAAAGAAAGATCCATCTCTGTTAGCTGAGTTCACACATCACAAACAAGTTTATGAGAATGCTTTTGTCTAGTTTTTATTTGAAGATATTTCCTTTCTCACCATAGACCTGAAAGCTGTCCTAATGTTCACTTCCAGTTACTACAGAAAGAGTGTTTCAAAACTGCTGTACGAAAGGGAATGTTCAACTCTGTGACTTGAATGCACACATCACAAAGAAGTTTGCTGAGGATGCTGCTGTCTACTTTTTATACGTAATCCCGTTTCCAACAAAATCCTCCAAGCTATCCAAATATCCACTTGCAGATTCCACAGAAAGACTGTTTCAAAACTGCTCTGTCAATAGAAATGTTCAACTCTGTTAGCTGCGTGCATATATCCCAAAGAAGATTCTGAGATTGCTTCTGTCTAGTTTTTATGGGAAGATATTTCCCTTTTCACCGTAGGCGTCAAGGCTCTCCAAATGTCCACTTCCAGATACTACAAAAAGAGTGTTTCAAACCTACTCTGTGAAAGGGAATATTCAACTCTGTGACTTGAATGCACATATCACAAAGAAGTTTCTGAGAATGCTTCTGTCGAGATTTTATATGAAGATATTCCCGTTTCCAACGAAATTCTGAAATCTATCCAAATATCCCCTCGCAGATTCTACAAAAAGAGTGTTTCAAAACTGCTCTGTAAAAAGAAAGGTTCAACTCTGTTAGTTGAGTACACACATCACAAACAAGTATCACAGAATGCTTCTTTCTAGCTTGTAGGGGAAGATATTTCCTTTATCACCATGGTCCTCAATCCGTCCGAAACGTGCTCTTCCATATACTAAAAAAAGAGTGTTTGAAACCTACTCTATGAAAGGCAACGTTCAACTCTGTGACTTGAATGCAGACATCACAGAGCAGTTTCTGAGAATGCTGCTGTCTAGATTTTATAGGAAGATATTCCCGTTTCCAACGAAATCTTCAATGCTATTCAAATATCCACTTGCAGATTCTACAAAAAGAGTGTATCAAAACTGCTCTGTCAAAAGGAAGGTTCTTCTCTGTTAGGTGAGTGCATACGTCATAAAGGAGTTTCTGAGAATGTTTCTGTCTAGTGGTTATGGGAAGATATTTGCTTTTTCACCGTTGGCCTCAGAGCGCTCCAAATATCCACTTGCACATACTACAAAAAGAGTCTTTCAAAGCTGCTCTCTGAAAGGGAATGTTCAACTCTATGAGTTGAATGCAAACATGACAAAGACGTTTCTGAGAATGCTTCTGTCTAGATTTGATATGAAGATATTCCCGTTTCCAAGGAAATCTTCAAATCTATCCAAATGTCCACTTGCAGATTCAACAAAAATTGTTTTTCAGAACTGCTCTATCAAAAGAAAGATCCACGTGTGTTAGCTGAGTTCACACATAACAAACAAGTTTATGAGAATGCTTCTGTCTAGTTTTTATTTGAAGATATATCCTTTCTCACTATAGACCTGAAAGCTGTCCTAAAGTTCACTTCCAGATACTACAGAAAGAGTATTTCAACACTGCTGTACGAAAGGGAATGTTCAACTCTGTGACTTGAATGCACACATCACAAGGATGTTTCTGAGGATGCTGCTGTCTACTTTTTATACGTAATCCCGTTTCCAACGAAATCCTCCAACTATCCAAATATCCACTTGCAGATTCCACAGAAAGACTGTTTCAAAACTGCTCTGTCAATAGAAAGGTTCAACTCTGTTAGCTGCGTGCATATATCCCAAAGAAGATTCTGAAATTGCTTCTGTCTAGTTTTTATGGGAAGATATTTCCCTTTTCACCGTAGGTGTCAAGGCGCTCCAAATGTCCACTTCCAGATACTACAAAAAGAGTGCTTCAAACCTACTCTGTGAAAGGGAATATTCAACTCTGTGACTTAAAGGCAGATGTCACAAAGAAGTTTCTGAGAATGCTTCTGTCGAGATTTTATATGAAGATATTCCCGTTTCCAACGAAATCCTGAAATCTATCCAAATATCCGCTCGCAGATTCTACAAAAAGAGTGTTTCAAAACTGCTCTGTGAAAAGAAAGGTTCAACTCTTTTAGTTGAGTACACACATCACAAACAAGTTTCACAGAATGCTTCTTTCTAGCTTGTAGGGGAAGATATTCCCTTTATCACCATGGGCCTCCAACCGTCCGAAACATCCACTTCCATATACTACAAAAAGAGCGTTTCAAACCTGGTCTCTGAAAGGCAATGTTCAACTCTGTGACTTGAATGCAGACATCACAGAGCAGTTTCTGAGAATGCTTCTGTCTAGATTTGATATGAAGATATTCCCGTTTCCAAAGAAATCTTCAGAGCTATCCAAATATCCACTTGCATATTCTACAAAAAGAGTGTATCAAAAATGCTCTGTCAAAAGGTAGGTTCTTCTCTGTTAGTTGAGTACATACGTCAGAAAGAAGTTTCTGAGAATGTTTCTGTCTAGTGGTTATGGGAAGATATTTGCTTTTTCCCCGTAGGCCTCAGGGCGCTCCAAATGTCCACTTGCACATGCTACAAAAAGAGTGCTTCAAAGCTACTCTCTGGAAGGGAATGTTCAACTCTATGAGTTGAATGCAAACATCACAAAGACGTCTCTGAGAATGCTTCTGTCTAGATTTGATATGAAGATATTCCCGTTTCCAACGAAACCTTCAAATCTATCCAAATGTCCACTTGCAGATTCAACAAAAAGTGTTTTTCAGAACTGCTCTATCAAAAGAAAGATCCACCTTGGTTAGCTGAGTTCACACATCACAAAGAAGTTTATGAGAATGCTTCTGTCTAGTTTTTATTTGAAGATATATCCTTTCCAACTATAGACATGAAAGCTCTCCTAAAATTCACTTCCAGATACTACAGAAAGAGTGTTTCAAAACTGATGTATGAAAGGGAATGTTCAACTCTGTGACTTGAATGCACACATCACAAAGAAGTTTCTGAGGATGCTGCTGTCTACTTTTTATACGTAATCCCGTTTCCAACGAAATCCTCCAAGCTATCCAAATATCCACTTGCAGATTCCACAGAAAGACTGTTTCAAAACTGGTCTGTCAATAGAAAGGTTCAACTCTGTTAGCTGCGTGCATATATCCCAAAGGAGATTCTGAGATTGCTTCTGTCTACTTTTTATGAGAAGATATTTCCCTTTTCACTGTAGGCGTCAAGGCGCTCCAAATGTCCACTTCCAGATACTAGAAAAAGGGTGTTTCAAACCTACTCTGTGAAAGGGAATATTCAACTCTGTGACTTGAATGCACATATCACAAAGAAGCTTCTGAGAATGCTTCTGTCGAGGATTTTATATGAAGATATTCCCGTTTCCAACGAAATCCTGAAATGTATCCAAATATCCCCTCGCAGATTCTACAAAAAGAGTGTTTCAAAACTGCTCTGTAAAAAGAAAGGTTCAACTCTGTTAGTTGAGTACACACATCACAAACAAGTTTCACAGAATGCTTCTTTCTAGCTTGTAGGGGAAGATATTCCCTTTATCACCATGGGCCTCAAACCGTCCGATAAGTCCACTTCCATATACTACAAAAAGAGCGTTTCAAACCTGCTCTATGAAAGGCAATGTTCAACTCTGTGACTTGAATGCAGACATCGCAGAGCAGTTTCTGAGAATGCTTCTGTCTAGATTTTATAGGAAGATATTCCCGTTTCCAACGAAATCTTCACAGCTATCCAAATATCCACTTGCAGATTCTACAAAAAGAGTGTATCAAAACTGCCCTGTCAAAAGGAAGGTTCTTTTCTGTTAGGTGAGTGCATACGTCATAAAGGAGTTTCTGAGAATGTTTCTGTCTAGTGGTTATGGGAAGATATTTGCTTTTTCACCGTAGGCCTCAGAGCGCTCCAAATATCCACTTGCACATACTACAAAAAGAGTGCTTCAAAGCTGCTCTCTGAAAGGGAATTTTCAACTCTATGAGTTGAATGCAAACATCACAAAGCCGTTTCTGAGAATGCTTCTGTCTAGATTTGATATGAAGATATTCCCGTTTCCAACGAAATCTTCAAATCTATCCAAATGTCCACTTGCAGATTCAGCAAAAAGTGTTTTTCAGAACTGCTCTATCAAAAGAAAGATCCACCTCTGTTAGCTGAGTTCACACATCACAAACAAGTTTATGAGAATGCTTCTGTCTAGTTTTTATTTGAAGATATTTCCTTTCTCACCATAGACCTGAAAGCTCTCCTAATGTTCACTTCCAGATACTACAGAAAGAGTGTTTCAAAACTGCTGTACGAAAGGGAATGTTCAACTCTGTGACTTGAATGCAGACATCACAAAGAAGTTTCTGAGGATGCTGCTGTCTACTTTTTATACGTATTCCCGTTTCCAACGAAATCCTCCAAGCTATCCAAATATCCACTTGCAGATTCCACAGAAAGACTGTTTCAAAACTGCTCTGTCAATAGAAAGGTTCAACTCTGTTAGCTGCGTGCATATATCCCAAAGAAGATTCTGAGATTGCTTCTGTCTAGTTTTTATGGGAAGATATTTCTCTTTTCACCGTAGGCGTCAGGGCGCTCCAAATGTCCACTTCCAGATACTACAAAAAGAGTGTTTCAAACCTACTCTGTGAAAGGGAATATTCAACTCTGTGACTTGAATGCAGATATCACAAAGAAGTTTCTGAGAATGCTTCTGTCGAGATTTTATATGAAGATATTCCCCTTTCCAACGAAATCCTGAAATGTATCCAAATATCCCCTCGCAGATTCTACAAAAAGAGTGTTTCAAAACTGCTCTGTAAAAAGAAAGGTTCAACTCTGTTAGTTGAGTACACACATCACAAACAAGTTTCACAGAATGCTTTCTTTCTAGCTTGTAGGGGAAGATATTTCCTTTATCACCATGGGCCTCAAACCGTCCGAAACGTCCACTTCCATATACTAAAAAAAGAGTGTTTGAAACCTGCTCTATGAAAGGCAATGTTCAACTCTGTGACTTGAATGCAGACATCACAGAGAAGTTTCTGAGAATGCTTCTGTCTAGATTTTATAGGGAGATATTCCCGTTTCCAACGAAAGCTTCACAGCTATCCAAATATCCACTTGCAGATTCTACAAAAAGAGTGTATCAAAACTGCTCTGTCAAAAGGAAGGTTCTTCTCTGTTAGGTGAGTGCATACGTCATACAGGAGTTTCTGAGAATGTTTTCTGTCTAGTGGTTATGGGAAGATATTTGCTTTTTCACCGTAGGCCTCAAAGCGCTCCAAATGTCCACTTGCACATACTACAAAAAGAGTGCTTCAAAGCTGCTCTCTGAAACGGAATGTTCAACTCTATGAGTTGAATGCAAACATCACAAAGACGTTTCTGAGAATGCTTCTGTCTAGATTTGATATGAAGATATTCCCGTTTCCAACGAAATCTTCATATCTATCCAAATGTCCACTTGCAGATTCAACAAAAAGTGTTTTTCAAAACTGCTGTATCAAAAGAAAGATCCACGTGTGTTAGCTGAGTTCACACATCACAAACAAGTTTATGAGAATGCTTTCTGTCTAGTTTTTATTTGAAGATATTTCCTTTCTCACCATAGAGATGAAAGCTGTCCTAATGTTCACTTCCAGATACTACAGAAAGAGTGTTTCAAAACTGCTGTACGAAAGGGAATGCTCAACTCTGTGACTTGAATGCACACATCACAAAGAAGTTTCTGAGGATGCTCTGTCTACTTTTTATACGTAATCCCGTTTCCAACGAAATCCTCCAAGCTATCCAAATATCCACTTGCAGATTCCACAGAAAGACTGTTTCAAAACTGCTCTGTCAATAGAAAGGTTCAACTCTGTTAGCTGCGTGCATATATCCCAAAGAAGATTCTGAGATGCTTTCTGTCTAGTTTTTATGGGAAGATATTTCCCTTTCCACCGTAGGCGTCAAGGCGCTCCAAATGTCCACTTCCAGATACTACAAAAAGAGTGTTTCAAACCTTCTCTGTGAAAGGGAATATTCAACTCTGTGACTTGAATGCAGATATCACAAAGAAGTTTCTGAGAATGCTTCTGTCGAGATTTTATATGAAGATATTCCCGTTCCCAACGAAATCTTGAAATCTATCCAAATATCCCCTCGCAGATTCTACAAAAAGAGTGTTTCAAAACTGCTCTGTAAAAGAAAGGTTCAACTCTGTTAGTTGAGTACACACATCACAAACAAGTTTCACAGAATGCTTCTTTCTAGCTTGTAGGGGAAGATATTCCCTTTATCACCATGGGCCTCAAACCGTCCGAAACGTCCACTTCCATATACTACAAAAAGAGCGTTTCAAACCTGCTCTAGGAAAAGCAATGTTCAACTCTGTGACTTGAATGCAGACATCACAGAGCAGTTTGCTGAGAATGCTTCTGTCTAGATTTTATAGGAAGATATTTCCGTTTCCAACGAAATCTTCACAGCTATCCAAATATCCACTTGCAGATTCTACAAAAAGTGTGTATCAAAACTGCTCTGTCAAAAGGAAGGTTCTTCTCTGTTAGGTGAGTGCATACGTCATAAAGGAGTTTCTGAGAATGTTTCTGTCTAGTGGTTATGGGAAGATATTTGCTTTTACACCGTAGGCCTCAGAGCGCTCCAAATATCCACTTGCACATCCTACAAAAAGAGTGCTTCAAAGCTGGTCTCTGAAACGGAATGTTCAACTCTATGAGTTGAATGCAAACATCACAAAGACGTTTCTGAGAATGCTTCTGTGTAGATTTGATATGAAGATATTCCCGTTTCCAACGAAATCTTCAAATCTATCCAAATGTCCACTTGCAGATTCAACAAAAAGTGTTTTTCAGAACTGCTCTATCAAAAGAAAGATCCACCTCTGTTAGCTGAGTTCAGACATCACAAACAAGTTTATGAGAATGCTTCTGTCTAGTTTTTATTTGAAGATATTTCCTTTCTCACCATAGAGCTGAAAGCTGTCCTAATGTTCACTTCCAGATACTACAGAAAGAGTGTTTCAAAACTGCTGTACGAAAGGGAATGTTCAACTCTGTTACTTGAATGCACACATCACAAAGAAGTTTCTGAGGATGCTGCTGTCTACTTTTTATACATAATACCGTTTCCAACGAAATCCTCCAAGCTATCCAAATATCCACTTGCAGATTCCTCAGAAAGACTGTTTCAAAACTGCTCTGTCAATAGAAAGGTTCAACTCTGTTAGCTGCGTGCATATATCCCAAAGAAGATTCTGAGATTGCTTTTGTCTAGTTTTTATGGGAAGATATTTCCCTTTTCACCGTGGGCGTCAAGGCGCTCCAAATGTCCACTTCCAGATACTACAAAAAGAGTGTTTCAAACCTACTCTGTGAAAGGGAATATTCAACTCTGTGACTTGAATGCACATATCACAAGGAAGTTTCTGAGAATGCTTCTGTCGAGATTTTATATGAAGATATTCCCGTTTCCAACGAAATCCTGAAATCTATCCAAATATCCCCTCGCAGATTCTACAAAAAGAGTGTTTCAAAACTGCTCTGTAAAAAGAAAGGTTCAACTCTGTTAGTTGAGTACACACATCACCAACAAGTTTCACAGAATGCTTCTTTCTAGCTTGTAGGGGAAGATATTCCCTTTATCACCATGGGCCTCAAACCGTCTGAAACGTCCACTTCCATATACTGCAAAAAGAGCATTTCAAACCTGCTCTATGAAAGGCAATGTTCAACTCTGTGACTTGAATACAGACATCACAGAGCAGTTTCTGAGAATGCTTCTGTCCGGACTTTATAGGAAGATATTCCCGATTCCAACGAAATCTTCACATCTATCCAAATATCCACTTGCTGATACTACAAAAAGAGTGTATCAAAAATGCTCTGTCAAGAGGACAGTTCTTCTCTGCTAGTTCAGTACATACGTCATAAAGAAGTTTCTGAGAATGTTTCTGTCTAGTGGTTATGGGAAGATATTTGCTTTTTCACCGTAGGCCTCAGAGCGCTCCAAATATCCACTTGCGCATACTACAAAAAGAGTGCTTCAAAGCTGCTCTCTGAAACGGAATGTTCAACTCTATGAGTTGCATGCAAACATCACAAAGACGTTTCTGAGAATGCTTCTGTCTAGATTTGATATGAAGATATTCCCGTTTCCAACGAAATCTTCAAATCTATCCAAATGTCCACTTGCAGATTCAACAAAAAGTGTTTTTCAGAACTGCTCTATCAAAATAAAGATCCACCTCTGTTACCTGAGTTCACACTTCCCAAACAAGTTTTTGAGAATGCTTCTGTCTAGTTTTTATTTGAAGATATTGCCTTTCTCACCATAGACCTGAAAGCTGTACTAATGTTCACTTCCAGATACTACAGAAAGAGTGTTTCAAAACTGCTGTACGAAAGGGAATGTTCAACTCTGTGACTTGAATGCACACATCACAAAGAAGTTTCTGAGGATGCTGCTGTCTACTTTTTATACTTAATCCCGTTTCCAACGAAATCCTCCAAGCTTTCCAAATATCCACTTGCAGATTCCACAGAAAGACTGTTTCAAAACTGCTCTGTCAATAGAAAGGTTCAACTCTGTTAGCTGCGTGCATATATCCCAAAGAAGATTCTGAGATTGCTTTCTGTCTAGTTTTTATGGGAAGATATTTTCCTTTTCACCGTAGGTGTCAAGGCGCTCCAAATGTCCACTTCCAGATACTACAAAAAGAGTGTTTCAAACCTACTCTGTGAAAGCGAATATTCAACTCTGTGACTTGAATGCACATATCACAAAGAAGTTTCTGAGAATGCTTCTGTCGAGATTTTATATGAAGATATTCCCGTTTCCAACGAAATCCTGAAATCTATCCAAATATCCCCTCGCAGATTCTACAAAAAGAGTGTATCAAAACTGCTCTGTAAAAAGAAAGGTTCAACTCTGTTAGTTGAGTACACACATCACAAACAAGTTTCACACAATGCTTCTTTCTAGCTAGTAGGGGAAGCATATTCCCTTTATCACCATGGGCCTCAAACCGTCCGAAACGTCCACTTCCATATACTACAAAAAGAGCGTGTCAAACCTGCTCTATGAAAGGCAATGTTCAACTCTGTGACTTGAATGCAGACATCACAGAGCAGTTTCTGAGAATGCTTCTGTCTAGATTTTATAGGAAGATATTCCCGTTTCCAACGAAATCCTGAAATCTATCCAAATAACCCCTCGCAGATTCTACAAAAAGAGTGTTTCAAAACTGCTCTGTAAAAAGAAAGGTTCAACTCTGTTAGTTGAGTACACACATCACAAACAAGTTTCACAGAATGCTTCTGTCTAGTGGTTATGGGAAGATATTTGATTTTTCACCGTAGGCCTCAGAGCTGCTCCAAATATCCACTTCCACATACTACAAAAAGAGTGCTTCAAAGCTGCTCTCTGAAAGGGAATGTTCAACTCTATGAGTTGAATGCAAACATCTCAAAGACGTTTCTGAGAATGCTTCTGTCTGGATTTGATATGAAGATATTCCCGTTTCCAACGAAATCTTCAAATCTATCCAAATGTCCACTTGCAGATTCAACAAAAAGTGTTTTTCAGAACTGCTCTATCAAAAGAAAGATCCACCTCTGTTAGCTGAGTTCACACATCACAAACAAGTTTATGAGAATGCTTCTGTCTAGTTTTTATTTGAAGATATTTCCTTTCTCACCATAGACCTGAAAGCTGTCCTAATGTTCACTTCCAGATACTACAGAAAGAGTGTTTCAAAACTGCTGTACGAAAGGGAATGTTCAACTCTGTGACTTGAATGAACACATCACAAAGAAGTTTCTGAGGATGCTGCTGTCTACTTTTTATACGTAATCCCGTTTCCAACGAAATCCTCCAAGCTATCCAAATATCCACTTGCAGATTCCACAGAAAGACTGTTTCAAAACTGCTCTGTCAATAGCAAGTTTCAACTCTGTTAGCTGCGTACATATATCCCAAGGAAGATTCTGAGATTGCTTCTGTCTACTTTTTATGAGAAGATATTTCCCTTTTCACCGTAGGCGTCAAGGCGCTCCAAATGTCCACTTCAGATACTACAAAAAGAGTGTTTCAAACCTACTCTGTGAAAGGGAATATTCAACTCTGTGACTTGAATGCACATATCACAAAGAAGCTTCTGAGAATGCTTCTGTCGAGATTTTCTATGAAGATGTTCCCGTTTCCAACGAAATCCTGAAATCTATCCAAATATCCCCTCGCAGATTCTACAAAAAGAGTGTTTTAAAACTGCTCTGTAAAAAGAAAGGTTCAACTCTGTTAGTTGAGTACACACATCACAAACAAGTTTCACACAATGCTTCTTTCTAGCTTGTAGGGGAAGATATTCCCTTTATCACCATGGGCCTCAATCCGTCCGATAAGTCCACTTCCATATACTACAAAAAGAGCGTTTCAAACCTGCTCTAGGAAAGGCAATGTTCAACTCTGTGACTTGAATGCAGACATCACAGAGCAGTTTCTGAGAATGCTTCTGTCTAGATTTTATAGGAAGATATTCCCGTTTCCAACGAAATCTTCACAGCTATCCAAATATCCACTTGCAGATTCTACAAAAAGAGTGTATCAAAACTGCTCTGTCAAAAGGAAGGTTCTTCTCTGTTAGGTAAGTGCACACGTCATAAAGGAGTTTCTGAGAATGTTTCTGTCTAGTGGTTATGGGAAGATATTTGCTTTTTCACCGTAGGCCTCAGAGCCCTCCAAATATCCACTTGCACATACTACAAAAAGAGTGCTTCAAAGCTGCTCTCTGAAACGGAATGTTCAACTCTATGAGTTGAATGCAAACATCGCAAAGACGTTTCTGAGAATGCTTCTGTCTAGATTTGATATGAAGATATTCCCGTTTCCAACGAAATCTTCATATCTATCCAAATGTCCACTTGCAGATTCAACAAAAAGTGTTTTTCAAAACTGCTGTATCAAAAGAAAGATCCACGTCTGTTAGCTGAGTACACACATCACAAACACGTTTATGAGAATGCTTCTGTCTAGTTTTTATTTGAAGATATATCCTTTCTCACTATAGACCTGAAAGCTGTCCTAAAGTTCACTTCCAGATACTACAGAAAGAGTGTTTCAAAACTGCTGTACGAAAGGGAATTTTCAACTCTGTGACTTGAATGCACACATCACAAAGTAGTTTCTGAGGATGCTGCTGTCTACTTTTTATACGTAATCCCGTTTCCAACGAAATCCTCCAATCTATCCAAATATCCACTTGCAGATTCCACAGAAAGACTGTTTCAAAACTGCTCTGTCAATAGAAAGGTTCAACTCTGTTAGCTGCGTGCGTATATCCCAAAGAAGATTCTGAGATTGCTTCTGTCTAGTTTTTATGGGAAGATATTTCCCTTTTCACCGTAGGCGTCAAGGCGCTCCAAATGTCCAATTCCAGATACTATAAAAAGAGTGTTTCAAACCTACTCTGTGAAAGGGAATATTCAACTCTGTGACTGGAATGCAGATATCACAAAGAAGTTTCTGAGAATGCTCTGTCGAGATTTTATATAAAGATATTCCCGTTTCCAACGAAATCCTGAAATCTATCCAAATATCCCCTCGCAGATTCTACAAAAAGAGTGTTTCAAAACTGCTCTGTAAAAAGAAAGGTTCAACTCTGTTAGTTGAGTACACACATCACAAACAAGTTTCACAGAATGCTCTCTTTCTAGCTTGTAGGGTAAGATATTCCCTTTATCACCATGGGCCTCAAACCGTCCGAAACGTCCACTTCCATATACTACAAAAAGAGCGTTTCAAACCTGCTCTATGAAAGGCAATGTTCAACTCTGTGACTTGAATGCAGACATCACAGAGCAGTTTCTGAGAATGCTTCTGTCTAGATTTTGTAGGAAGATATTCCCGATTCCAACGAAATCTTCACAGCTATCCAAAGATCCACTTGCAGATTCTACAAAAAGAGTGTATCAAAACTGCTCTGTCAAAAGGAAGGTTCTTCTCTGTTAGGTGAGTGCATACGTCATAAAGGAGTTTCTGAGAATGTTTCTGTCTAGTGGTTATGGGAAGATATTTGCTTTTTCACCGTAGGCCTCAGAGCGCTCCAAATATCCACTTGCACATACTACAAAAAGAGTGTTCCAAAGCTGCTCTCTGAAAGGGAATGTTCAACTCTATGAGTTGAATGCAAACATGACAAAGACGTTTCTGAGAATGCTTCTGTCTAGATTTGATAGGAAGATATTCCCGTTTCCAACGAAATCTTCAAATCTATCCAAATGTCCTCTTGCAGATTCAACAAAAAGTGTTTTTCAAAACTGCTGTATCAAAAGAAAGATCCACGTCTGTTAGCTGAGTTCACACATCACAAACAGGTTTATGAGAAACCTTCTGTCTAGTTTTTATTTGAAGATATTGCCTTTCTCACCATAGACCTGAAAGCTGTCCTAATGTTCACTTCCAGATACTACAGAAAGAGTGTTTCAAAACTGCTGTACGAAAGGGAATGTTCAACTCTGTGACTTGAATGAACACATCACAAAGAAGTTTCTGAGGATGCTGCTGTCTACTTTTTATACATAATCCCGTTTCCAACGAAATCCTCCAAGCTATCCAAATATCCACTTGCAGATTCCACAGAAAGACTGTTTCAAAACTGCTCTGTCAATAGAAAGGTTCAACTCTATTAGCTGCGTACATATATCCCAAAGAAGATTCTGAGATTGCTTCTGTCTAGTTTTTATGGGAAGATATTTCCCTTTTCACCGTAGGCGTCAAGGCGCTCCAAATGTCCACTTCCAGATATTACAAAAAGAGTGCTTCAAACCTTCTCTGTGAAAGGGAATATTCAACTCTGTGACTTGAATGCAGATATCACAAAGAAGTTTCTGAGAATGCTTCTGTCGATATTTTATATGAAGATATTCCCGTTTCCAACGAAATCCTGAAATCTATCCAAATATCCCCTCGCAGATTCTACAAAAAGAGTGTTTCAAAACTGCTCTGTAAAAAGAAAGGTTCAACTCTGTTAGTTGAGTACACACATCACAAACAAGTTTCACAGAATGCTTCTTTCTAGCTTGTAGGGGAAGATATTCCCTTTATCACCATGGGCCTCCAACCGTCCAATAAGTCCACTTCCATATACTACAAAAAGAGCGTTTCAAACCTGCTCTATGAAAGGCAATGTTCAACTCTGTGACTTGAATGCAGACATCACAGAGCAGTTTCTGAGAATGCTTCTGTCTAGATTTTATAGGAAGATATTCCGGTTTCCAAAGAAATCTTCACAGCTATCCAAATATCCACTTGCAGATTCTACAAAAAGAGTGTATCAAAACTGCTCTGTCAAAAGGAAGGTTCTTTTCTGTTAGGTGAGTGCATACGTCATAAAGGAGTTTCTGAGAATGTTTCTGTCTAGTGGTTATGGGAAGATATTTGCTTTTTCACCTTAGGCCTCAGAGCGCTCCAAATATCCACTTGCACATACTACAAAAAGAGTGCTTCAAAGCTGCTCTCTGAAACGGAATGTTCAACTCTATGAGTTGAATGCAAACATCACAAAGACGTTTCTGACAATGCTTATCTGTCTAGATTTGATATGAAGATATTCCCGTTTCCAACGAAATCTTCAAATCTATCCAAATGTCCACTTGCAGATTCAACAAAAAGTGTTTTTCAAAACTGCTGTATCAAAAGAAAGATCCACGTCTGTTAGCTGAGTTCACACATCACAAACAGGTTTATGAGAATGTTTCTGTCTAGTTTTTATTTGAAGATATTTCCTTTCTCACCATAGACCTGAAAGCTGTCCTAGTGTTCACTTCCAGATACTACAGAAAGAGTGTTTCAAAACTGCTGTACGAAAGGGAAAGTTCAACTCTGTGACTTGAATGCACACATCACAAAGAAGTTTCTGAGGATGCTGCTGTCTACTTTTTATACGTAATCCCGTTTCCAACGAAATCCTCCAAGCTATCCAAATATCCACTTGCAGATTCCACAGAAAGACTGTTTCAAAAGTGCTCTCTCAATAGAAAGGTTCAACTCTGTTAGCTGCGTGCATATATCCCAAAGAAGATTCTGAGATTGCTTCTGTCTAGTTTTTATGGGAAGATATTTCCCTTTTCACCGTAGGTGTCAAGGCGCTCTAAATGTCCACTTCCAGATACTACAAAAAGAGTGTTTCAAACCTACTCTGTGAAAGGGAATATTCAACTCTGTGACTTGAATGCACATATCACAAAGAAGTTTCTGAGAATGCTTCTGTCGAGATTTTATATGAAGATATTCCCGTTTCCAACGAAATCCTGAAATGTATCCAAATATCCCCTCGCAGATTCTACAAAAAGAGTGTTTCAAAACTGCTCTGTAAAAAGAAAGGTTCAACTTTGTTAGTTGAGTACACACATCACAAACAAGTTTCACAGAATGCTTCTTTCTAGCTTGTAGGGGAAGATATTCCCTTTATCACCATGGGCCTCAGACCGTCCGAAACGTCCACTTCCATATACTACAAAAAGAGGGTTTCAAACCTGCTCTATGAAAGGCAATGTTCAACTCTGTGACTTGAATGCAGACATCACAGAGCAGTTTCTGAGAATGCTTCTGTCTAGATTTTATAGGAAGATATTCCCGTTTCCAACGAAATCTTCACAGCTATCCAAATATCCACTTGCAGATTCTACAAAAAGAGTGTATCAAAACTGCTCTGTCAAAAGGAAGGTTCTTCTCTGTTAGGTGAGTGCATACGTCACAAAGGAGTTTCTGAGAATGTTTCTGTCTAGTGGTTATGGGAAGATATTTGCTTTTTCCCCGTAGGCCTCAGGGCGCTCCAAATGTCCACTTGCAAATGCTACAAAAAGAGTGCTTCAAAGCTGCTCTCTGAAAGGGAATGTTCAACTCTATGAGTTGAATGCAAACATCACAAAGACGTTTCTGAGAATGCTTCTGTCTAGATTTGATATGAAGATATTCCCGTTTCCAACGAAATCTTCAAATCTATCCAAATGTCCACTTGCAGTTTCAACAAAAAGTGTTTTTCAGAACTGCTCTATCAAAAGAAAGATCCACCTCTGTTAGCTGAGTTCACACATCACAAACAAGTTTATGAGAATGCTTCTGTCTAGTTTTTATTTGAAGATATTTCCTTTCTCACCATAGACCTGAAAGCTGTCCTAATGTTCACTTCCAGATACTACAGAAAGAGTGTTTCAAAGCTGCTGTACGAAAGGGAATGTTCAACTCTGTGACTTGAATGCACACATCACAAAGAAGTTTCTGAGGATGCTGCTGTCTACTTTTTATACGTAATCCCGTTTCCAACGAAATCCTCCAGGCTATCCAAATATCCACTTGCAGATTCCACAGAAAGACTGTTTCAAAACTGCTCTGTCAATAGAAAGGTTCAACTCTGTTAGCTGCGTGCATATATCCCAAAGAAGATTCTGAGATTGATTCTGTCTAGTTTTTATGGGAAGATATTTCCCTTTTCACCGTAGGCGTCAAGGCGCTCCAAATGTCCACTTCCAGATACTACAAAAAGAGTGTTTCAAACCTACTCTGTGAAAGGGAATATTCAACTCTGTTACTTGAATGCAGATATCACAAAGAAGTTTCTGAGAATGCTTCTGTCGAAATTTTATATGAAGATATTCCAGTTTCCAACGAAATCCTGAAATCTATCCAAATATCCCCTCGCAGATTCTACAAAAAGAGTGTTTCAAAACTGCTCTGTAAAAAGAAAGGTTCAACTCTGTTAGTTGAGTACACACATCACAAACAAGTTTCACAGAATGCTTCTTTCTAGCTTGTAGGGGAAGATATTCCCTTTATCACCATGGGCCTCCAACCGTCCGAAACATCCACTTCCATATAATAGAAAAGGAGCGTTTCAAACCTGCTCTATGAAAGGCAATGTTCAACTCTGTGACTTGAATGCAGACATCACAGAGCAGTTTCTGAGAATGCTTCTGTCTAGATTTTATAGGAAGATATTCCCGTTTCCAACGAAATCTTCACAGCTATCCAAATATCCACTTGCAGATTCTACAAAAAGAGTGTATCTAAACTGCTCTGTCAAAAGGAAGGTTATTTTCTGTTAGGTGAGTGCATACGTCATAAAGGAGTTTCTGAGAATGTTTCTGTCTAGTGGTTATGGGAAGATATTTGCTTTTTCACCGTAGGCCTCAGAGCGCACCAAATATCCACTTGCACATACTACAAAAAGAGTGCTTCAAAGCTGCTCTCTGAAACGGAATGTTCAACTCTATGAGTTGAATGCAAACATCACAAAGACGTTTCTGAGAATGCGTCTGTCTAGATTTGATATGAAGATATTCCCGTTTCCAACGAAATCTTCAAATCTATCCAAATGTCCACTTGCAGATTCAACAAAAATTGTTTTTCAGAACTGCTCTATCAAAAGAAAGATCCACGTGTGTTAGCTGAGTTCACACATAACAAACAAGTTTATGAGAATGCTTGTCTGTCTAGTTTTTATTTGAAGATATTTCCTTTCTCACCATAGACCTGAAAGCTGTCCTAATGTTCACTTCCAGATACTACAGAAAGAGTGTTTCAAAACTGCTGTACGAAAGGGAATGTTCAACTATGTGACTTGAATGCACACATCACAAAGAAGTTTCTGAGGATGCTGCTGTCTACTTTTTATACGTAATCCCGTTTCCAACGAAATCCTCCAGGCTATCCAAATATCCACTTGCAGATTCCACAGAAAGACTGTTTCAAAACTGCTCTGTCAATAGAAAGGTTCAACTCTGTTAGCTGCGTGCATATATCCCAAAGAAGATTCTGAGATTGCTTCTGTCTAGTTTTTATGGGAAGATATTTCCCTTTTCACCGTAGGCGTCAAGGCGCTCCAAATGTCCACTTCCAGATACTACAAAAAGAGTGTTTCAAACCTACTCTGTGAAAGGGAATATTCAACTCTGTGACTTGAATGCACATATCTCAAGGAAGTTTCTGAGAATGCTTCTGTCGAGATTTTATATGAAGATATTCCCGTTTCCAACGAAATCCTGAAATGTATCCAAATATCCCCTTGCAGATTCTACAAAAAGAGTGTTTCAAAACTGCTCTGTAAAAAGAAAGGTTCAACTCTGTTAGTTGAGTACACACATCACAAACAAGTTTCACACAATGCTTCTTTCTAGCTTGTAGGGGAAGATATTCCCTTTATCACCATGGGCCTCAAACCGTCCGATAAGTCCACTTCCATATACTACAAAAAGAGCGTTTCAAACCTGCTCTATGAAAGGCAATGTTCAACTACTGTGACTTGAATGCAGACATCACAGAGCAGTTTCTGAGAATGCTTCTGTCTAGATTTTATAGGAAGATATTCCCGTTTCCAACGAAATCTTCACAGCTATCCAAATATCCACTTGCAGATTCTACCAAAAGAGTGTATGAAAACTGCTCTGTCAAAAGGAAGGTTCTTCTCTGTTAGGTGAGTGCATACGTCATAAAGGAGTTTCTGAGAATGTTTCTGTCTAGTGGTTATGGGAAGATATTTGCTTTTTCACCGAAGGCCTCAGAGCGCTCCAAATATCCACTTGCACATACTACAAAATGAGTGCCTCAAAGCTGCTCTCTGAAACGGAATGTTCAACACTATGAGTTGAATGCAAACATCGCAAAGACGTTTCCGAGAATGCTTCTGTCTAGATTTGATATGAAGATATTCTCGTTTCCAACGAAATCTTCAAATCTACCCAAATGTCCACTTGCAGATTCAACAAAAATTGTTTTTCAGAACTGCTCTATCAAAAGAAAGATCCACGTGTGTTAGCTGAGTTCACACATAACAAACAAGTTTATGAGAATGCTTCTGTCTTGTTTTTATTAGAAGATATTTCCTTTCTCACCATAGACCTGAAAGCTGTCCTAATGTTCACTTCCAGATACTACAGAAAGAGTGTTTCAAAACTGCTGTACGAAAGGGAATGTTCAACTCTGTGACTTGAATGCACACATCACAAGGATGTTTCTGAGGATGCTGCTGTCTACTTTTATACGTAATCCCGTTTCCAACGAAATCCTCCATGCTATCCAAATATCCACTTGCAGATTCCACAGAAAGACTGTTTCAAAACTGCTCTGTCAATAGAAAGGTTCAACTCTGTTAGCTGCGTGCATATATCCCAAAGAAGATTCTGAGATTGCTTCTGTCTAGTTTTTATGGGAAGATATTTCCCTTTTCACCGTAGGTGTCAAGGCGCTCCAAATGTCCACTTCCAGATACTACAAAAAGAGTGTTTCAAACCTACTCTGTGAAAGGGAATATTCAACTCTGTGAATTCAATGCACATATCACAAAGAAGTTTCTGAGAATGCTTCTGTCGAGATTTTATATGAAGATATTCCCGTTTCCAACGAAATCCTGAAATCTATTCAAATATCCCCTCGCAGATTCTACAAAAAGAGTGTTTCAAAACTGCTCTGTAAAAAGAAAGGTTCAACTCTGTTAGTTGAGTACACACATCACAAACAAGTTTCACAGAATGCTTCTTTCTAGCTTGTAGGGGAAGATATTCCCTTTATCACCATGGGCCTCAAACCGTCCGATAAGTCCACTTCCATATACTACAAAAAGAGCGTTTCAAACCTGCTCTATGAAAGGCAATGTTCAACTCTGTGACTTGAATGCAGACATCACAGAGCAGTTTGCTGAGAATGCTTCTGTCTAGATTTTATAGGAAGATATTCCCGTTTCCAACGAAATCTTCACAGGTATCCAAATATCCACTTGCAGATTCTACAAAAAGAGTGTATCAAAACTGCTCTGTCAAAAGGAAGGTTCTTCTCTGTTAGGTGAGTGCATACCGTCATAAAGGAGTTTCTGAGAAAGTTTCTGTCTAGTGGTTATGGGAAGATATTTGCTTTTTCACCGTAGGCCTCAGAGCGCTCCAAATATCCACTTGCACATACTACAAAAAGAGTGCCTCAAAGCTGTTCTCTGAAACGGAATGTTCAACTCTATGAGTTGAATGCAAACATCACAAAGACGTTTCTGAGAAAGCTTCTGTCTAGATTTGATATGAAGATATTCCCGTTTCCAACGAAATCTTCAAATCTATCCAAATGTCCTCTTGCAGATTCAACAAAAAGTGTTTTTCAGAACTGCTCTATCAAAAGAAAGATCGACGTGTGTTAGCTGAGTTCACACATCACGAACAAGTTTATGAGAATGCTTCTGTCTAGTTTTTATTTGAAGATATTTCCTTTCTCACCATAGAGCTGAAAGCTGTCCTAATGTTCACTTCCAGATACTACAGAAAGAGTGTTTCAAAACTGCTGTACGAAAGGGAATGTTCAACTCTGTGACTTGAATGCACACATCACAAAGAAGTTTCTGAGGATGCAGCTGTCTACTTTTTATACTTAATCCCGTTTCCAACGAAATCCTCCAAGCTATCCAAATATCCACTTGCAGATTCCACAGAAAGACTGTTTCAAAACTGCTCTGTCAATAGAAAGGTTCAACTCTGTTAGCTGCGTGCATATATCCCAAAGCAGATTCTGAGATTGCTTCTGTCTAGTTTTTATGGGAAGATATTTCCCTTTTCACCGTAGGCGTCAAGGCGCTCCAAATGTCCACTTCCAGATACTACAAAAAGAGTGTTTCAAACCTACTCTATGAAAGGGAATATTCAACTCTGTGACTTGAATGCACATATCACAAGGAAGTTTCTGAGAATGCTTTTGTCGAGATTTTCTATGAAGATATTCCCGTTTCCAACGAAATCCTGAAATGTATCCAAATATCCCCTCGCAGATTCTACAAAAAGAGTGTTTCAAAACTGCTCTGTAAAAAGAAAGGTTCAACTCTGTTAGTTGAGTACAAACATCACAAACAAGTTTCACAGAATGCTTCTTTCTAGCTTGAAGGGGAAGATATTCCCTTTATCACCATGGGCCTCAAACCGTCTGAAACGTCCACTTCCATATACTACAAAAAGAGCATTTCAAACCTGCTCTATGAAAGGCAATGTTCAACTCTGTGACTTGAATGCAGACATCACAGAGCAGTTTCTGAGAATGCTTCTGTCCAGACTTTATAGGAAGATATTCCCGTTTCCAAAGAAATCTTCACAGCTATCCAAATATACACTTGCAGATACTGCAAAAAGAGTGTATCAAAAATGCTCTGTCAAAAGGAAAGTTCTTCTCTGCTAGTTGAGTACATACGTCATAAAGAAGTTTCTGAGAATGTTTCTGTCTAGTGGTTATGGGAAGATATTTGCTTTTTCACCGTAGGCCTCAGAGCGCTCCAAATATCCACTTGCACATGCTACAAAAAGAGTGCTTCAAAGCAGCTCTCTGAAACGGAATGTTCAACTCTATGAGTTGAATGCAAACATCACAAAGACGTTTCTGAGAATGCTTCTGTCTAGATTTGATATGAAGATATTCCCGTTTCCAACGAAATCTTCAAATCTATCCAAATGTCCACTTGCAGATTCAACAAAAAGTGTTTTTCAGAACTGCTCTATCAAAAGTAAGATCCACCTCTGTTAGCTGAGTTCACACCTCACAAACAAGTTTATGAGAATGCTTCTGTCTAGTTTTTATTTGAAGATATTTCCTTTCTCACCATAGACCTGAAAGCTATCCTAATGTTCACTTCCAGATACTACAGAAAGAGTGTTTCAAAACTGCTGTACGAAAGGTGATGTTCAACTCTGTGACTTGAATGCACACATCACAAAGAAGTTTCTGAGGATGCTGCTGTCTACTTTTTATACGTAATCCCGTTTCCAACGAAATCCTCCAAGCTATCCAAATATCCACTTGCAGATTCCACAGAAAGACTGTTTCAAAACTGCTCTGTCAATAGAAAGGTTCAACTCTGTTAGCTGCGTGCATATATCCCAAAGAAGATTCTGAGATAGCTTCTGTCTAGTTTTTATGGGAAGATATTTCCCTTTTCACTGTAGGCGTCAAGGCGCTCCAAATGTCCACTTCCAGATACTACAAAAAGAGTGTTTCAAACCTACTCTGTGAAAGGGAATATTCAACTCTGTGACTTGAATGCACATATCACAAGGAAGTTTCTGAGAATGCTTCTGTCGAGATTTTATATGAAGATATTCCCGTTTCCAACGAAATCCTGAAATCTATCCAAATATCCCCTCGCAGATTCTACAAAAAGAGTGTTTCAAAACTGCTCTGTAAAAAGAAAGGTTCAACCCTGTTAGTTGAGTACACACATCACAAACAAGATTCACAGAATGCTTCTTTCTAGCTTGTAGGGGAAGATATTCCCTTTATCACCGTGGGCCTCAAACCGTCCGAAACATCCACTTCCATATACTACAAAAAGAGCGTTTCAAACCTGCTCTATGAAAGGCAATGTTCAACTCTGTGACTTGAATGCAGACATCACAGAGCAGTTTCTGAGAATGCTTCTGTCTAGATTTTATAGGAAGATATTCCCGTTTCCAACGAAATCTTCACAGCTATCAAAATATCCACTTGCAGATTCTACAAAAAGAGTGTATCAAAACTGCTCTGTCAAAAGGAAGGTTCTTCTCTGTTAGGTGAGTGCATACGTCATAAAGGAGTTTCTGAGAATGTTTCTGTCTAGTGGTTATGGGAAGATATTTGCTTTTTCACCGTAGGCCTCAGAGCGCTCCAAATATCCACGTGCACATACTACAAAAAGAGTGCTTCAAAGCTGGTCTCTGAAACGGAATGTTCAACTCTATGAGTTGAATGCAAACATCACAAAGACGTTTCTGAGAATGCTTCTGTCTAGCATTTGATATGAAGATATTCCCGTTTCCAACGAAATCTTCAAATCTATCCAAATGTCCACTTGCAGATTCAACAAAAAGTGTTTTTCAGAACTGCTCTATCAAAAGAAAGATCCACCTCTGTTAGATGAGTTCACACATCACAAACAAGTTTATGAGAATGCTTCTGTCTAGTTTTTATTTGAAGATGCTTCCTTTCTCACCATAGACCTGAAAGCTGTCCTAATGTTCACTTCCAGATACTACAGAAAGAGTGTTTCAAAACTGCTGTACGAAAGGGAATGTTCAACTCTGTGACTTGAATGCACACATCACAAAGAAGTTTCTGAGGATGCTGCGGTCTACTTTTTATACGTAATCCCGTTTCCAACGAAATCCTCCACTCTATCCAAATATCCACTTGCAGATTCCACAGAAAGACTGTTTCAAAACTGCTCTGTCAATAGAAAGGTTCAACTCTGTTAGCTGCGTGCATATATCCCAAAGAAGATTCTGAGATTGCTTCTGTCTAGTTTTTATGGGAAGATATTTCCCTTTTCACCGTAGGTGTCAAGGCGCTCCAAATGTCCACTTCCAGATACTACAAAAAGAGTGTTTCAAACCTACTCTGTGAAAGGGAATATTCAACTCTGTGACTTGAATGTACATATCACAAAGAAGTTTCTGAGAATGCTTCTGTCGAGATTTTATATGAAGATATTCCCGTTTCCAACGAAATGCTGAAATGTATCCAAATATCCCCTCGCAGATTCTACAAAAAGAGTGTTTCAAAACTGCTCTGTAAAAAGAAAGGTTCAACTCTGTTAGTTGAGTACACACATCAAAAACAAGTTTCACAGAATGCTTCTTTCTAGCTTGTAGGGGAAGATATTCCCTTTATCACCATGGGCCTCAAACCGTCCGAAACGTCCACTTCCATATACTACAAAAAGAGCGTTTCAAACCTGCTCTATGAAAGGCAATGTTCAACCCTGTGACTTCAATGCAGACATCACAGAGCAGTTTCTGAGAATGCTTCCGTCTAAATTTTATAGGAAGATATTCCCCTTTCCAACGAAATCTTCACAGCTATCCAAATATCCACTTGCAGATTCTACAAAAAGAGTGTATCAAAACTGCTCTGTCAAAAGGAAGGTTCTTCTCTGTTAGGTGAGTGCATACGTCATAAAGGAGTTTCTGAGAATGTTTCTGTCTAGTGGTTATGGGAAGATATTTGCTTTTTCACCATAGGCCTCAGAGCGCTCCAAATATCCACTTGCACATAGTACAAAAAGAGTGCTTCAAAGCTGCTCTCTGAAAGGGAATGTTCAACTCTATGAGTTGAATGCTAACATCACAAAGACGTTTCTGAGAATGCTTCTGTCTAGATTTGATATGAGGATATTCCCGTTTCCAACGAAATCTTCAAATCTATCCAAATGTCCACTTGCAGATTCAACAAAAAGTGTTTTTCAGAACTGCCCTATCAAAAGAAAGATCCACCTCTGTTAGCTGAGTTCACACATCACAAACAAGTTGATGAGAATGCTTCTGTCTAGTTTTTATTTGAAGATATTTCCTTTCTCACCATAGACCTGAAAGCTGTCCTAATGTTCACTTCCAGATACTACAGAGTGTTTCAAAACTGCTGTACGAAAGGGAATGTTCAACTCTGTGACTTGAATGCACACATCACAAAGAAGTTTCTGAGGATGCTTCTGTCCAGCCTTTATAGGAAGATATTCCTGTTTCCAACGAAATCTTCACAGCTATCCAAATATCCACTTGCAGATTCCACAGAAAGACTGTTTCTAAACTGCTCTTTCAATAGAAAGGTTCAACTGTGTTAGCTGCGTGCATATATCCCAAAGAAGATTCTCAGATTGCTTCTGTCTACTTTTTATGAGAAGATATTTCCCTTTTCACCGTAGGCATCAAGGCGCTCCAAATGTCCACTTCCAGATACTAGAAAAAGAGTGTTTCAAACCTACTCTGTGAAAGGGAATATTCAACTTTGTGACTTGAATGCACATATCACAAAGAAGCTTCCGAGAATGCATCTGTCGAGATTTTATATGAAGATATTCCCCTTTCCAACGAAATCCTGAAATGTATCCAAATATCCCCTCGCAGATTCTACAAAAAGAGTGTTTCAAAACTGCTCTGTAAAAAGAAAGGTTCAACTCTGTTAGTTGAGTACACACATCACAAACAAGTTTCACAGAATGCTTCTTTCTACCTTGTAGGTGAAGATATTTCCTTTATCACCATGGGCCTCAAACCGTCCGAAACGTCCACTTCCATATACTAAAAAAAGAGTGTTTCAAACCTGCTCTATGAAAGGCAATGTTCAACTCTGTGACTTGAATGCAGACATCACAGAGCAGTTTCTGAGAATGCTTCTGTTTAGATTTTATAGGAAGATATTCCCGTTTCCAACGAATTCTTCACTGATATCCAAATATCCACTTGCAGAGTCTACAAAAAGAGTGTATCAAAACTGCTCTGTCAAAAGGAAGGTTCTTCTCGGTTAGTTGAGTACATACGTCATAAAGAAGTTTCTGAGAATGTTTCTGTCTAGTGGTTATGGGAAGATATTTGCTTTTTCCCCGTAGGCCTCAGGGCGCTCCAAATGTCCACTTGCACATGCTACAAAAAGAGTGCTTCAAAGCTGCTCTCTGAAACCGAATGTTCAACTCTATGAGTTGAATGCAAACATCACAAAGACGTTTCTGAGAATGCTTCTGTCTAGATTTGATATGAAGATATTCCCGTTTCCAACGAAATCTTCATATCTATCCAAATGTCCACTTGCAGATTCAACAAAAAGTGTTTTTCAAAACTGCTGTATCAAAAGAAAGATCCAGGTCTGTTAGCTGAGTTCACACATCACAAACAAGTTTATGAGAATGCTTCTGTCTAGTTTTTATTTGAAGATATTTCCTTTCTCACCATAGACCTGAAAGCTGTCCTAATGTTCACTTCCAGATACTACAGAAAGAGTGTTTCAACACTGCTGTACGAAAGGGAATGTTCAACTCTGTGACTTGAATGCACACATCACAAAGTAGTTTCTGAGGATGCTGCTGTCTACTTTTTATACGTAATCCCGTTTCCAACGAAATCCTCCAAGCTATCCAAATATCCACTTGCAGATTCCACAGAAAGACTGTTTCAAAACTGCTCTGTCAATAGAAAGGTTCAACTCTTTTAGCTGCGTGCATATATCCCAAAGAAAATTCTGAGATTGCTTCTGTCTAGTTTTTATGGGAAGATATTTCCCTTTTCACCGTAGGTGTCAAGGCGCTCCAAATGTCCACTTCCAGATACTACAAAAAGAGTATTTCAAACCTACTATGTGAAAGGCAATATTCAACTCTGTGACTTGAATGCAGATATCACAAAGAAGTTTCTGAGAATGCTTCTGTCGAGATTTTACATGAAGATATTCCCGTTTCCAACCAAATGCTGAAATCTATCCAAATATCTCCTCGCAGATTCTACAAAAAGAGTGTTTCAAAACTGCTCTGTGAAAAGAAAGGTTCAACTCTGTTAGTTGAGTACACACATCACAAACAAGTTTCACACAATGCTTTCTTTCTATCTTGTAGGGGAAGATATTCCCTTTATCACCATGGGCCTCCAACCGTCCGAAACATCCACTTCCATATACTACAAAAAGAGCGTTTCAAACCGGCTCTATGAAAGGCAATGTTCAACTCTGTGACTTGAATGCAGACATCACAGAGCAGTTTCTGAGAATGCTTCTGTCTAGATTTTATAGGAAGATATTCCCGTTTCCAACGAAACCTTCACAGCTATCCAAATATCCACTTGCAGATTCTACAAAAAGAGTGTATCAAAACTGCTCTGTCAAAAGGAAGGTTCTTTTCTGTTAGGTGAGTGCATACGTCATAAAGGAGTTTCTGAGAATGTTTATCTGTCTAGTGGTTATGGGAAGATATTTGCTTTTTCACCGTAGGCCTCAGAGCGCTCCAAATATCCACTTGCACATACTACAAAAAGAGTGCCTCAAAGCTGCTCTCTGAAACCGAATGTTCAACTCTATGAGTTGAATGCAAACATCACAAAGACGTTTCTGAGAATGCTTCTGTCTAGATTTGATATGAAGATATTCCCCTTTCCAACGAAATCTTCAAATCTATCCAAATGTCCACTTGCAGATTCAACAAAAAGTGTTTTTCAGAACTGCTCTATCAAAAGAAAGATCCACCTCTGTTAGCTGAGTTCACACATCACAAACAAGTTTATGAGAATGCTTCTGTCTAGTTTTTATTTGAAGATATATCCTTTCTCACTATAGACCTGAAAGCTCTCCTAAAGTTCACTTCCAGATACTACAGAAAGAGTGTTTCAAAACTGCTGTACGAAAGGGAATGTTCAACTCTGTGACTTGAATGCACACATCACAAGGAAATTTCTGAGGATGCTGCTGTCTACTTTTTATACGTAATCCCGTTTCCAAAGAAATCCTCCAAGCTATCCAAATACCCACTTGCAGATTCCACAGAAAGACTGTTTCAAAACTGCTCTGTCAATAGAAAGGTTCAACTCTGTTAGCTGCGTGCATATATCCCAAAGAAGATTTTGAGATTGCTTCTGTCTAGTTTTTATGGGAAGATATTTCCCTTTTCACCGTAGGTGTCAAGGTGCTCCAAATGTCCACTTCCAGATACTACAAAAAGAGTGTTTCAAACCTACTCTGTGAAAGGGAATATTCAACTCTGTGACTTGAATGCACATATCACAAAGAAGTTTCTGAGAATGCTTCTGTCGAGATTTTATATGAAGATATTACCTTTTCCAACGAAATCCTGAAATCTATCCAAATATCCCCTCGCAGATTCTACAAAAAGAGTGTTTCAAAACTGCTCTGTAAAAAGAAAGGTTCAACTCTGTTACTTGAGTACACACATCACAAACAAGTTTCACAGAATGCTTCTTTCTAGCTTGTAGTGGAAGATATTCCCTTTATCACCATGGGCCTCAAACCGTCCGAAAAGTCCACTTCCATATACTACAAAAAGAGCGTTTCAAACCTGCTCTATGAAAGGCAATGTTCAACTCTGTGACTTGAATGCAGACATCACAGAGCAGTTTCTGAGAATGCTTCTGTCTAGATTTTATAGGAAGATATTCCCGTTTCCAACGAAATCTTCACAGCTATCCAAATATCCACTTGCAGATTCTACAAAAAGAGTGTATCAAAACTGTTCTGTCGAAAGGAAGGTTCTCCTCTGTTAGGTGAGTGCATACGTCATAAAGGAGTTTCTGAGAATGTTTCTGTCTAGTGGTTATGGGAAGATATTTGCTTTTTCACCGTAGGCCTCAGAGCGCTCCAAATATCCACTTGCACATACTACAAAAAGAGTGCCTCAAAGCTGCTCTCTGAAACGGAATGTTCGACTCTATGAGTTGAATGCAAACATCACAAAGACGTTTCTGAGAATGCTTCTGTCTAGATTTGATATGAAGATATTCCCGTTTCCAACGAAATCTTCAAATCTATCCTAATGTCCACTTGCAGATTCAACAAAAAGTGTTTTTCAGAACTGCTCTATCAAAAGAAAGATCCACCTCTGTTAGCTGAGTTCACACATCACAAACAAGTTTATGAGAATGCTTATCTGTCTAGTTTTTATTTGAAGATATATCCTTTCTCACTATAGACCTGAAAGCTCTCATAAAGTTCACTTCCAGATACTACAGAAAGAGTGTTTCAAAACTGCTGTACGAAAGGGAATGTTCAACTCTGTGACTTGAATGCACACATCACAAGGATGTTTCTGAGGATGCTGCAGTCTACTTTTTATACGTAATCCCGTTTCCAACGAAATCCTCCAATCTATCCAAATATCCACTTGCAGATTCCACAGAAAGACTGTTTCAAAACTGCTCTGTCAACAGAAAGGTTCAACTCTGTTAGCTGCGTGCATATATCCCAAAGAAGATTCTCAGATTGCTTCTGTCTAGTTTTTATGGGAAGATATTTCCCTTTTCACCGTAGGCGTCAAGGCGCTCCAAATGTCCACTTCCAGATACTATAAAAAGAGTGTTTGAAACCTACTCTGTGAAAGGGAATATTCAACTCTGTGACTTGAATGCAGATATCACAAGGAAGTTTCTGAGAATGCTTCTGTCGAGATTTTATATGAAGATATTCTCGTTTCCAACGAAATCCTGAAATCTATCCAAATATCCCCTCACAGATTCTACAAAAAGAGTGTTTCAAAACTGCTCTGTAAAAAGAAAGGTTCAACTCTGTTAGTTGAGTACACACATCACAAACAAGTTTCACAGAATGCTTCTTTCTAGCTTGTAGGGGAAGATATTCCCTTTATCACCATGGGCCTCCAACCGTCCGAAACATCCACTTCCCTATACTACAAAAAGAGCGTTTCAAACCTGCTCTATGAAAGGCAATGTTCAACTCTGTGACTTGAATGCAGACATCACAGAGCAGTTTCTGAGAATGCTTCTGTCTAGATTTTATAGGAAGATATTCCCGTTTCCAACGAAATCTTCACAGCTATCCAAATATCCACTTGCAGATTCTACAAAAAGAGTGTATCAAAACTGCTCTGTCAAAAGGAAGGTTCTTCTCTGTTAGGTGAGTGCATACGTCCTAAAGCAGTTTCTGAGAATGTTTCTGTCTAGTGGTTATAGGAAGATATTTGCTTTTTCCCCGTAGGCCTCAGGGCGCTCGAAATGTCCACTTGCACATGCTACAAAAAGAGTACTTCAAAGCTGCTCTCTGAAAGGGAATGTTCAACTCTATGAGTTGAATGCAAACATCACAAAGACGTTTCTGAGAATGCTTCTGTCTAGATTTGATATGAAGATATTCCCGTTTCCAACGAAATCTTCAACTCTATCCAAATGTCCACTTGCAGATTCAACAAAAAGTGTTTTTCAGAACTGCTCTATCAAAAGAAAGATCCACCTCTGTTAGCTGAGTTCACACATCACAAACAAGTTTATGAGAATGCTTCTGTCTAGTTTTTATTGGAAGGTATTTCCTTTCTCACCATAGACCTGAAAGCTGTCCTAATGTTCACTTCCAGATACTACAGAAAGAGTGTTTCAAAACTGCTGTACGAAAGGGAATGTTCAACTCTGTGACTTGAATGCACACATCACAAAGAAGTTTCTGAGGATGCTGCTGTCTACTTTTTATACGTAATCCCGTTTCCAATGAAATCCTCCAAGCTATCCAAATATCCACTTGCAGATTCCACAGAAAGACTGTTTCAAATCTGCTCAGTCAATAGAAAGGTTCAACTCTGTTAGCTGCGTGCATATATCACAAAGAAGATTCTGAGATTGCTTCTGTCTAGTTTTTATGGGAAGATATTTCCCTTTTCACCGTAGGCGTCAAGGCGCTCCAAATGTCCACTTCCAGATACTACAAAAAGAGTGTTTCAAACCTACTCGGTGAAAGGGAATATTCAACTCTGTGACTTGAATGCAGATATCACAAAGAAGTTTCTGAGAATGCTTCTGTCGAGACTTTTATATGAAGATATTCCCGTTTCCAACGAAATCCTGAAATCTATCCAAATATCCCCTCGCAGATTCTACAAAAAGAGTGTTTCAAAACTGCTCTGTAAAAAGAAAGGTTCAACTCTGTTAGTTGAGTACACACATCCCAAACTAGTTTCACACAATGCTTCTTTCTAGCTTGTAGGGGAAGATATTCCCTTTATCACCATGGTCCTCAAACCGTCCGAAACGTCCTCTTCCATATAGTACAAAAAGAGCGTTTCAAACCTGCTCTATGAAAGGCAATGTTCAATTCTGTGACTTGAATGCAGACATCACAGAGCAGTTTCTGAGAATGCTTCTGTCTAGTATTTTATAGGAAGATATTCCCGTTTCCAACGAAATCTTCACAGCTATCCAAATATCCACTTGCAGATTCTACAAAAAGAGTTTATCAAAACTGCTCTGTCAAAAGGAAGGTTCTTCTCTGTTAGGTGAGTGCATACTTCATAAAGGAGTTTCTGAGAATGTTTCTGTCTAGTGGTTATGGGAAGATATTTGCTTTTTCCCCGTAGGTCTCAGGGCGCTCCAAATGTCCACTTGCACATGCTACAAAAAGAGTGCTTCATATCTGCTCTATGGAAGGGAATGTTCAACTCTATGAGTTGAATGCAAACATCACAAAGACGTTTCTGAGAATGCTTCTGTCTAGATTTGATATGAAGATATTCCCGTTTCCAACGAAATCTTCAATCTATCCAAATATCCACTTGCAGATTCAACAAAAAGTGTTTTTCAGAACTGCTCTATCAAAAGAAAGATCCACCTCTGTTAGCTGAGTTCACACATCACAAACAAGTTTATGAGAATGCTTCTGTCTAGTTTTTATTTGAAGATATTTCCTTTCTCACCATAGAGCTGAAAGCTGTCCTAATGTTCACTTCCAGATACTACAGAAAGAGTGTTTCAAAACTGCTGTACGAAAGGGAATGTTCAACTCTGTGACTTGAATGCACACATAACAAAGAAGTTTCTGAGGATGCTACTGTCTACTTTTTATACGTAAACCCGTTTCCAACGAAATCCTCCAAGCTATCCAAATATCCACTTGCAGATTCCACAGAAAAACTGTTACAAAACTGCTCTGTCAATAGAAAGGTTCAACTCTGTTAGCTGCGTGCATATATCCCAAAGAAGATTCTGAGATTGCTTTCTGTCTAGTTTTTATGGGAAGATATTTCCCTTTTCACCGTAGGTGTCAAGGCGCTCAAAATGTCCACTTCCAGATACTACAAAAAGAGTGTTTCAAACCTACTCTGTGAAAGGGAATATTCAACTCTGTCACTTGAATGCAGATATCACAAAGAAGTTTCTGAGAATTCTTCTGTCGAGATTTTATATGAAGATATTCCCGTTTCCAACGAAATCCTGAAATCTATCCAAATATCCCCTCGCAGATTCTACAAAAAGAGTGTTTCAAAACTGCGCTGTAAAAAGAAAGGTTCAACTCTGTTAGTTGAGTACACACATCACAAACAAGTTTCACAGAATGCTTCTTTCTAGCTTGTAGGGGAAGATATTCCCTTTATCACCGTGGGCCTCAAACCGTCCGATAAGTCCACTTCCATATACTACAAAAAGAGCGTTTCAAACCTGCTCCATGAAAGGCAATGTTCAACTCTGTGACTTGAATGCAGACATCACAGAGCAGTTTACTGAGAATGCTTCTGTCTAGATTTTATAGGAAGATATTCAAGTTTCCAACGAAATCTTCACAGCTATCCAAATATCCACTTGCAGATTCTACAAAAAGAGTGTATCAAAACTGCTCTGTCAAAAGGAAGGTTCTTTTCTGTTAGGTGAGTGCATACGTCATAAAGGAGTTTCTGAGAATGTTTCTGTCTAGTGGTCATGGGAAGATATTTGCTTTTTCACCGTAGGCCTCAGAGCGCTCCAAATATCCACTTGCACATACTACAAAAAGAGTGCCTCAAAGCTGCTCTCTGAAACGGAATGTTCAACTCTATGAGTTGAATGCAAACATCACAAAGACGTTTCTGAGAATGCTTCTGTCTAGATTTGATATGAAGATATTCCCGTTTCCAACGAAATCTTCATATCTATCCAAATGTCCACTTGCAGATTCAACAAAAAGTGTTTTTCAGAACTGCTCTATCAAAAGAAAGATCCACCTCTGTTAGCTGAGTTCACACATCACAAACAAGTTTATGAGAATGCTTCTGTCTAGTTTTTATTTGAAGATATTTCCTTTCTCACCATAGAGCTGAAAGCTGTCCTAATGTTCACTTCCATATACTACAGAAAGAGTGTTTCAAAACTGCTGTACGAAAGGGAATGTTCAACTCTGTGACTTGAATGCACACATCACAAAGGAGTTTCTGAGGATGCTGCTGTCTACTTTTTATACGTAATCCCGTTTCCAACGAAATCCTCCAAGCTATCCAAATATCCACTTGCAGATTCCACAGAAAGACTCTTTCAAAACTGCTCTGTCAATAGAAAGGTTCAACTCTGTTAGCTGCGTGCATATATCCCAAAGAAGATTCTGAGATTGCTTCTGTCTAGTTTTTATGGGAAGATATTTCCCTTTTCACCGTAGGCGTCAAGGTGCTCCAAATGTCCACTTCCAGATACTACAAAAGGAGTGTTTCAAACCTACTCTGTCAAAGGGAATATTCAACTCTGTGACTTGAATGCACATATCACAAAGAGGTTTCTGAGAATGTTTCTGTCGAGATTTTATATGAAGATATTCCCGTTCCCAACGAAATCCTCAAATCTATCCAAATATCCCCTCACAGATTCTACAAAAAGAGTGTTTCAAAACTGCTCTTTAAAAAGAAAGGTTCAACTCTGTTAGTTGAGTACACACATCACAAACAAGTTTCATAGAATGCTTCTTTCTAGCTTGTAGGGGAACATATTCCCTTTATCACCATGGGCCTCAAACCGTCCGAAACGTCCACTTCCATATACTACAAAAAGAGCGTTTCAAACCTGCTCTATGAAAGGCAATGTTCAACTCTATGACTTGAATGCAGACATCACAGAGCAGTTTCTGAGAATGCTTCTGTCTAGATTTTGTAGGAAGATATTCCCGATTCCAACGAAATCTTCACAGCTATCCAAATATCCACTTGCAGATTCTACAAAAAGAGTGTATCAAAACTGCTCTGTCAAAAGGAAGGTTCTTCTCTGTTAGGTGAGTGCATACGTCATAAAGGAGTTTCTGAGAATGTTTCTGACTAGTGGTTATGGGAAGATATTTGCTTTTTCACCGTAAGCCTCAGAGCGCTCCAAATATCCACTTGCACATACTACAAAAAGAGTGCCTCAAAGCTGCTCTCTGAAACGGAATGTTCAACTCTATGAGTTGAATGCAAACATCGCAAAGACGTTTCTGAGAATGCTTCTGTCTAGATTTGATATGAAGATATTCCCGTTTCCAACGAAATCTTCAAATCTATCCAAATGTCCACTTGCAGATTCAACAAAAAGTGTTTTTCAGAACTGCTCTATCAAAAGAAAGATCCACCTCTGTTAGCTGAGTTCACACATCACAAACAAGTTTATGAGAATGCTTCTGTCTAGTTTTTATTTGAAGATATTCCCTTTTTCACCACAGACCTGAAAGCTGTCCTAATGTTCACTTCCAGATACTACAGAAAGAGTGTTTCAAAGCTGCTGTACGAAAGGGAATGTTCAACTCTGTGACTTGAATGCACACATCACAAAGAAGTTTCTGAGGATGCTGCTGTCTACTTTTTATACGTAATCCCGTTTCCAACGAAATCCTCCAAGCTATCCAAATATCCACTTGCAGATTCCACAGAAAGACTGTTTCAAAACTGCTCTGTCAATAGAAAGGTTCAACTCTGTTAGCTGCGTGCGTATATCCCAAAGAAGATTCTGAGATTGCTTCTGTCTAGTTTTGATGGGAAGATACTTCCCTTTTCACCGTAGGCGTCAAGGCGCTCCAAATGTCCACTTCCAGATACTACAAAAAGAGTGTTTCAAACCTACTCTGTGAAAGGGAATATTCAACTCTGTGACTTGAATGCACATATCACAAGGAAGTTTCTGAGAATGCTTCTGTCGAGATTTCATATGAAGATATTCCCGTTTCCAACGAAATCCTGAAATCTATCCAAATATCCCCTCGCAGATTCTACAAAAAGAGTGTTTCAAAACTGCTCTTTAAAAAGAAAGGTTCAACTCTGTTAGTTGAGTACACACATCACAAACAAGTTTCACAGAATGCTTCTTTCTAGCTTGTGGTGGAAGATATTCCCTTTATCACCATGGGACTCAAACCGTCCGAAACGTCCACTTCCATATACTACAAAAAGAGCGTTTCAAACCTGCTCTATGAAAGGCAATGTTCAACTCTGTGACTTGAATGCAGACATCACAGAGCAGTTTCTGAGAATGCTTCTGTCTAGATTTTATAGGAAGATATTACCGTTTCCAACGAAATCTTCACAGCTATCCAAATATCCACTTGCAGGTTCTACAAAAAGAGTGTATCAAAACTGCTCTGTCAAAAGGAAGGTTCTTCTCTGTTAGGTGAGTGCATACGTCATAAAGGAGTTTCTGAGAATGTTTCTGTCTAGTGGTTATGGGAAGATATTTGCTTTTTCACCGTAGGCCTCAGAGCGCTCCAAATATCCACTTGCACATACTACAAAAAGAGTGCTTCAAAGCTGCTCTCTGAAACGGAACGTTCAACTCTATGAGTTGAATGCAAACATCACAAAGACGTTTCTGAGAATGCTTCTGTCTAGATTTGATATGAAGATATTCCCGTTTCCAACGAAATCTTCAAATATATCCAAATGTCCGCTTGCAGATTCAACAAAAAGTGTTTTTCAGAACTGCTCTATCAAAAGAAAGATCCACCTCTGTTAGCTGAGTTCACACATCACAAACAAGTTTATGAGAATGCTTCTGTCTAGTTTTTATTTGAAGATATTTCCTTTCTCACCATAGACGTGAAAGCTGTCCTAATGTTCACTTCCAGATACTATAGAAAGAGTGTTTCAAAACTGCTGTACGAAAGGGAATGTTCAACCCTGTGACTTGAATGCACACATCACAAAGAAGTTTCTGAGGATGCTGCTGTCTACTTTTTATACGTAATCCCGTTTCCAACGAAATCCTCCAAGCTATCCAAATATCCACTTGCAGATTCCTCAGAAAGACTGTTTCAAAACTGCTCTGTCAATAGAAAGGTTCAACTCTGTTAGCTGCGTGCATATATCCCAAAGAAGATTCTGAGATTGCTTCTGTCTAGTTTTTATGGGAAGATATTTCCCTTTTCACCGTAGGTGTCAAGGCGCTCCAAATGTCCACTTCCAGACACTACAAAAAGAGTGTTTCAAACCTACTCTGTGAAAGGGAATATTCAACTCTGTGACTTGAATGCACATATCACAAAGAAGTTTCTGAGAGTGCTTCTGTCGAGATTTTATATGAAGATATTCCCGTTTCCAGCGAAATCCTGAAATGTATCCAAATATCCCCTCGTAGATTCTACAAAAAGAGTGTTTCAAAACTGCTCTGTAAAGAGAAAGGTTCAACTCTGTTAGTTGAGTGCACACATCACAAACAAGTTTCACAGAATGCTGCTTTCTAGCTTGTAGGGGAAGATATTCCCTTTATCACCATGGGCCTCAAACCGTCCGAAACGTCCACTTCCATATACTACAAAAAGAGCGTTTCAAACCTGCTCTATGAAAGGCAATGTTCAACTCTGTGACTTGAATGCAGACATCACAGAGCAGTTTCTGAGAATGCTTCTGTCTAGATTTTATAGGAAGATATTCCCGTTTCCAACGAACTCTTCACAGCTATCCAAATATCCACTTTCAGATTCTACAAAAAGAGTGTATCAAAACTGCTCTGTCAAAAGGAAGGTTCTTCTCTGTTAGGTGAGTGCATACGTCATAAAGGAGTTTCTGAGAATGTTTCTGTCTAGTGGTTATGGGAAGATATTTGCTTTTTCACCGTAGGCCTCACAGCGCTCCAAATATCCACTTGCACATACTACAAAAAGAGTGCTTCAAAGCTGCTCTCTGAAACGGAATGTTCAACTCTATGAGTTGAATGCAAACATCACAAAGACGTTTCCGAGAATGCTTCTGTCTAGATTTGATATGAAGATATTCCCGTTTCCAACGAAATCTTCAAATCTATCCAAATGTCCACTTGCAGATTCAACAAAAAGTGTTTATCAGAACTGCTCTATCAAAAGAAAGATCCACCTCTGTTAGCTGAGTTCACACATCACAAACAAGTTTATGAGAATGCTTCTGTCTAGTTTTTATTTGAAGATATATCCTTTCTCACTATAGACCTGAAAGGTGTCCTAAAGTTCACTTCCAGATACTACAGAAAGAGTGTTTCAAAACTGCTGTACGAAAGGGAATGTTCAACTCTGTGACTTGAATGCACACATCACAAGGATGTTTCTGAGGATGCTGCTGTCTACTTTTTATACGTAATCCTGTTTCCAACGAAATCCTCCAAGCTATCCAAATATCCACTTGCAGATTCCACAGAAAGAATGTTTCAAAACTGCTCTGTCAATAGAAAGGTTCAACTCTGTTAGCTGCGTGCATATATCCCAAAGAAGATTCTGAGATTGCTTCTGTCTAGTTTTTGTGGGAAGATATTTCCCTTTTCACCGTAGGCGTCAAGGCGCTCCAAATGTCCACTTCCAGATACTACAAAAAGAGTGTTTCAAACCTACTGTGTGAAAGGGAATATTCAACTCTGTGACTTGAATGCACATATCACAAAGAAGTTTCTGAGAATGCTTCTGTCGAGATTTTTTATGAAGATATTCCCGTTTCCAACGAAATCCTGAAATCTATCCAAATATCCCCTCGCAGATTCTACAAAAAGAGTGTTTCAAAACTGCTCTGTAAAAAGAAAGGTTCAACTCTGTTAGTTGAGTACAGACATCACAAACAACTTTCACAGAATGCTTCTTTCTAGCTTGTAGGGGAAGATATTCCCTTTATCACCATGGGCCTCCAACCGTCCGAAACATCCACTTCCATATACTACACAAAGAGCGTTTCAAACCTGCTCTATGAAAGGCAATGTTCAACTCTGTGACTTGAATGCAGACATCACAGAGCAGTTTCTGAGAATGCTTCTGTCCAGACTTTATAGGAAGATATTCCCGTTTCCAACGAAATCTTCACAGCTATCCAAATATCCACTTGCAGATACTACAAAAAGAATGTATCAAAAATGCTCTGTCAAAAGGAAAGTTCTTCTCTGCTAGTTGAGTACATACGTCATAAAGAAGTTTCTGAGAATGTTTCTGTCTAGTGGTTATGGGAAGATATTTTCTTTTTCACCGTAGGCCTCAGAGCGCTCCAAATATCCAGTTGCACATACTACAAAAAGAGTGCCTCAAAGCTGCTCTCTGAAACGGAATGTTCAACTCTGTGAGTTGAATGCAAACATCGCAAAGACGTTTCTGAGAATGCTGCTGTCTAGATTTGATATGAAGATATTCCCGTTTCCAACGAAATCTTCAAATCTATCCAAATGTCCACTTGCAGATTCAACAAAAAGTGTTTTTCAGAACTGCTCTATCAAAAGAAAGATCCACCTCTGTTAGCTGAGTTCACACATCACAAACAAGTTTATGAGAATGCTTCTGTCTAGTTTTTATTTGAAGATATTTCCTTTCTCACCATAGACCTGAAAGCTGTCCTAATGTTCACTTCCAGATACTACAGAAAGAGTGTTTAAAAACTGCTGTACGAAAGGGAATGTTCAACTCTGTGACTTGAATGCACACATCACAAAGAAGATTCTGAGGATGCTGCTGTCTACTTTTTCTACGTAATCCCGTTTCCAACGAAATCCTCCAAGCTATCCAAATATCCACTTGCAGATTCCACAGAAAGACTGTTTCAAAACTGCTCTGTCAATAGAAAGGTTCAACTCTATTAGCTGCGTGCATATATCCCAAAGAAGATTCTGAGATTGCTTCTGTCTAGTTTTTATGGGAAGATATTTCCCTTTTCACCGTAGGAGTCAAGGCACTCCAAATGTCCACTTCCAGATGCTACAAAAAGAGTGTTTCAAACCTACTCTGTGAAAGGGAATATTCAACTCTGTGACTTGAATGCACATATCACAAAGAAGTTTCTGAGAATGCTTTTGCCGAGATTTTATATTAAGATATTCCCGTTTCCAACGAAATCCTGAAATCTATCCAAATATCCCCTCGCAGATTCTACAAAAAGAGTGTTTCAAAACTGCTCTGTAAAAAGAAAGGTTCCACTCTGTTAGTTGAGTACACACATCACAAACAAGTTTCACAGAATGCTTCTTTCTAGCTTGTAGGGGAAGATATTCCCTTTATCACCATGGGCCTCAAACCGTCTGAAACGTCCACTTCCATATACTACAAAAAGAGCATTTCAAACCTGCTCTATGAAATGCAATGTTCAACTCTGTGACTTGAATGCAGACATCACAGAGCAGTTTCTGAGAATGCTTCCGTCTAGATTTTATAGGAAGATATTCCCCTTTCCAACGAAATCTTCACAGCTATCCAAATATCCACTTGCAGATTCTACAAAAAGAGTGTATCAAAACTGCTCTGTCAAAAGGAAGGTTCTTCTCTGTTAGGTGAGTGCATACGTCATAAAGGAGTTTCTGAGAATGTTTCTGTCTAGTGGTTACGGGAAGATATTTGCTTTTTCACCTTAGGCCTCAGAGCGCTCCAAATATCCACTTGCACATACTACAAAAAGAGTGCTTCAAAGCTGCTCTCTGAAACGGAATGTTCAACTCTATGAGTTGAATGCAAACATGACAAAGACGTTTCTGAGAATGATTCTGTCTAGATTTATGACGATATTCCCGTTTCCAACGAAATCTTCAAATCTATCCAAATGTCCACTTGCAGATTCAACAAAGTGTTTTTCAGAACTACTCTATCAAAAGAAAGATCCACCTCTGTTAGCTGAGATCACACTTCACAAACAAGTTTATCAGAATGCTTCTGTCTAGTTTTTATTTGAAGATATTTCCTTTCTCACCATAGACCTGAAAGCTGTCCTAATGTTCACTTCCAGATACTACAGAAAGAGTGTTTCAAAACTGCTGTACGAAAGGGAATGTTCAAATCTGTGGCTTGAATGCACATATCACAAAAAAGTTTCTGAGGATGCTGCTGTCTACTATTTATACGTAATCCCGTTTCCAACGAAATCCTCCAAGCTATCCAAATATCCACTTGCAGATTCCACAGAAAGACTGTTTCAAAACTGCTCTGTCAATAGAAAGGTTCAACTCTGTTAGCTGCGTGCATATATCCCAAAGCGGATTCTGAGATTGCTTCTGTCTAGTTTTTATGGGAAGATATTTCCCTTTTAACCATAGGCGTCAAGGCGCTCCAAATGTCCACTTCCAGATACTACAAAAAGAGTGTTTCAAACCTACTCTGTGAAAGGGAATATTCACTTCTGTGACTTGAATGCAGATATCACAAAGAAGTTTCTGAGAATGCTTCTGTCGAGATTTTATATGAAGATATTCCCGTTTCCAACGAAATCCTGAAACCTATCCAAATATCCCCTCGCAGATTCTACAAAAAGAGTGTTTCAAAACTACTCTGTAAAAAGAAAGGTTCAACTCTGTTAGTTGAGTACACACATCACAAACAAGTTTCACAGAATGCTTCTTTCTAGCTTGTAGGGGAAGATATTCCCTTTATCACCATGGGCCTCCAACCGTCCGAAACTTCCACTTCCATATACTACAAAAAGAGCGTTTCAAACCTGCTCTATGAAAGGCAATGTTCAACTCTGTGACTTGAATGCAGACATCACAGAGCAGTTTCTGAGAATGCTTTTGTTTAGATTTTATAGGAAGATATTCCCGTTTCCAACGAATTCTTCACAGATATCCAAATATCCACTTGCAGATTCTACAAAAAGAGTTTATCAAAACTGCTCTGTCAAAAGGAAGGTTCTTCTGTGTTAGTTGAGTACATACGTCATAAAGAAGTTTCTGAGAATGTTTCTGTCTAGTGGTTATGGGAAGATATTTGCTTTTTCACCGTAGGCCTCAGAGCGCTCCAAATATCCACTTGCACATACTACAAAAAGAGTCCTTCAAAGCTGCTCTCTGAAACGGAATGTTCAACTCTATGAGTTGAATGCAAACATCACAAAGACGTTTCTGAGAATGCTTCTGTCTAGATTTGATATGAAGATATTCCCGTTTCCAACGAAATCTTGAAATCTATCCAAATGTCCACTTGCAGATTCAACAAAGTGTTTTTCAGAACTGCTCTATCAAAAGAAAGATCCACGTGTGTTAGCTGAGTTCACACATCACAAACAAGTTGATGAGAATTCTTTCTGTCTAGTTTTTATTTGAAGATATTGCCTTTCTCACCATAGACCTGAAAGCTGTCCTAATGTTCACTTCCAGATACTACAGAAACAGTGTTTCAAAACTGCTGTATGAAAGGGAATGTTCAACTCTGTGACTTGAATGCACACATCACAAAGAAGTTTCTGAGGATGCTGCTGTCTACTTTTTATACGTAATCCCGTTTCCAACGAAATCCTCCAAGCTATCCAAATATCCACTTGCAGATTCCACAGAAAGACTGTTTCAAAACTGCTCTGTCAATAGAAAGGTTCAACTCTATTAGCTGCGTACATATATCCCTAAGAAGATTCTGAGATTGCTTCTGTCTAGTTTTTATTGGAAGATATTTCCCTTTTCACCGTAGGTGTCAAGGCGCTCCAAATGTCCACTTCCAGATACTACAAAAAGAGTGTTTCAAACCTACTCTGTGAAAGGGAATATTCAACTCTGTGACTTGAATGCACATATCACAAAGAAGTTTCTGAGAATGCTCCTGTCGAGATTTTGTATGAAGATATTCCCGTTTCCAACGAAATCCTGAAATCTATCCAAATATCCCCTCGCAGATTCTACAAAAACAGTGTTTCAAAACTGCTCTGTGAAAAGAAAGGTTCAACTCTCTTAGTTGAGTACACACATCACAAACAAGTTTCACAGAATGCTTCTTTCTAGCTTGTAGGGGAAGATATTCCCTTTATCACCATGGGCCTCCAACCGTCCGAAACATCCACTTCCATATACTACAAAAAGAGCGTTTCAAACCTGCTCTATGAAATGCAATGTTCAACTCTGTGACTTGAATACAGACATCACAGAGCAGTTTCTGAGAATGCTTCTGTCTAGATTTTATAGGAAGATATTCCCGTTTCCAACGAAATCTTCACAGCTATCCAAATATCCACTTGCAGATTCTACAAAAAGAGTGTATCAAAACTGCTCTGTCAAAAGGAAGGTTCTTCTCTGTTAGTTGAGTACATACGTCATAAAGGAGTTTCTGAGAATGATTCTGCCTAGTGGTTATGGGAAGATATTTGCTTTTTCACCGTAGGCCTCAGTAGCGCTCCAAATATCCACTTGCACATACTACAAAAAGAGTGCTTCAAAGCTGCTCTCTGAAAGGGAATGTTCAACTCTATGAGTTGAATGCAAACATCACAAAGACGTTTCTGAGAATGCTTCTGTCTAGATTTGTTATGAAGATATTCCCGTTTCCAACGAAATCTTCAAATCTATCCAAATGTCCACTTGCAGATTCAACAAAAAGTGTTTTTCAGAACTGCTCTATCAAAAGAAAGATCCACCTCTGTTAGCTGAGTTCACACATCACAAAAAAGTTTATGAGAATGCTTCTGTCTAGTTTTTATTTGAAGATATTGCCTTTCTCACCCTAGACCTGAAAGCTGTCCTAATGTTCTCTTCCAGATGCTACAGAAAAAGTGTTTCAAAACTGCTGTACGAAAGGGAATGTTCAACTCTGTGACTTGAATGCACACATCACAAAGAAGTTTCTGACGATGCTGCTGTCTACTTTTTATACGTAATCCCGTTTCCAACGAAATCCTCCAAGCTATCCAAATGTCCACTTGCAGATTCCACAGAAAGACTGTTTCAAAACTGCTCTGTCAATAGAAAGGTTCAACTCTGTTAGCTGCGTGCATATATCCCAAGGAAGATTCTGAGATTGCTTCTGTCTAGTTTTTATGGGAAGATATTTCCCTTTTCACCGTAGGCATCAAGGCGCTCCAAATGTCCACTTCCAGATACTACAAAAAGAGTGTTTCAAACCTACTCTGTGAAAGGGAATATTCAACTCTGTGACTTGAATGCACATATCACAAAGAAGTTTCTGAGAATGCTTCTGTCGAGATTTTATATGAAGATATTCCCGTTTCCATCGAAATCCTGAAATCTATCCAAATATCCGCTCGCAGATTCTACAAAAAGAGTGTTTCAAAACTGCTCTGTGAAAAGAAAGGTTCAACTCTGTTAGTTGAGTACACACATCACAAACAAGTTTCACAGAATGCTTCTTTCTAGCTTGTAGGGGAAGATATTCCCTTTATCACCATGGGCCTCAAACCTTCCGAAAAGTCCACTTCCATATACTACAAAAAGAGCGTTTCAAACCTGCTCTATGAAAGGCAATGTTCAACTCTGTGACTTGAATGCAGACATCACAGAGCAGTTTCTGAGAATGCTTTCTGTCTAGATTTTATAGGAAGATATTCCCGTTTCCAACGAAATCTTCACAGCTATCCAAATATCCACTTGCGGATTCTACAAAAAGAGTGTATCAAAACTGCTCTGTCAAAAGGAAGGTTCTTCTCTGTTAGGTGAGTGCACACGTCATAAAGGAGTTTCTGAGAATGTTTCTGTCTAGTGGTTATGGGAAGATATTTGCTTTTTCACCGTAGGCCACAGAGCGGTCCAAATATCCACTTGCACATACTACAAAAAGAGTGCCTCAAAGCTGCTCTCTGAAACGGAATGTTCAACTCTATGAGTTGAATGCAAACATCACAAAGACGTCTCTGAGAATGCTTCTGTCTAGATTTGATATGAAGATATTCCCGTTTCCAACGAAATCTTCAAATCTATCCAAATGTCCACTTGCAGATTCAACAAAAAGTGTTTTTCAGAACTTCTCTATCAAAAGAAAGATCCACCTCTGTTAGCTGAGTTCACACATCAGAAACAAGTTTATGAGAATGCTTCTGTCTAGTTTTATTTGAAGATATATCCTTTCTCACTATAGACCTGAAAGCTCTCCTAAAGTTCACTTCCAGATACTACAGAAAGAGTGTTTCAAAACTGCTGTATGAAAGGGAATGTTCAACTCTGTGACTTGAATGCACACATCACAAAGCAGTTTCTGAGGATGCTGCTGTCTACTTTTTATACCTAATCCCGTTTCCAACGAAATCCTCCAAGCTATCCAAATATCCACTTGTAGATTCCACAGAAAGACTGTTACAAAACTGCTCTGTCAATAGAAAGGTTCAACTCTGTTAGCTGCGTGCATATATCACAAAGAAGATTCTGAGATTGCTTCTGTCTACTTTTTATGGGAAGATATTTCCCTTTTCACCGTAGGCGTCAAGGCGCTCCAAATGTCCACTTCCAGATACTACAAAAAGAGTGTTTCAAACCTACTCTGTGAAAGGGAATATTCAACTCTGTGACTTGAATGCACATATCACAAAGAAGTTTCTGAGAATGCTTCTGTCGAGATTTTATATGAAGATATTCCTGTTTCCAACGAAATCCTGAAATCTATCCAAATATCCCCTCGCAGATTCTACAAAAAGAGTGTTTCAAAACTGCTCTGTGAAAAGAAAGGTTCAACTCTGTTAGTTGAGTACACACATCACAAACAAGTTTCACAGAATGCTTCTGTCTAGTTTTTATTTGAAGATATTTCCTTTCTCGCCATAGACCTGAAAGCTGTCCTAATGTTCACTTCCAGATACTACAGAAAGAGTGTTTCAAAACTGCTGTATGAAAGGGAATGTTCAACTCTGTGACTTGAATGCAGACATCACAGAGCAGTTTCTGAGAATGCTTCTGTCTAGATTTTATAGGAAGATATTCCCGTTTCCAACGAAATCTTCACAGCTATCCCAAATATCCACTTGCAGATTCTACAAAAAGAGTGTATCAAAACTGCTCTGTCAAAAGGAAGGTTCTTTTCTGTTAGGTGAGTGCATACGTCATAAAGGAGTTTCTGAGAATGTTTCTGTCTAGTGGTTATGGGAAGATATTTGCTTTTTCCCCGTAGGCCTCAAAGCGCTCCAAATGTCCACTTGAACATACTACAAAAAGAGTGCTTCAAAGCTGCTCTCTGAAAGGGAATGTTCAACTCTATGAGTTGAATGCAAACATCACAAAGACGTTTCTGAGAATGCTTCTGTCTAGATTTGATATGAAGATATTCCCGTTTCTAACGAAATCTTCAAATCTATCCAAATGTCCACTTGCAGATTCAACAAAAAGTGTTTTTCAGAACTGCTCTATCAAAAGAAAGATCCACCTCTGTTAGCTGAGTTCACACTTCACAAACAAGTTTATCAGAATGCTTCTGTCTAGTTTTTATTTGAAGATATTTCCTTTCTCACCATAGACCTGAAAACTGTCCTAATGTTCACTTGCAGATACTACAGAAAGAGTGTTTCAAAACTGCTGTACGAAAGGGAATGTTCAACTCTGTGACTTGAATGCAGACATCACAAAGAAGTTTCTGAGGATGCTGCTGTCTACTTTTTATACTTAATCCCGTTTCCAACGAAATCCTCCAAGCTATCCAAGTATCCACTTGCAGATTCCACAGAAAGACTGTTTCAAAACTGCTCTGTCAATAGAAAGGTTCAACTCTGTTAGCTGCGTGCATATATCCCAAAGAAGATTCTGAGATTGCTTCTGTCTAGTTTTTATGGGAAGATATTTTGCTTTTCACCGTAGGTGTCAAGGCGCTCCAAATGTCCACTTCCAGATACTACAAAAAGAGTGTTTCAAACCTACTCTGTGAAAGGGAATATTCAACTCTGTGACTTGAATGCACATATCACAAAGAAGATTCTGAGAATGCTTCTGTCGAGATTTTATATGAAGATATTCCCGTTTCCAACGAAATCCTGAAATCTATCCAAATATCCCCTCGCAGATTCTACAAAAAGAGTGTTGCAAAACTGCTCTGTAAAAAGAAAGGTTCAACTCTGTTAGTTGAGTACACACATCACAAACAAGTTTCACAGAATGCTTCTTTCTAGCTTGTAGGGGAAGATATTCCCTTTATCACCATGGGCCTCAAACCGTCCGAAAAGTCCACTTCCATATACTAAAAAAAGAGCATTTCAAACCTGCTCTATGAAAGGCAATGTTCAACTCTGTGACTTGAATGCAGACATCACAGAGCAGTTTCTGAGAATGCTGCTGTCTAGATTTTATAAGAAGATATTCCCGTTTCCAGCAAAATCTTCACAGCTATCCAAATATCCACTTGCAGATTCTACAAAAAGAGTGTATCAAAACTGCTCTGTCAAAAGGAAGGTTCTTCTCTTTTAGGTGAGTGCATACGTCATAAAGGAGTTTCTGAGAATGTTTCTGTCTAGTGGTTATGGGAAGATATTTGCCTTTTCACCGTAGGCCTCAGAGCGCTCCAAATATCCACTTGCACATACTACAAAAAGAGTGCCTCACAGCTGCTCTCTGAAACGGAATGTTCAACTCTATGAGTTGAATGCAAACATCGCAAAGACGTTTCTGAGAATGCTTCTGTCTAGATTTGATATGAAGATATTCCCGTTTCCAACGAAATCTTCAAATCTATCCAAATGTCCACTTGCAGATTCAACAAAAAGTGTTTTTCAGAACTGCTCTATCAAAAGAAAGATCCACCTCTGTTAGCTGAGTTCACACATCACAAGCAAGTTTATGAGAATGCTTCTGTCTAGTTTTTATTTGAAGATATTTCCCTTCTCACCATAGACCTGAAAGCTGTCCTAATGTTCACTTCCAGATACTACAGAAAGAGTGTTTCAAAACTGCTGTACGAAAGGGAATGTTCAACTCTGTGACTTGAATGCACACATCACAAAGAAGTTTTCTGAGGATGCTGCTGTCTACTTTTTATACGTAATCCCGTTTCCAACGAAATCCTCCAAGCTATCCAAATATCTACTTGCAGATTCCACAGAAAGACTATTTCAAAACTGCACTGTCAATAGAAAGGTTCAACTCTCTTAGCTGCGTGCATATATCCCAAAGAAGATTCTGAGATTGCTTCTGTGTAGTTTTTAAGGGAAGATATTTCCCTTTTCACCGTAGGCGTCAAGGCGCTCCAAATGTCCACTTCCAGATACTACAAAAAGAGTGTTTCAAACCTACTCTGTGAAAGGGAATATTCAACTCTGTGACTTGAATGCACATATCACAAGGAAGTTTCTGAGAATGCTTCTGTCGAGATTTTATATGAAGATATTCCCCTTTCCAACGAAATCCTGAAATCTATCCAAATATCCCCTCGCAGATTCTACAAAAAGATTGTTTCAAAACTGCTCTGTAAAAAGAAAGGTTCAACTCTGTTAGTTGAGTACACACATCACAAACAAGTTTCACAGAATGCTTCTTTCTAGCTTGTAGGGCAAGATATTCCCTTTAACACCATGGGCCTCAAACCGTCTGAAACGTCCACTTCCATATACTACAAAAAGAGCGTTTCAAACCTGCTCTATGAAAGGCAATGTTCAACTCTGTGACTTGAATGCAGACATCACAGAGCAGTTTCTGAGAATGCTTCTGTCTAGGTTTTATAGGAAGATATTCCCTTTTCCAACGAAATCTTCCAAGCTATCCAAATATCCACTTGCAGATTCTACAAAAAGAGTGTATCAAAACTGCTCTGTCAAAAGGAATGTTCTCCTCTGTTAGTTGAGTACATACGTCATAAAGGAGTTTCTGAGAATGTTTCAGTCTAGTGGTTATGGGAAGATATTTGCTTTTTCACCGTAGGCCTCAGAGCGCTCCAAATATCCACTTGCACATACTACAAAAAGAGTGCCTCAAAGCTGCTCTCTGAAACGGAATGTGCAACTCTATGAGTTGAATGCAAACATCACAAAGACGTTTCTGAGAATGCTTCTGTCTAGATTTGATATGAAGATATTCCCGTTTCCAACGAAATCTTCAAATCTATCCAAATGTCCACTTGCAGATTCAACAAAAAGTGTTTTTCAGAACTGCTCTATCAAAAGAAAGATCCACCTCTGTTAGCTTAGTTCACACATCAGAAACAAGTTTATGAGAATGCTTCTGTCTAGTTTTTATTTGAAGATATTTCCTTTCTCACCATAGACCTGAAAGCTGTCCTAATGTTCACTTCCAGATACTACAGAAGGAGTGTTTCAAAACTGCTGTACGAAAGGGAATGTTCAACTCTGTGACTTGAATGCACACATCACAAAGAAGTTTCTGAGGATGCTGCTGTCTTCTTTTTATACGTAATCCCGTTTCCAACGAAATCCTCCAAGCTATCCAAGTATCCACTTGCAGATTCCACAGAAAGACTGTTTCAAAACTGCTCTGTCAATAGAAAGGTTCAACTCTGTTAGCTGCGTGCATATATCCCAAAGAAGATTCTGAGATTGCTTGTGTCTACTTTTTATGAGAAGATATTTCCCTTTTCACCGTAGGCGTCAAGGCGCTCCAAATGTCCACTTCCAGATACTACAAAAAGAGTGTTTCAAACCTACTCTGTGAAAGGGAAGATTCAACTCTGTGACTTGAATGCACATATCACAAAGAAGCTTCTGAGAATGCTTCTGTCGAGATTTTATATGAAGATACTCCCGTTTCCAACGAAATCCTGAAATCTATCCAAATATCCCCTCGCAGATTCTACAAAAAGAGTGTTTCGAAACTGCTCTGTAAAAAGAAAGGTTCAACTCTGTTAGTTGAGTACACACATCACAAACAAGTTTCACAGAATGCTTCTTTCTAGCTTGTAGGGGAAGATATTTCCTTTATCACCATGGTCCTCAAACCGTCCGAATCGTCCACTTCCATATACTAAAAAAAGAGTGTTTGAAACCTGCTCTATGAAAGGCAATGTTCAACTCTGTGACCTGAATGCAGACATCACAGAGCAGTTTCTGAGAATGCTTCCTGTCTAGATTTTATAGGAAGATATTCCCGTTTCCAACGAAATCTTCACAGCTATCCAAATATCCACTTGCAGATTCTACAAAAAGAGTGTATCAAAACTGCTCTGTCAAAAGGAAGGTTCTCCTCTGTTAGGTGAGTGCATACGTCATAAAGGAGTTTCTGAGAATGTTTCTGTCTAGTGGTTATGGGAAGATATTTGCTTTTTCACCGTAGGCCTCAGAGCGCTCCAAATATCCACTTGCACATACTACAAAAAGGGTGCCTCAAAGCTGCTCTCTGAAACGGAATGTTCAACTCTATGAGTTGAATGCAAACATCACAAAGACGTTTCTGAGAATGCTTCTGTCTAGTATTTGATATGAAGATATTCCCGTTTCCAACGAAATCTTCAAATCTATCCAAATGTCCACTTGCAGATTCAACAAAAAGTGTTTTTCAGAACTGCTCTATCAAAAGAAAGATTCACCTCTGTTAGCTGAGTTCACACATCACAAACAAGTTTATGAGAATGCTTCTGTCTAGTTTTTATTTGAAGATATTTCCTTTCTCACCATAGAGCTGAAAGCTGTCCTAATGTTCACTTCCAGATACTACAGAAAGAGTGTTTCAAAACTGCTGTACGAAAGGGAATGTTCAACTCTGTGACTTGAATGCACACATCACAAAGTAGTTTCTGAGGATGCTGCTGTCTACTTTTTATACGTAATCCCGTTTCCAACGAAATCCTCCAAGCTATCCAAATATCCACTTGCAGATTCCACAGAAAGACTGTTTCAAAACTGCTCTGTCAATAGAAAGGTTCAACTCTGTTAGCTGCGTGCATATATCCTAAAGAGGATTCTGAGATTGCTTCTGTCTAGTTTTTATGGGAAGATATTTCCCTTTTCACCGTAGGCGTCAAGGCGCTCCAAATGTCCACTTCCAGATACTACAAAAAGAGTGTTTCAAACCTACTCTGTGAAAGGGAATATTCAACTACTGTGACTTGAATGCACATATCACAAGGAAGTTTCTGAGAATGCTTCTGATCGAGATTTTGATACTGAAGATATTCCCGTTTCCAACGAAATCCTGAAATGTATCCAAATATCCCCTCGCAGATTCTACAAAAAGAGTGTTTCAAAACTGCTCTGTAAAAAGAAAGGTTCAACTCTGTTAGTTGAGTACACACATCACAAACAAGTTTCACAGAATGGTTCTTTCTAGCTTGTAGGGAAAGATATTCCCTTTATCACCATGGGCCTCAAACCGTCCGAAACGTCCACTTCCATATACTACAAAAAGAGCGTTTCAAACCTGCTCTAGGAAAAGCAATGTTCAACTCTGTGACTTGAATGCAGACATCACAGAGCAGTTTCTGAGAATGCTTCTGTCTAGATTTTATAGGAAGATATTCCCGTTTCCAACGAAATCTTCACAGCTATCCAAATATCCACTTGCAGATTCTACAAAAAGAGTGTATCAAAACAGCTCTGTCAAAAGGAAGGTTCTTTTCTGTTAGGTGAGTGCATACGTCATAAAGGAGTTTCTGAGAATGTTTCTGTCTAGTGGTTATGGGAAGATATTTGCTTTTTCCCCGTAGGCCTCAGGGCGCTCCAAATGTCCACTTGCACATGCTACAAAAAGAGTGCTTCAAAGCTGCTCTCTGAAAGGGAATGTTCAACTCTATGTGTTGAATGCAAACATCACAAAGACGTTTCTGAGAATGCTTCTGTCTAGATTTGATATGAAGATATTCCCGTTTCCAACGAAATCTTCAAATCTATCCAAATGTCCTCTTGCAGATTCAACAAAAAGTGTTTTTCAGAACTGCTCTATCAAAAGAAAGATCCACCTCTGTTAGCTGAGTTCACACATCACAAACAAGTTTATGAGAATGCTTCTGTCTAGTTTTTATTTGAAGATATTTCCTTTCTCACCATAGACCTGAAAGCTGTCCTAATGTTCACTTCCAGATACTACACAAAGAGTGTTTCAAAACTGCTGTACGAAAGGGAATGTTCAACTCTGTGACTTGAATGCACACATCACAAAGAAGTTTCTGAGGATGCTGCTGTCTACTTTTTATACGTAATCCCGTTTCCAACGAAATCCTCCAATCTATGCAAATATCCACTTGCAGATTCCACAGAAAGAGTGTTTCAAAACTGCTCTGTCAATAGAAAGGTTCAACTCTGTTAGCTGCGTGCATATATCACAAAGAAGATTCTGAGATTGCTTCTGTCTAGTTTTTATGGGAAGATATTTCCCTTTTCACCGTAGGTGTAAAGGCGCTCCAAATGTCCACTTACAGATACTACAAAAAGAGTGTTTCAAACCTACTCTGTGAAAGGGAATATTCAACTCTGTGACTTGAATGCAGATATCACAATGAAGTTTCTGAGAATGCTTCTGTCGAGATTTTATATGAAGATATTCCCGTTTCCAACGAAATCCTGAAATCTATTCAAATATCCCCTCGCAGATTCTTCAAAAAGAGTGTTTCAATACTGCTCTGTAAAAAGAAAGGTTCAACTCTGTTAGTTGAGTACACACATCACAAACAAGTTTCACAGAATGATTCTTTCTAGCTTGTAGGGGAAGATATTCCCTGTATCACCTTGGGCCTCAAACCGTCCGAAACGTCCACTTCCATATACTAAAAAAAGAGTGTTTGAAACCTGCTCTATGAAAGGCAATGTTCAACTCTGTGACATGAATGCAGACATCACAGAGCAGTTTCTGAGAATGCTTCTGTCTAGATTTTATAGGAAGATATTCCCGTTTCCAACGAAATCTTCACAGCTATCCAAATATCCACTTGCAGATTCTACAAAAAGAGTGTATCAAAACTTCTCTGTCAAAAGGAAGGTTCTTCTCTGTTAGTTGAGTACATACGTCATAAAGGAGTTTCTGAGAATGTTTCTGTCTAGTGGTTATGGGAAGATATTTGCTTTTTCACCGTAGGCCTCAGAGCGCTCCAAATATCCACTTGCACATACTACAAAAAGAGTGCCTCAAAGCTGCTCTCTGAAATGGAATGTTCAACTCTATGAGTTGAATGCTAACATCACAAAGACGTTTCTGAGAATGCTTCTGTCTAGATTTGATATGAAGATATTCCCTTTTCCAAGGAAATCTTCAAAACTATCCAAATGTCCACTTGCAGATTCAACAAAAAGTGTTTTTCAGAACTGCTCTATCAAAAGAAAGATCCACCGTTGTTAGCTGAGTTCACACATCACAAACAAGTTTATGAGAATGCTTTCTGTCTAGTTTTTATTTGAAGATATTTCCTTTCTCACCATAGAGCTGAAAGCTGTCCTAATGTTCACTTCCAGATACTACAGAAAGAGTGTTTCAAAACTGCTGTACGAAAGGAAATGTTCAACTCTGTGACTTGAATGCACACATCACAAAGAAGTTTCTGAGGATGCTGCTGTCTACTTTTTATACGTAATCCTGTTTCCAACGAAATCCTCCAAGCTATCCAAATATCCACTTGCAGATTCCACAGAAAGAATGTTTCAAAACTGCTCTGTCAATAGAAAGGTTCAACTCAGTTAGCTGCGTGCATATATCCCAAAGAAGATTCTGAGATTGCTTCTGTCTAGTTTTTATGGGAAGATATTTCCCTTTTCACCGTAGGCATCCAGGCGCTCCAAATGTCCACTTCCAGATACTACAAAAAGAGTGTTTCAAACCTACTCTGTGAAAGGGAATATTCAACTCTGTGACTTGAATGCACATATCACAAGGAAGTTTCTGAGAATGCTTCTGTCGAGATTTTATATGAAGATATTCCCCTTTCCAATGAAATCCTGAAATCTATCCAAATATCCCCTCGCAGATTCTACAAAAAGAGTGTTTCAAAACTGCTCTGTAAAAAGAAAGGTTCAACTCTGTTAGTTGACTACACACATCACAAACAAGTTTCACAGAATGCTTCTTTCTAGCTTGTAGGGGAAGATATTCCCTTTATCACCATGGACCTCAAACCGTCTGAAACGTCCACTTCCATATACTACAAAAAGAGCATTTCAAACCTGCTCTATGAAAGGCAATGTTCAACTCTGTGACTTGAATGCAGACATCACAGAGCAGTTTCTGAGAATGCTTCTGTCTAGATTTTATAGGAAGATATTCCCGTTTCCAACGAAATCTTCACAGGTATCCAAATATCCACTTGCAGATTCTACAAAAAGAGTGTATCAAAACTGCTCTGTCAAAAGGAAGGTTCTTCTCTGTTAGTTGAGTACATACGTCATAAAGGAGTTTCTGAGAATGTTTCTGTCTAGTGGTTATGGGAAGATATTTGCTTTTTCACCTTAGGCCTCAGAGCGCTCCAAATATCCCCTTGCACATACTACAAAAAGAGTGCTTCAAAGCTGCTCTCTGAAACGGAATGTTCAACTCTATGAGGTGAATGCAAACATGACAAAGACGTTTCCGAGAATGCTTCTGTCTAGATTTGATATGAAGATATTCCCGTTTCCAACGAAATCTTCAAATCTATCCAAATGTCCACTTGCAGATTCAACAAAAAGTGTTTTTCAAAACTGCTCTATCAAAAGAAAGATCCACGTCTGTTACCTGAGTTCACACATCACAAACAAGTTTATGAGAATGCTTCTGTCTAGTTTTTATTTGAAGCATATTTCCTTTCTCACCATAGACCTGAAAGCTGTCCTAATGTTCACTTCCAGTTACTACAGAAAGAGTGTTTCAAAACTGCTGTACGAAAGGGAATGTTCAACTCTGTGACTTGAATGCACACATCACAAAGAAGTTTCTGAGGATGCTGCTGTCTACTTTTTATACTTAATCCCGTTTCCAACGAAATCCTCCAAGCTATCCAAATATCCACTTGCAGATTCCACAGAAACACTGTTTCAAAACTGCTCTGTCAATAGAAAGGTTCAACTCTGTTAGCTGCGTGCATATATCCCAAAGAAGATTCTGAGATTGCTTCTGTCTAGCTTTATGGGAAGATATTTCCCTTTTCACCGTAGGCGTCAAGGCACTCCAAATGTCCACTTCCAGATACTACAAAAAGAGTGTTTCAAACCTACTCTGTGAAAGGGAATATTCAACTCTGTGACTTGAAGGCAGATATCACAAAGAAGTTTCTGAGAATGCTTCTGTCGAGATTTTATATGAAGATATTCGCGTTTCCAACGAAATCCTGAAATCTATCCAAATATCCCCTCGCAGATTCTACAAAAAGAGTGTTTCAAAACTGCTCTGTAAAAAGAAAGGTTCAACTCTGTTAGTTGAGTACACACATCACAAACAAGTTTCACAGAATGCTTCTTTCTAGCTTGTAGGGGAAGATATTCCCTTTATCACCGTGGGCCTCAAACCGTCCGATAAGTCCACTTCCATATACTACAAAAAGAGCGTTTCAAACCTGCTCCATGAAAGGCAATGTTCAACTCTGTGACTTGAATGCAGACATCACAGAGCAGTTTCTGAGAATGCTTCTGTCCAGACTTTATAGGAAGATATTCCCGTTTCCAACGAAATCTTCACAGCTATCCAAATATCCACTTGCAGATTCTACAAAAAGAGTGTATCAAAACTGCTCTGTCAAAAGGAAGGTTCTTCTCTGTTAGTTGAGTACAAACGTCATAAAGGAGTTTCTGAGAATGTTTCTGTCTAGTGGTTATGGGAAGATATTTGTTTTTTCACCGTAGGCCTCAGAGCGCTCCAAATATCCACTTGCACATACTACAAAAAGAGTGCCTCAAAGCTGCTCTCTGAAACGGAATGTTCAACTCTATGAGTTGAATGCAAACATCGCAAAGACGTTTCTGAGAATGCTTCTGTCTAGATTTGATATGAAGATATTCCCGTTTCCAAAGAAATCTTCCAATCTATCCAAATGTCCACTTGCAGATTCAACAAAAAGTGTTTTTCAAAACTGCTGTATCGAAAGAAAGATCCACCTCTGTTAGTTGAGTTCACACATCACAAACAAGTTTTTAAAAGTGCTTCTCTCTAGTTTTTATTTGAAGATATATCCTTTCTCACTATAGACCTGAAAGCTGTCCTAATGTTCACTTCCAGATACTACAGAAAGAGTGTTTCAAAACTGCTGTACGAAAGGGAATGTTCAACTCTGTGACTTGAATGCACACATCACAAAGTAGTTTCTGAGGATGCTGCTGTCTACTTTTTATACGTAATCCCGTTTCCAACGAAATCCTCCAAGCTATCCAAATATCCACTTGCAGATTCCACAGAAAGATTGTTTCAAAACTGCTCTGTCAATAGAAATGTTCAACTCTGTTAGCTGCGTGCATATATCCCAAAGAAGATTCTGAGATTGCTTCTGTCTAGTTTTTATGGGAAGATATTTCCCTTTTCACCGTAGGCGTCAAGGCGCTCCAAATGTCCACTTCCAGATACTACAAAAAGAGTGTTTCAAACCTACTCTGCGAAAGGGAATATTCAACTCTGTGAGTTGAATGCAGATATCACAAAGAAGTTTCTGAGAATGCTTCTGTCGAGAGTTTATATGAAGATATTCCCGTTTCCAACGAAATCCTGAAATCTATCCAAATATCCCCTCGCAGATTCTACAAAAAGAGTGTTTCAAAACTGCTCTGTAAAAAGAAAGGTTCAACTCTGTTAGTTGAGTACACACATCACAAACAAGTTTCACAGAATGCTTCTTTCTAGCTTGTAGGGGAAGATATTCCCTTTATCACCATGGGCCTCCAACCGTCCGAAACATCCACTTCCATATACTACAAAAAGAGCGTTTCAAACCTGCTCTATGAAAGGCAATGTTCAACTCTGTGACTTGAATGCAGACATCACAGAGCAGTTTCTGAGAATTCTTCTGTCTAGTATTTTATAGGAAGATATTCCCGTTTCCAACCAAATCTTCATAGCTATCCAAATATCCACTTGCAGATTCTACAAAAAGAGTGTATCAAAACTGCTCTGTCAAAAGGAAGGTTCTTTTCTGTTAGGTGAGTGCATACGTCATAAAGGAGTTTCTGAGAATGTTTCTGTCTAGTGGTTATGGGAAGATATTTGCTTTTTCACCGTAGGCCAGAGAGCGATCAAAATATCCACTTGCACATACTACAAAAAGAGTGCTTCAAAGCTGCTCTCTGAAAGTGAATGTTCAACTCTATGAGTTGAATGGAAACATCACAAAGACGTTTCTGAGAATGCTTCTGTCTAGATTTGATATGAAGATATTCCCGTTTCCAACGAAATCTTTAAATCTATCCAAATGTCCACTTGCAGATTCAACAAAAAGTGTTTTTCAAAACTGCTCTATCAAAAGAAAGATCCACCTCTGTTAGCTGAGTACACACATCACAAACAAGTTTATGAGAATGCTTCTGTCTAGTTTTTATTTGAAGATATTTCCTTTCTCACCATAGACCTGGAAGCTGTCCTAATGTTCACTTCCAGATACTACAGAAAGAGTGTTTCAAAACTGCTGTACGAAAGGGAATGTTCAACTCTGTGACTTGAATGCACACATCACAAAGAAGTTTCTGAGGATGCTGCTGTCTACTTTTTATACGTAATCCCGTTTCCAAGGAAATCCTCCAAGCTATCCAAATATCCACTTGCAGATTCCACAGAAAGACTGTTTCAAAACTGCTCTCTCAATAGAAAGGTTCAACTCTGTTAGCTGCGTGCATATATCCCAAAGAAGATTCTGAGATTGCTTCTGTCTAGTTTTTATCGGAAGATATTTCCCTTTTCACCATAGGTGTCAAGGTGCTCCAAATGTCCACTTGCAGATGCTACAAAAAGAGTGTTTCAAACCTACTCTGTGAAAGGGAATATTCAACTCTGTGACTTGAATGCAGATATCACAAAGAAGTTTCTGAGAATGCTTCTGTCGAGATTTTATATGAAGATATTCTCGTTTAAAACGAAATCCTGAAATCTATCCAAATATCCCCTCACAGATTCTACAAAAGAGTGTTTCAAAACTGCTCTGTAAAAAGAAAGGTTCAACTCTGTTAGTTGAGTACACACATCACAAACAAGTTTCACAGAATGCTTCTTTCTAGCTTGTAGGGGAAGATATTCCCTTTATCACCATGGGCCTCAAACCGTCCGATAAGTCCACTTCCATATACTACAAAAAGAGAGTTTCAAACCTGCTCTATGAAAGGCAATGTTCAACTCTGTGACTTGAATGCAGACATCACAGAGCAGTTTCTGAGAATGCTTCTGTCTAGATTTTATAGGAAGATATTCCCGTTTCCAACCAAATCTTCATAGCTATCCAAATATCCACTTGCAGATTCTACAAAAAGAGTGTATCAAAACTGCTCTGTCAAAAGGAAGGTTCTTTTCTGTTAGGTGAGTGCATACGTCATAAAGGAGTTTCTGAGAATGTTTCTATCTAGTTGTTATGGGAAGATATTTGCTTTTTCACCGTAGGCCTCAGAGCGCTCCAAATATCCACTTGCACATACTACAAAAAGAGTGCCTCAAAGCTGCTCTCTGAAACGGAATGTTCAACTCTATGAGTTGAATGCAAACATCGCAAAGACGTTTCTGAGAATGCTTCTGTCTAGATTTGATATGAAGATATTCCCGTTTCCAACGAAATCTTCATATCTATCCAAATGTCCACTTGCAGATTCAACAAAAAGTGTTTTTCAAAACTGCTGTATCAAAAGAAAGATCCACGTCTGTTAGATGAGTTCACACATCACAAACAAGTTTATGAGAATGCTCTGTCTAGTTTTTATTTGAAGATATTTCCTTTCTCACCATAGACCTGAAAGCTGTCCTAATGTTCACTTCCAGTTACTACAGAAAGAGTGTTTCAAAACTGCTGTACGAAAGGGAATGTTCAACTCTGTGACTTGAATGCACACATCACAAAGAAGTTTCTGAGGATGCTGGCTGTCTACTTTTTATACGTAATCCCGTTTCCAACGAAATCCTCCAAGCTATCCAAATATCCACTTTCAGATTCCACAGAAAGACTGTTTCAAAACTGCTCTGTCAATAGAAAGGTTCAACTCTGTTAGCTGCGTGCATATATCCCAAAGAAGATTCTGAGATTGCTTCTGTCTAGTTTTTATGGGAAGATATTTCCCTTTTCACCGTAGGCGTCAAGGCGCTCCAAATGTCCACTTCCAGATACTACAAAAACAGTGTTTCAAACCTACTCTGTGAAAGGGAATATTCAACTCTGTGACTTGAATGCACATATCACAAGGAAGTTTCTGAGAATTCTTCTGTCGAGATTTTATATGAAGATAATCCCGTTTCCAACGAAATCCTGAAATCTATCCAAATATCCCCTCGCAGATTCTACAAAAAGAGTGTTTCAAAACTGCTCTGTGAAAAGAAAGGTTCAACTCTGTTAGTTGAGTACACACATCACAAACAAGTTTCACAGAATGCTTCTTTCTAGCTTGTAGGGGAAGATATTCCCTTTATCACCATGGGCCTCAAACCGTCCGATAAGTCCACTTCCATATACTACAAAAAGAGCGTTTCAAACCTGCTCTATGAAAGGCAACGTTCAACTCTGTGACTTGAATGCAGACATCACAGAGCAGTTTCTGAGAATGCTTTCTGTCCAGACTTTATAGGAAGATATTCCCGATTCCAACGAAATCTTCACAGCTATCCCAATATCCACTTGCAGATACTACAAAAAGAGTGTATCAAAAAAGCTCTGTCAAAAGGAAAGTTCTTCTCTGCTAGTTGAGTACATACGTCATAAAGAAGTTTCTGAGAATGTTTCTGTCTAGTGGTTATGGGAAGATATTTGCTTTTTCACCGTAGGCCTCAGAGCGCTCCAAATATCCACTTGCACATACTACAAAAAGAGTGCTTCAAAGCTGCTCTCTGAAACGGAATGTTCAGCTCTATGAGTTGAATGCAAACATCACAAAGACGTTTCTGAGAATGCTTGTGTCTAGATTTGATATGAAGATATTCCCGTTTCCAACGAAATCTTCAAATCTATCCAAATGTCCACTTGCAGATTCAACAAAAAGTGTTTTTCAGAACTGCTCTATCAAAAGAAAGATCCACCTCTGTTAGCTGAGTTCACATATCAAAAACAAGTTTATGAGAATGCTTTTGTCTAGTTTTTATTTGAAGATATTTCCTTTCTCACCATAGAGCTGAAAGCTGTCCTAATGTTCACTTCCAGTTACTACAGAAAGAGTGTTTCAAAACTGCTGTACGAAAGGGAATGTTCAACTCTGTGACTTGAATGCACACATCACAAAGAAGTTTCTGAGGATGCTGCAGTCTATTTTTTATACGTAATCCCGTTTCCAACGAAATCCTCCAAGCTATCCAAATATCCACTTGCAGATTCCACAGAAAGACTGTTTCAAAACTGCTCTGTCAATAGAAAGGTTCAACTCTGTTAGCTGCGTGCATATATCCCAAAGAAGATTCTGAGATTGCGTCTGTCTACTTTTTATGAGAAGATATTTCCCTTTTCACCGTAGGTGTCAAGGCGCTCCAAATGTCCACTTCCAGATACTACAAAAAGAGTGTTTCAAACCTACTCTGTGAAAGGGAACATTCAACTCTGTGACTTGAATGCACATATCACAAAGAAGTTTCTGAGAATTCTTCTGTCGAGATTTTATATGAATATATTCCCGTTTCCAACGAAATCCTGAAATCTATCCAAATATCCCCTCGCAGATTCTACAAAAAGAGTGTTTCAAAACTGCTCTGTAAAAAGAAAGGTTCAACTCTGTTAGTTGAGTACACACATCACAAACAAGTTTCACAGAATGCTTCTTTCTAGCTTGTAGGGGAAGAAATTTCCTTTATCACCATGGGCCTCAAACCGTCCGAAACGTCCACTTCCATATACTAACAAAAGAGTGTCTGAAACCTGCTCTATGAAAGGCAATGTTCAACTCTGTGACTTGAATGCAGACATCACAGAGCAGTTTCTGAGAATGCTTCTGTCCTGACTTTATAGGAAGATATTCCCGATTCCAACGAAATCTTTACAGCTATCCAAATATCCACTTGCAGATACTACAAAAAGAGTGTATCAAAAAAGCTCTGTCAAAAGGAAAGTTCTTCTCTGCTAGTTGAGTACATACGTCATAAAGAAGTTTCTGAGAATGTTTCTGTCTAGTGGTTATGGGAAGATATTTGCTTTTTCCCCGTAGGCCTCAGGGCGCTCCAAATGTCCACTTGCACATGCTACAAAAAGAGTGCTTCAAAGCTGCTCTCTGAAAGGGAATGTTCAACTCTATGAGTTGAATGCAAACATCAAAAAGACGTTTCTGAGAATGCTTCTGTCTAGATTTGATATGAAGATATTCCCGTTTCCAACGAAATCTTCAAATCTATCCAAATGTCCACTTGCAGATTCAACAAAAAGTGTTTTTCAAAACTGCTGTATCAAAAGAAAGATCCACCTCTCTTAGCTGAGTTCACACATCACAAACAAGTTTATGAGAATGCTTCTGTCTAGTTTTTATTTGAAGATATTTCCTTTCTCACCATAGACCTGAAAGCTGTCCTAATGTTCACTTCCAGATACTACAGAAAGAGTGTTTCAAAACTGCTGTACGAAAGGGAATGTTCAAATCTGTGACTTGAATGCACACATCACAAAGAAGTTTCTGAGGATGCTGCTGTCTACTTTTTATACGTAATCCCGTTTCCAACGAAATCCTCCAAGCTATCCAAATATCCACTTGCAGATTCCACAGAAAGACTGTTTCAAAAATGCTCTGTCAATAGAAAGGTTCAACTCTGTTAGCTGCGTGCATATATCCCAAAGAAGATTCTGAGATTGCTTCTGTCTAGTTTTGATGGGAAGATATTTCCCTTTTCACCGTGGGCGTCAAGGCGCTCCAAATGTCCACTTCCAGATACTACAAAAAGAGTGTTTCAAACCTACTCTGCGAAAGGGAATATTCAACTCTGTGACTTGAATGCACATATCACAAGGAAGTTTCTGAGAATGCTTCTGTCGAGATTTTATATGAAGATATTCCCGTTTCCAACGAAATGCTGAAATCTATCCCAAATATCCCCTCGCAGATTCTACAAAAAGAGTGTTTCAAAACTGCTCTGTGAAAAGAAAGGTTCAACTCTGTTAGTTGAGTACACACATCACAAACAAGTTTCACAGAATGCTTCTTTCTAGCTTGTAGGGGAAGATATTCCCTTTATCACCATGGGACTCAAACCGTCTGAAACGTCCACTTCCATATACTACAAAAAGAGCATTTCAAACCTGCTCTATGAAAGGCAATGTTCAACTCTGTGACTTGAATGCAGACATCAGAGAGCAGTTTCTGAGAATGCTTCTGTCTAGATTTTATAGGAAGATATTCCCGTTTCCAACGAAATCTTCACAGCTATCCAAATATCCACTTGCAGATGCTACAAAAAGAGTGTATCAAAACTGCTCTGTCAAAAGGAAGGTTCTTCTCTGTTAGGTGAGTGCATACGTCATAAAGGAGTTTCTGAGAATGTTTCTGTCTAGTGGTTATGGGAAGATATTTGCTTTTTCCCCGTAGGCCTCAGAGCGCTCCAAATGTCCACTTGCGCATGCTACAAAAAGAGTGCTTCAAAGCTGCTCTCTGAAACGGAATGTTCAACTCTATGAGTTGAATGCAAACATCACAAAGATGTTTCTGAGAATGCTTCTGTCTAGATTTGATATGAAGATATTCCCGTTTCCAACGAAATCTTCAAATCTATCCAAATGTCCACTTGCAGATTCAACAAAAAGTGTTTTTCAAAACTGCTATATCAAAAGAAAGATCCACCTCTGTTAGCTGAGTTCACACATCACAAACAAGTTTATGAGAATGCTTCTGTCTAGTTTTTATTTGAAGATATTTCCTTTCTCACCATAGAGCTGAAAGCTGTCCTAATGTTCACTTCCAGATACTACAGAAAGAGTTTTTCAAAACTGCTGTACGAAAGGGAATGTTCAACTCTGTGACTTGAAAGCACACATCACAAAGAAGTTTCTGAGGATGCTGCTGTCTACTTTTTATACGTAATCCCGTTTCCAACGAAATCCTCCAAGCTATCCAAATATCCAATTGCAGATTCCACAGAAAGACTGTTTCAAAACTGCTCTGTCAATAGAAAGGTTCAACTCTGTTAGCTGCGTGCATATATCCCAAAGAAGATTCTGCGATTACTTCTGTCTAGTTTTTATGGGAAGATATTTCCCTTTTCACCGTAGGCGTCAAGGCGCTCCAAATGTCCACTTCCAGATACTACAAAAAGAGTGTTTCAAACCTACTCTGTGAAAGGGAGTATTCAACTCTGTGACTTGAATACACATATCACAAAGAAGTTTGCTGAGAATGCTTCTGTCGAGATTTTATATGAAGGTATTCCCGTTTCCAACGAAATCCTGAAATCTATCCAAATATCCGCTCGCAGGTTCTACAAAAAGAGTGTTTCAAAACTGCTCTGTAAAAAGAAAGGTTCAACTCTGTTAGTTGAGTACACACATCACAAACAAGTTTCACAGAATGCTTCTTTCTATCTTGCAGGGGAAGATATTCCCTTTATCACCATGGGCCTCAAACCGTCCGAAACGTCTACTTCCATATACTACAAAAAGAGCGTTTCAAACCTGCTCTATGAAAGGCAATGTTCAACTCTGTGACTTGAATGCAGACATCACAGAGCAGTTTCTGAGAATGCTTCTGTCTAGAATTTATAGGAAGATATTCCCGTTTCCAACGAAAACTTCACAGCTATCCAAATATCCACTTTCAGATTCTACAAAAAGAGTGTATCAAAAGTGCTCTGTCAAAAGGAAGGTTCTTCTCTGTTAGGTGAGTGCATACGTCATAAAGGAGTTTGTGAGAATGTTTCTGTCTAGTGGTAATGGGAAGATATTTGCTTTTTCACCATAGGCCTCAGAGCGCTCCAAATATCCACTTGCACATACTACAAAAAGAGTGCTTCAAAGCTGCTCTCTGAAAGGGAATGTTCAACTCTATGAGTTGAATGCTAACATCACAAAGACGTTTCTGAGAATGCTTCTGTCTAGATTTGATATGAAGATATTCCCGTTTCCAACGAAATCTTCAAATCTATCCAAATGTCCACTTGCAGATTCAACAAAAAGTGTTTTTCAGAACTGCTCTATCAAAAGAAAGATCCACGTGTGTTAGCTGAGTTCACACATCACAAACAAGTTTATGAGAATGCTTTCTGTCTAGTTTTTATTTGAAGATATTTCCTTTCTCACCATAGACCTGAAAGCTGTCCTAATGTTCAGTTCCAGATACTACAGAAAGAGTGTTTCAAAACTGCTGTACGAAAGGGAATGTTCAACTCTGTGACTTGAATGCACACATCACAAAGAAGTTTCTGAGGATGCTGCTGTCTACTTTTTATACGTAATCCCGTTTCCAACGAAATCCTCCAAGCTATCCAAATATCCACTTGCAGATTCCACAGAAAGACTGTTTCAAAACGGCTCTGTCAATAGAAAGGTTCAACTCTGTTAGCTGCGTGCATATATCCCAAAGAAGATTCTGATATTGCTTCTGTCTAGTTTTTATGGGAAGATATTTCCCTTTTCACCGTAGGCGTCAAGGCGCTCCAAATGTCCACTTCCAGATACTACAAAAAGAGTGTTTCAAACCTACTCTGTGAAAGGGAATATTCAACTCTGTGACTTGAATGCAGATATCACAAAGAAGTTTCTAAGAATGCTTCTGTCGAGATTTTATATGAAGATATTCCCGTTTCCAACAAAATCCTGAAATCTATCCAAATATCCCCTCGCAGATTCTACAAAAAGAGTGTTTCAAAACTGCTCTGTAAAAAGAAAGGTTCAACTCTGTTAGCTGAGTACACACATCACAAACAAGTTTCACAGAATGCTTCTTTCTAGCTTGTAGGGGAAGATATTCCCTTTATCACCATGGGCCTCAAACCGTCCGAAACGTCCACTTCCATATACTACAAAAAGAGCGTTTCAAACCTGCTCTATGAAAGGCAATGTTCAACTCTGTGACTTCAATGCAGACATCACAGAGCAGTTTCTGAGAATGCTTCTGTCTAGATTTTATTGGAAGGTATTCCCGTTTCCAACGAAATCTTCACAGCTATCCAAATATCCACTTGCAGATTCTACAAAAAGAGTGTATCAAAAATGCTCTGTCAAAAGGAAGGTTCTTCTCTGTTAGGTGAGTGCACACGTCATAAAGGAGTTTCTGAGAATGTTTCTGTCTAGTGGTTATGGGAAGATATTTGCTTTTTCACCTTAGGCCTCAGAGCGCTCCAAATATCCCCTTGCACATACTACAAAAAGAGTGCTTCAAAGCTGCTCTCTGAAAGGGAATGTTCAACTCTATGAGTTGAATGCAAACATCACAAAGACCTTTCTGAGAATGCTTCTGTGTAGATTTGATATGAAGATATTCCCGTTTCCAACGAAATCTTCTAATCTATCCAAATGTCCACTTGCAGATTCAACAAAAAGTGTTTTTCAGAACTGTTCTATCAAAAGAAAGATCCACCTCTGTTAGCTGAGTTCACACATCACAAACAAGTTTATGAGAATGCTTCTGTCTAGTTTTTATTTGAAGATATTTCCTTTCTCACCATAGACCTGAAAGCTGTCCTAATGTTCACTTCCAGTTACTACAGAAAGAGTGATTCAAAACTGCTGTACGAAAGGGAATGTTCAACTCTGTGACTTGAATGCACACATCACAAAGAAGTTTCTGAGGATGCTGCTGTCTACTTTTTATACGTAATCCCGTTTCCAACGAAATCCTCCAAGCTATCCAAATATCCACTTGCAGATTCCACAGAAAGACTGTTTCAAAACTGCTCTGTCAATAGAAAGGTTCAACTTCTGTTAGCTGCGTGCATATATCCCAAAGAAGATTCTGAGATTGCTTCTGTCTAGTTTTTATGGGAAGATATTTCGCTTTTCACCGTAGGTGTCAAGGCGCTCCAAATGTCCACTTCCAGATACTACAAAAAGAGTGTTTCAAACCTACTCTGTGAAAGGGAATATTCAACTCTGTGACTTGAATGCACATATCACAAAGAAGTTTCTGAGAATGCTTCTGTCGAGATTTTATATGAAGATATTCCCGTTTCCAACGAAATCCTGAAATCTATCCAAATATCCCCTCGCAGATTCTACAAAAAGAGTGTTTCAAAACTGCTCTGTAAAAAGAAAGGTTCAACTCTGTTAGTTGAGTACACACATCTCAAACAAGTTTCACAGAATGCTTCTTTCTAGCTTGTAGGGGAAGATATTCCCTTTATCACCATGGGCCTCAAACCGTCCGAAACGTCCACTTCAATATACTACAAAAAGAGCGTTTCAAACCTGCTCTATGAAAGGCAATGTTCAACTCTGTGACTTGAATGCAGACATCACAGAGCAGTTTCTGAGAATGCTTCTGTCTAGATTTTATAGGAAGATATTCCCGTTTCCAACGAAATCTTCACAGCTATCCGAATATCCACTTGCAGATTCTACAAAAAGAGTGTATCAAAACTGCTCTGTCAAAAGGAAGGTTCTTCTCTGTTAGGTGAGTGCATACGTCATAAAGGAGTTTCTGAGAATGTTTCTGTCTAGTGGTTATGGGAAGATATTTGCTCTTTCACCGTAGGCCTCAGAGCGCTCCAAATATCCACTTGCCCATACTACAAAAAGAGTGCCTCAAAGCTGCTCTCTGAAACGGAATGTTCAACTCTATGAGTTGAATGCAAACATCGCAAAGACGTTTCTGAGAATGCTTCTGTCTAGTATTTGATATGAAGATATTCCCGTTTCCAACGAAATCTTCATATCTATCCAAATGTCCACTTGCAGATTCAACAAAAAGTGTTTTTCAAAACTGCTGTATCAAAAGAAAGATCCACGTCTGTTAGCTGAGTTCACACATCACAAACAAGTTTATGAGAATGCTTCTGTCTAGTTTTTATTTGAAGATATTTCCTTTCTCACCATAGAGCTGAAAGCTGTCCTAATGTTCACTTCCAGATACTACAGAAAGAGTGTTTCAAAACTGCTGTACGAAAGGGAATGTTCAACTCTGTGACTTGAATGCACACATCACAAAGAAGTTTCTGATGATGCTGCTGTGTACTTTTTATACTTAATCCCGTTTCCAACGAAATCCTCCAAGCTATCCAAATATCCACTTGCAGATTCCACAGAAAGACTGTTTCAAAACTGCTCTGTCAATAGAAAGGTTCAACTCTGTTAGCTGCGTGCATATATCCCAAAGAAGATTCTGAGATTGCTTCTGTCTAGTTTTTATGGGAAGATATTTCCCTTTTCACCGTAGGCGTCAAGGCGCTCCAAATGTCCACTTCCAGATACTACAAAAAGAGTGTTTCAAACCTACTCTGTGAAAGGGAATATTCAACTCAGTGATTTGAATGCACATATCACAAAGAAGTTTCTGAGAATGCTTCTGTCGAGATTTTATATGAAGATATTCCCGTTTCCACCGAAATCCTGAAATCTATCCAAATATCCCCTCACAGATTCTACAGAAAGAGTGTTTCAAAACTGCTCTGTAAAAAGAAAGGTTCAACTCTGTTAGTTGAGTACACACATCACAAACAAGTTTCACAGAATGCTTCTTTCTAGCTTGTAGGGGAAGATTCCCCTTTATCATCGTGGTCCTCAAACCGTCCGAAAAGTCCACTTCCCTATACTACAAAAAGAGCGTTTCAAACCTGCTGTATGAAAGGCAATGTTCAACTCTGTGACTTGAATGCAGACATCACAGAGCAGTTTCTGAGAATGCTTCTGTCCAGACTTTATAGGAAGATATTCCCGTTTCCAACGAAATCTTCACAGCTATCCAAATATCCACTTGCAGATAGTACAAAAAGAGTGTATCAAAAATGCTCTGTCAAAAGGAAAGTTCTTCTCTGCTAGTTGAGTACATACGTCATAAAGGAGTTTCTGAGAATGTTTCTGACTAGTGGTTATGGGAAGATATTTGCTTTTTCACCGTAGGCCTCAGAGCGCTCCAAATATCCACTTGCACATACTACAAAAAGAGTGCCTCAAAGCTGCTCTCTGAAACGGAATGTTCAACTCTATGAGTTGAATGCAAACATCACAAAGACGTTTCTGAGAATGCTTCTGTCTAGATTTGATATGAAGATATGCCCGTTTCCAACGAAATCTTCAAATCTATCCAAATATCCACTTGCAGATTCAACAAAAAGTGTTTTTCAGAACTGCTCTATCAAAAGAAAGATCCACCTCTGTTAGCTGAGTTCACACATCAGAAACAAGTTTATGAGAATGCTTCTGTCTAGTTTTTATTTGAAGATATTTCCTTTATCACCATAGACCTGAAAGCTGTCCTAATGTTCACTTCCAGATACTACAGAAAGAGTGTTTCAAAACTGCTGTACGAAAGGGAATGTTCAACTCTGTGACTTGAATGCACACATCACAAAGAAGTTTCTGAGGATGCTGCTGTCTAGTTTTTATACGTAATCCCGTTTCCAACGAAATCCTCCAAGCTATCCAAATATCCACTTGCAGATTCCACAGAAAGACTGTTTCAAAACTGCTCTGTCAATAGAAAGGTTCAACTCTGTTAGCTGCGTGCATATATCCCAAAGGAGATTCTGAGATTGCTTCTGTCTAGTTTTGATGGGAAGATACTTCCCTTTTCACCGTAGGTGTCAAGGCGCTCCAAATATCCACTTCCAGATACTACAAAAAGAGTGTTTCAAACCTACTCTGTGAAAGGGAATATTCAACTCTGTGACTTGAATGCACATATCACAAAGAAGTTTCTGAGAATGCTTCTTTCGAGATTTTATATGAAGATATTCCCGTTTCCAACGAAATCCTGAAATCTATCCAAATATCCCCTCGCAGATTCTACAAAAAGAGTGTTTCAAAACTGCTCTGTAAAAAGAAAGGTTCAACTATGTTAGTTGAGTACACATATCACAAACAAGTTTCACAGAATGCTCTTCTTAGCTTGTGGGGGAAGATATTTCCTTTATCACCATGGGTCTCAAACCGTTCGAAACGTCCACTTCCACATGTAACAAAAAGAGCATTTCAAACCTGCTCCATGAAAGGGAATGTTCAACTCTGTGACTTGAATGCAGATATCACAAAGCAGTTTCTGAGGATGCTGCCTGTCTAGATTTTATAGGAAGATATTCCCGTTTCCAACGAAATCTTCACAGCTATCCAAATATCCACTTGCAGATTCTACAAAAAGAGTGTATCAAAACTGCTCTGTCAAAAGGAAGGTTGTTCTCTGTTAGTTGAGTGCATACGTCATAATGGAGTTTCTGAGAATGTTTCTGTCTAGTGGTTATGGGAAGATACTTGCTTTTTCCCCGTAGGCCTCTGAGCGCTCCAAATGTCAACTTGCACATGCTACAAAAAGAGTGCTTCAAAGCTGCTCTCTGAAGCGGAATGTTCAACTCTATGAGTTGAATGCAAACATCACAAAGACGTTTCTGAGAATGCTTCTGTCTAGATTTGATATGAAGATATTCCCGTTTCCAACGAAATCTTCAAATCTATCCAAATGTCCACTTGCAGATTCAACAAAGTGTTTTTCAGAACTGCTCTATAAAAAGAAAGATCCACCTCTGTTAGCTGAGATCACACTTCACAAACAAGTTTATCAGAATGCTTCTGTCTAGTTTTTATTTGAAGATATTTCCTTTCTCACCATAGACCTGAAATCTGTCCTAATGTTCACTTCCAGATACTACAGAAAGAGTGTTTCAAAACTGCTGTACGAAAGGGAATGTTCAACTCTGTGACTTGAATGCACACATCACAAAGAAGTTTCTGAGGATGCTGCTGTCTACTTTTTATACGTAATCCCGTTTCCAACGAAATCCTCCAAGCTATCCAAATATTCACTTGCAGATTCCACAGAAAGACTGTTTCAAAACTGCTCTGTCAATAGAAAGGTTCAACTCTGTTAGCTGCGTGCATATATCCCAAAGAAGTTTCTGAGATTACTTCTGTCTACTTTTTATGAGAAGATATTTCCCTTTTCACCGTAGGTGTCAAGGCGCTCCAAATGTCCACTTCCAGATACAACAAAAAGAGTGTTTCAAACCTACTCTGTGAAAGGGAATATTCAACTCTGTGACTTGAATGCACATATCACAAAGAAGTTTCTGAGAATGCTTCTGTCGAGATTTTATATGAAGATATTCCCGTTTCCAACGAAATCCTGAAATCTATCCAAATATCCCCTCGCAGATTCTACAAAAAGAGTGTTTCAAAACTGCTCTGTAAAAAGAAAAGTTCAACTCTGTTAGTTGAGTACACACATCACAAACAAGTTTCACACAATGCTTCTTTCTAGCTTGTAGGGGAAGATATTCCCTTTATCACCATGGGCCTCAAACCGTCCGATAAGTCCACTTCTATATACTACAAAAAGAGCGTTTCAAACCTGCTCTATGAAAGGCAATGTTCAACTCTGTGACTTGAATGCAGACATCACAGAGCAGTTTCTGAGAATGCTTCTGTCTAGATTTTATAGGAAGATATTCCCGTTTCCAACGAAATCTTCACAGCTATCCAAATATCCACTTGCAGATTCTACAAAAAGAGTGTATCTAAACTGCTCTGTCAAAAGGAAGGTTATTTTCTGTTAGGTGAGTGCATACCGTCATAAAGGAGTTTCTGAGAATGTTTCTGTCTAGTGGTTATGGGAAGATATTTGCTTTTTCACCTTAGGCCTCAGAGCGCTCCAAATATCCCCTTGCACATACTACAAAAAGAGTGCTTCAAAGCTGCTCTCTGAAACGGAATGTTCAACTCTATGAGTTGAATGCAAACATCACAAAGACGTTTCCGAGAATGCTTCTGTCTAGACTTAATATGAAGATATTCCCGTTTCCAACGAAATCTTCAAATCTATCCAAATGTCCACTTGCAGATTCAACAAAAAGTGTTTTTCAGAACTGCTCTATCAAAAGAAAGATCCACCTCTGTTAGCTGAGTTCACACATCACAAACAAGTTTATGAGAATGCTTCTGTCTAGTTTTTATTTGAAGATATTTCCTTTCTCACCATAGACCTGAAAGCTGTCCTAATGTTCACTTCCAGTTACTACAGAAAGAGTGTTTCAAAACAGCTGTACGAAAGGGAATGTTCAACTCTGTGACTTGAATGCACACATCACAAAGAAGTTTCTGAGGATGGTGCCGTCTACTTTTTATGCGTAATCCCGTTTCCAACGAAATCCTCCAAGCTATCCAAATATCCACTTGCAGATTCCACAGAAAGACTGTTTCAAAACTGCTCTGTCAATAGAAAGGTTCAACTCTGTTAGCTGCGTGCATATATCCCAAAGAAGATTCTGAGATTGCTTCTGTCTAGTTTTTATGGGAAGATATTTCCCTTTTCACCGTAGGCGTCAAGGCGCTCCAAATGTCCACTTCCAGATACTACAAAAAGAGTGTTTCAAACCTACTCTGTGAAAGGGAATATTCAACTCTGTGACTTGAATGCACATATCACAAAGACGTTTCTGAGAATGCTTCTGTCGAGATTTTAAATGAAGATATTCCCGTTTCCAACGAAATCCTGAAATCTATCCAAATATCCCCTCGCAGATTCTACAAAAAGAGTGTTTCAAAACTGCTCTGTGAAAAGAAAGGTTCAACTCTGTTAGTTGAGTACACACATCACAAACAAGTTTCACAGAATGCTTCTTTCTAGCTTGTAGGGGAAGATATTCCCTTTATCACCATGGGCCTCCAACCGTCGGAAACATCCACTTCCATATACTACAAAAAGAGCGTTTCAAACCTGCTGTATGAAAGGCAATGTTCAACTCTGTGACTTGAATGCAGACATCACAGAGCAGTTTCTGAGAATGCTTCTGTCCGGACTTTATAGGAATATATTCCCGATTCCAACGAAATCTTCACAGCTATCCAAATATCCACTTGCAGATACTACAAAAAGAGTGTATCAAAAGTGCTCTGTCAAAAGGAAAGTTCTTCTCTGCTAGTTGAGTACATACGCCATAAAGAAGTTTCTGAGATTGTTTCTGTCTAGTGGTTATGGGAAGATATTTGCTTTTTCCCCGTAGGCCTCAGGGCGCTCCAAATGTCCACTTGCACATGCTACAAAAAGAGTGCTCCAAAGCTGCTCTCTGAAAGGGAATGTTCAACTCTATGAGTTGAATGCAAACATCACAAAGACGTTTCTGAGAATGCTTCTGTCTAGATTTGATATGAAGATATTCCCGTTTCCAACGAAATCTTCAAATCTATCCAAATGTCCACTTGCAGATTCAAAAAAAAGTGTTTTTCAGAACTGCTCTATCAAAAGAAAGATCCACCTCCTGTTAGCTGAGTTCAGACATCACAAACAAGTTTATGAGAATGCTTCTGTCTAGTTTTTATTTGAAGATATTTCCTTTCTCACCATAGACCTGAAAGCTGTCCTAAAGTTCACTTCCAGATACTACAGAAAGAGCGTTTCAAAACTGCTGTATGAAAGGGAATGTTCAACTCTGTGACTTGAATGCACACATCACAAAGAAGTTTCTGAGGATGCTGCTGTCTAATTTTTATACATAATCCCTTTTCCAACGAAATCCTCCAAGCTATCCAAATATCCACTTGCAGATTCCACAGAAAGACTGTTTCAAAACTGCTCTGTCAATAGAAAGGTTCAACTCTGTTAGCTGCGTGCATATATCCCAAAGAAGATTCGGAGATTTCTTCTGCCTAGTTTTTATGGGAAGATATTTCCCTTTTCACCGTAGGCGTCAAGGCGCTCCAAATGTCCACTTCCAGATACTACAAAAAGAGTGTTTCAAACCTACTCAGTGAAAGGGAATATTCAACTCTGTGACTTGAATGCAGATATCACAAAGAAGTTTCTGAGAATGCTTCTGTCGAGATTTTATATGAAGATATTCCCGTTTCCAACGAAATCCTGAAATGTATCCAAATATCCCCTCGCAGATTCTACAAAAAGAGTGTTTCAAAACTGCTCTGTAAAAAGAAAGGTTCAACTCTGTTAGTTGAGTACATACATCACAAACAAGTTTCACAGAATGCTTCTTTCTAGGTTGTAGGGGAAGATATTCCCTTTATCACCATGGGCCTCAAACCGTCCGATAAGTCCACTTCCATATACTACAAAAAGAGCGTTTCAAACCTGCTCTATGAAAGGCAATGTTCAACTCTGTGACTTGAATGCAGACATCACAGAGCAGTTTCTGAGAATGCTTCTGTCCAGACTTTATAGGAAGATATTCCCGATTCCAACGAAATCTTCACATCTATCCAAATATCCACTTGCAGATACTACAAAAAGAGTGTATCAAAAAAGCTCTGTCAAAAGGAAAGTTCTTTTCTGCTAGTTGAGTACATACGTCATAAAGAAGTTTCTGAGAATGTTTCTGTCTAGTTGTTATGGGAAGATATTTGCTTTTTCCCCATAGGCCTCAGAGCGCTCCAAATGTCCACTTGAACATACTACAAAAAGAGTGCTTCAAAGCTGCTCTCTGAAAGGGAATGTTCAACTCTATGAGTTCAATGCAAACATCACAAAGACGTTTCTGAGAATGCTCTGTCTAGATTTGATATGAAGATATTCCCGTTTCCAACGAAATCTTCAAATCTATCCAAATGTCCACTTGCAGATTCAACAGAAAGTGTTTTTCAGAACTGCTCTATCAAAAGAAAGATCCACCTCTGTTAGCTGAGTTCACACATCACAAACAAGTTTATGAGAATGCTTTCTGTCTAGTTTTTATTTGAAGATATTTCCTTTCTCACCATAGACCTGAAAGCTGTCCTAATGTTCACTTCCAGTTACTACAGAAAGAGTGGTTCAAAACTGCTGTACGAAAGGGAATGTTCAACTCTGTGACTTGAATGCACACATCACAAAGAAGTTTCTGAGGATGCTGCTGTCTACTTTTTATACGTAATCCCGTTTCCAACGAAATCCTCCAAGCTATCCAAATATACACTTGCAGATTCCACAGAAAGACTGTTTCAAAACTGCTCTGTCAATAGAAAGGTTCAACTCTGTTAGCTGCGTGCATATATCCCAAAGAAGATTCTGAGATTGTTTCTGTCTAGTTTTTATGGGAAGATATTTCCCTTTTCACAGTAGGTGTCAAGGCGCTCCAAATGTCCACTTCCAGATACTACAAAAAGAGTGTTTCAAACCTACTCTGTGAAAGGGAATATTCAACTCTGTGACTTGAATGCACATATCACAAAGAAGTTTCTGAGAATGCTTCTGTCGAGATTTTATATGAAGATATTCCCGTTTCCATCGAAATCCTGAAATCTATCCAAATATCCGCTCGCAGATTCTACAAAAAGAGTGTTTCAAAACTGCTCTGTGAAAAGAAAGGTTCAACTCTGTTAGTTGAGTACACACATCACAAACAAGTTTCACACAATGCTTCTTTCTAGCTTGTAGGGGAAGATATTCCCTTTATCACCATGGGCCTCAAACCGTCCGATACGTCCACTTCCATATACTACAAAAAGAGCGTTTCAAACCTGCTCTATGAAAGGCAATGTTCAACTCTGTGACTTGAATGTAGACATCACAGAGCAGTTTCTGAGAATGCTTCTGTCTAGATTTTATAGGAAGATATTCCCGTTTCCAACGAAATCTTCACAGCTATCCAAATATCCACTTTCAGATTCTACAAAAAGAGTGTATCAAAAATGCTCTGGCAAAAGGAAGGTTCTTCTCTGTTAGGTGAGTGCATACGTCATAAAGGAGTTTCTCAGAATGTTTCTGTCTAGTGGTTATGGGAAGATATTTGCTTTTTCCCCGTAGGCCTCAGAGCGCTCCAAATATCCACTTGCACATATTACAAAAAGAGTGCTTCAAAGCTGCTCTCTGAAACGGAATGTTCAACTCTATGAGTTGAATGCAAACATCACAAAGACGTTTCTGAGAATGCTTCTGTCTAGATTTGATATGAAGATATTCCCGTTTCCAACGAAATCTTCAAATCTATCCAAATGTCCACTTGCAGATTCAACAAAAAGTGTTTTTCAGAACTGCTCTATCAAAAGAAAGATCCACCTCTGTTAGCTGAGTTCAGACATCACAAACAAGTTTATGAGAATGCATCTGTCTAGTTTTTATTTGAAGATATTTCCTTTCTCACCATAGACCTGAAAGCTGTCCTAATGTTCACTTCCAGATACAACAGAAAGAGTGTTTCAAAACTGCTGTACGAAAGGGAATGTTCAACTCTGTGACTTGAATGCACACATCACAAAGAAGTTTCTGAGGATGCTGCTCTCTACTTTTTATACTTAATCCCGTTTCCAACGAAATCCTCCAAGCTATCCAAATATCCACTTGCAGATTCCACAGAAAGACTGTTTCAAAACTGCTCTGTCAATAGAAAGGTTCAACTCTGTTAGCTGCGTGCATATATCCCAAAGAAGATTCTGAGATTGCTTCTGTCTATTTTTTATGGGAAGATATTTCCCTTTTCACCGTAGGTGTCAAGGCGCTCCAAATGTCCACTTCCAGATACTACAAAAAGAGTGTTTCAAACCTACTCTGTGAAAGGGAATATTCAACTCTGTGACTTGAATGCAGATATCACAAAGAAGTTTCTGAGAATGCTTCTGTCGAAATTTTATATGAAGATATTCCCGTTTCCAACGAAATGCTGAAATGTATCCAAATATCCCCTCGCAGATTCTACAAAAAGAGTGTTTCAAAACTGCTCTGTAAAAAGAAAGGTTCAACTCTGTTAGTTGAGTACACACATCACAAACAAGTTTCACAGAATGCTTCTTTCTAGCTTGTAGGGGAAGATATTCCCTTTATCACCATGGGCCTCCAACCGTCCGAAACATCCAGTTCCATATACTACAAAAAGAGCGTTTCAAACCTCCTCTATGAAAGGCAATGTTCAACTCTGTGACTTGAATGCAGACATCACAGAGCAGTTTCTGAGAATGCTTCTGTCTAGATTTTATAGGAAGATATTCCCGTTTCCAACGAAATCTTCACAGCTATCCAAATATCCACTTGCAGATTCCACAAAAAGAGTGTATCAAAACTGCTCTGTCAAAAGGAAGGTTCTTCTCTGTTAGGTGAGTGCATACGTCATAAAGGAGTTTCTGAGAATGTTTCTGTCTAGTGGTTATGGGAAGATATTTGCTTTTTCACCCTAGGCCTCAGAGCGCTCCAAATATCCACTTGCACATACTACAAAAAGAGTGCCTCAAAGCTGCTCTCTGAAACCGAATGTTCAACTCTATGAGTTGAATGCAAACATCACAAAGACGTTTCTGAGAATGCTTCTGTCTAGATTTGATATGAAGATATTCCCGTTTCCAACGAAATCTTCAAATCTATCCAAATGTCCACTTGCAGATTCAACAAAATGTGTTTTTCAGAACTGCTCTATCAAAAGAAAGATCCACCTCTGTTAGCTGAGTTCACACATCACAAACAAGTTTATGAGAATGCTTTCTGTCTAGTTTTTATTTGAAGATATTTCCTTTCTCACCATAGACCTGAAAGCTGTCCTAATGTTCACTTCCAGATACTACAGAAGGAGTGTTTCAAAACTGCCGTACGAAAGGGAATGTTCAACTCTGTGACTTGAATGCACACATCACAAAGAAGTTTCTGAGGATGCTGCTGTCTACTTTTTATACGTAATCCCGTTTCCAACGAAATCCTCCAAGCTATCCAAATATCCACTTGCAGATTCCACAGAAAGACTGTTTCAAAACTGCTCTGTCAATAGAAAGGTTCAACTCTGTTAGCTGCGTGCATATATCCCAAAGAAGATTCTGAGATTGCCTCTGTCTAGTTTTTATGGGAAGATATTTCCCTTTTCACCGTAGGTGTCAAGGCGCTCCAAATGTCCACTTCCAGATACTACAAAAAGAGTGTTTCAAACCTACTCTGTGAAAGGGAATATTCAACTCTGTGACTAGAATGCACATATTACAAAGAAGTTTCTGAGAATGCTTCTGTCGAGATTTTATATGAAGATATTCCCGTTTCCAACGAAATCCTGAAATCTATCCAAATATCCCCTTGCAGATTCTACAAAAAGAGTGTTTCAAAACCGCTCTGTAAAAAGAAAGGTTCAACTCTGTTAGCTGAGTACACACATCACAAACAAGTTTCACAGAATGCTTCTTTCTAGCTTGTAGAGGAAGATATTCCCTTTATCACCATGGGCCTCAAACCGTCCGATAAGTCCACTTCCATATACTACAAAAAGAGCGTTTCAAACCTGCTCTATGAAAGGCAATGTTCAACTCTGTGACTTGAATGCAGACATCACAGAGCAGTTTCTGAGAATGCTTCTGTCCAGACTTTATAGGAAGATATTCCCGTTTCCAACGAAATCTTCACAGCTATCGAAATATCCACTTGCAGATACTACAAAAGAGTGTATGAAAAATGCTCTGTCAAAAGGAAAGTTCTTCTCTGCTAGTTGAGTACATACGTCATAAAGAAGTTTCTGAGAATGTTTCTGTCTAGTGTTTATGGGAAGATATTTGCTTTTTCACCGTAGGCCTCAGAGCGCTCCAAATATCCACTTGCACATACTACAAAAAGAGTGTTTCCAAGCTGCTCTCTGAAAGGGAATGTTCAACTCTATGAGTTGAATGCAAACATCACAAAGACGTTTCTGAGAATGCTTCTCTCTAGATTTGATATGAAGATATTCCCGTTTCCAAAGAAATCTTCAAATCTATCCAAATGTCCACTTGCAGATTCAACAAAAAGTGTTTTTCCGAACTGCTCTATCAAAAGAAAGATCCACCTCTGTAAGCTGAGTTCACACATCACAAACAAGTTTATGAGAATGCTTCTGTCTAGTTTTTATTTGAAGATATTTGCTTTCTCACCATAGACCTGAAAGCTGTCCTAATGTTCACTTCCAGATACTACAGAAAGAGTGTTTCAAAACTGCTGTACGAAAGGGAATGTTCAACTCTGTGACTTGAATGCACACATCACAAAGAAGTTTCTGAGGATGCTGCTGTCTACTTTTTATACGTAATCCCGTTTCCAACGAAATCCTCCAATCTATGCAAATATCCACTTGCAGATTCCACAGAAAGAGTGTTTCAAAACTGCTCTGTCAATAGAAAGGTTCAACTCTGTTAGCTGCGTGCATATATCCCAAAGAAGATTCTGAGATTGCTTCTGTCTAGTTTTTATGGGAAGATATTTCCCTTTTCACCGTAGGTGTCAAGGCGCTCCAAATGTCCACTTCCAGATACTACAAAAAGAGTGTTTCAAACCTACTCTGTGAAAGGGAATATTCAACTCTGTGAATTGAATGCACATATCACAAAGAAGTTTCTGAGAATGCTTCTGTCGAGATTTTCTATGAAGATATTCCCGTTTCCAACGAAATCGTGAAATCTATCCAAATATCCCCTCGCAGATTCTACAAAAAGAGTGTTTCAAAACTGCTCTGTAAAAAGAAAGGTTCAACTCTGTTAGTTGAGTACACACATCACAAACAAGTTTCACAGAATGCTTCTTTCTAGCTTGTAGGGGAAGATATTCCCTTTATCACCATGGGCCTCCAACCGTCCGAAACATCCACTTTCATATACTACAAAAAGAGCGTTTCAAACCTGCTCTATGAAAGGCAATGTTCAACTCTGTGACTTGAATGCAGACATCACAGAGCAGTTTCTGAGAATGCTTCTGTCTAGATTTTATAGGAAGATATTCCCGTTTCCAACGAAATCTTCACAGCTATCCAAATATCCACTTGCAGATTCTTCAAAAAGAGTGTATCAAAACTGCTCTGTCAAAAGGAAGGTTCTTCTCTGTTAGTTGAGTACATACGTCATAAAGGAGTTTCTGAGAATGTTTCTGTCTAGTGGTTATGGGAAGATATTTGCTTTTTCACCGTAGGCCTCAGAGCGCTCCAAATATCCACTTGCACATACTACAAAAAGAGTGCCTCAAATCTGCTCTCTGAAACGGAATGTTCAACTCTATGAGTTGAATGTAAACATCACAAAGACGTTTCTGAAAATGCTTCTGTCTAGATTTGATATGAAGATATTCCCGTTTCCAAAGAAATCTTCAAATCTATCCAAATGTCCACTTGCAGATTCAACAAAAAGTGTTTTTCAGAACTGCTCTATCAAAAGAAAGATCCACCTCCGTTAGCTGAGTTCACACATCACAAACAAGTTTATGAGAATGCTTCTGTCTAGTTTTTATTTGAAGGTATTTCCTTTCTCACCATAGACCTGAAAGCTGTCCTAATGTTCACTTCCAGATACTACAGAAAGAGTGTTTCAAAACTGCTGTACGAAAGGGAATGTTCAACTCTGTGACTTGAATGCACACATCACAAAGAAGTTTCTGAGGATGTTGCTGTCTACTATTTATACGTAATCCCGTTTCCAACGAAATCCTCCAATCTAACCAAATATCCACTTGCAGATTACACAGAAAGACTGTTTCAAAACTGCTCTGTCAATAGAAAGGTTCAACTCTGTTAGCTGCGTGCATATATCCCAAAGAAGATTCTGAGATTGCTTCTGTCTAGTTTTTATGGGAAGATATTTCCCTTTTCACCGTAGGCGTCCAGGCGCTCCAAATGTCCACTTCCAGATACTACAAAAAGAGTGTTTCAAACCTACTCTGTGAAAGGGAATATTCAACTCTGTGACTTGAATGCACATAACACAAGGAAGTTTCTGAGAATGCTTCTGTCGAGATTTTATATGAAGATATTCCCGTTTCCAACGAAATGCTGAAATGTATCCAAATAACCCCTCGCAGATTCTACAAAAAGAGTGTTTCAAAACTGCTCTGTAAAAAGAAAGGTTCAACTCTGTTAGTTGAGTACACACATCACAAACTAGTTTCACAGAATGCTTCTTTCTAGCTTGTAGGGGAAGATATTCCCTTTATCACCATGGGCCTCCAACCGTCTGAAACATCCACTTCCATATACTACAAAAAGAGCATTTCAAACCTGCTCTATGAAAGGCAATGTTCAACTCTGTGACTTGAATGCAGACATCACAGAGCAGTTTCTGAGAATGCTTCTGTCTAGATTTTATAGGAAGATATTCCCGTTTCCAACGAAATCTTCACAGCTATCCCAATATCCACTTGAAGATTCTACAAAAAGAGTGTATCAAAACTGCTCTGTCAAAAGGAAGGTTCTTCTCTGTTAGGTGAGTGCATACGTCATAAAGCAGTTTCTGAGAATGTTTCTGTCTAGTGGTTATGGGAAGATATTTGCTTTTTCACCGTAGGCCTCAGAGCGCTCCAAATATCCGCTTGCACATACTACAAAAAGAGTGCTTCAAAGCTGCTCTCTGAAACGGAATGTTCAACTCTATGAGTTGAATGCAAACATGACAAAGACGTTTCTGACAATGCTTCTGTCTAGATTTGATATGACGATATTCCCGTTTCCAACGAAATCTTCAAATCTATCCAAATGTCCACTTGCAGATTCAACAAAAAGTGTTTTTCAGAACTGCTCTATCAAAAGAAAGATCCACCTGTGTTAGCTGAGTTCACACATCACAAACAAGTTTATTAGAATGCTTCTGTCTAGTTTTTATTTGAAGATATTTCCTTTCTCACCATAGACCTGAAAGCTGTCCTAATGTTCACTTCCAGATACTACAGAAAGAGCATTTCAAAACTGCTGTACGAAAGAGAATGTTCAACTACTGTGACTTGAATGCACACATCACAAAGAAGTTTCTGAGGATGCTGCTGTCTACTTTTTATACGTAATCCCGTTTCCAACGAAATCCTCCAAGCTATCCAAATATCCACTTGCAGATTCCACAGAAAGACTGTTTCAAAACTGCTCTGTCAATACAAAGGTTCAACTCTGTTAGCTGCATGCATATATCCCAAAGAAGATTCTGAGATTGCTTCTGTCTAGTTTTTATGGGAAGATATTTCCCTTTTCACCGTAGGCGTCAAGGCGCTCCAAATGTCCACTTCCAGATACTACAAAAAGAGTGTTTCAAACCTACTCTGTGAAAGGGAATATTCAACTCTGTGAGTTGAATGCAGATATCACAAAGAAGTTTCTGAGAATGCTTCTGTCGAGATTTTATATGAAGATATTCCCGTTTCCAACGAAATCCTGAAATCTATCCAAATATCCGCTCGCAGATTCTACAAAAAGAGTGTTTCAAAACTGCTCTGTAAAAACAAAGGTTCAACTCTGTTAGTTGAGTACACACATCACAAACAAGTTTCACAGAATGCTTCTTTCTAGCTTGTAGGGGAAGATATTCCCTTTATCACCATGGTCCTCAAACCGTTCGAAACGTCCTCTTCCATATAGTACAAAAAGAGCCTTTCAAACCTGCTCTATGAAAGGCAATGTTCAACTCTGTGACTTGAATGCAGACATCACAGAGCAGTTTCTGAGAATGCTTCTGTCTAGATTTCATAAGAAGATATTCCCGTTTCCAACGAAATCTTCACAGCTATCCAAATATCCACTTGGAGATTCTACAAAAAGAGTGTATCAAAACTGCTCTGTCAAAAGGAAGGTTCTTCTCTGTTAGGTGAGTGCATACGTCATAAAGGAGTTTCTGAGAATGTTTCTGTCTAGTGGTTATGGGAAGATATTTGCTTTTTCACCGTAGGCCTCAGAGCGCTCCAAATATCCACTTGCACATACTACAAAAAGAGTGCCTCAAAGCTGCTCTCTGAAACGGAATGTTCAACTCTATGAGTTGAATGCCAACAGCACAAAGACGTTTCTGAGAATGCTTCTGTCTAGATTTGATATGAAGATATTCCCGTTACCAACGAAATCTTCAAATCTATCCAAATGTCCACTTGCAGATTCAACAAAAAGTGTTTTTCAGAACTGCTCTATCAAAAGAAAGATCCACCTCTGTTAGCTGAGTTCACACATCACAAACAAGTTTATGAGAATGCTTTCTGTCTAGTTTTTATTTGAAGATATTTCCTTTCTCAACATAGAGCTGAAAGCTGTCCTAATGTTCACTTCCAGATACTACAGAAAGAGTGTTTCAAAACTGCTGTACGAAAGGGAATGTTCAACTGTGTGACTTGAATGCACACATCACAAAGAAGTTTCTGAGGATGCTGCTGTCTACTTTTTATACGTAATCCCGTTTCCAACGAAATCCTCCAAGCTATCCAAATATCCACTTGCAGATTCCACAGAAAGACTGTTTCAAGACTGCTCTGGCAATAGAAAGGTTCAACTCTGTTAGCTGCGTGCATATATCCCAAAGAAGATTCTGAGATTGCTTCTGACTAGTTTTTATTGGAAGATATTTCCTTTTTCACCATAGGCATCAAAGCGCTCCAAATTTCCACTTCCAGATACTAAAAAAAAAGAGTGTTTCAAACCTACTGTGTGGAAGGGAATATTTAACTCGGTGACTTCAATGCACATATCACAGAGAAGTTTCTGAGAATGCTTCTGTCGAGATTTTTTATGAAGATATTCCCGTTTACAACGAAATTCTGTAATCTATCCAAATATCCCCTCGCAGATTCTAGAAAAAGAGTGTTTCAAAACTGCTCTGTAAAAAGAAAGTTTCACTTCTCTTAGTTGAGTACACACATCACAAACAAGTTTCTCAGAATGCTTCTTTCTAGGTTGTAGGGGAAGATATTCCCTTTATCACCATGGGCCTCAAACCGTCCGAAACGTCCACTTTTATATACTACAAAAAGAGCGTTTCAAACCTGCTCTATGAAAGGCAATGTTCAACTCTGTGACTTGAATGCAGACATCACAGAGCAGTTTCTGAGAATGCTTCTGTCCAGACTTTATAGGAAGATATTCCCGTTTCCAACGAAATCTTCACAGCTATCCAAATATCCACTTGCAGATAGTACAAAAAGAGTGTATCAGAAATGCTCTGTCAAAAGGAAAGTTCTTACTCTGCTAGTTGAGTACATACGTCATAAAGAAGTTTCTGAGAATGTTTCTGTCTAGTGGTTATGGGAAGATATTTGCTTTTTCACCGTAGGCCTCAGAGCGCTCCAAATATCCACTTGCACATACTACAAAAAGAGTGCTTCAAAGCTGCTCTCTGAAAGGGAATGTTACACTCTATGAGTTGAATGCAAACATCACAAAGACGTTTCTCAGAATGCTTCTGTCTAGATTTGATATGAAGATATTCCCGTTTCCAACGAAATCTTCAAATCTATCCAAATGTCCACTTGCAGATTCAACAAAAAGTGTTTTCCAGAACTGCTCTATCAAAAGAAAGATCCACCTCTGTTAGCTGAGTTCACACATCACAAACAAGTTTATGAGAATGCTTCGGTCTAGTTTTTATTTGAAGATATTTCCTTTCTCACCATAGAGCTGAAAGCTGTCCTAATGTTCACTTCCAGATACTACAGAAAGAGTGTTTCAAAACTGCTGTACGAAAGGGAATGTTCAACTCTGTGACTTGAATGCACACATCAGAAAGAAGTTTCTGAGGATGCTGCTGTCTACTTTTTATACGTAATCCCGTTTCCAACGAAATCCTCCAAGCTATCCAAATATCCACTTACAGATTCCACAGAAAGACTGTTTCAAAACTGCTCTGTCAATAGAAAGGTTCAACTCTGTTAGCTGCGTGCATATATCCCAAAGAAGATTCTGAGATTGCTTCTGTCTAGTTTTTATGGGAAGATATTTCCCTTTTCACCGTAGGCGTCAAGGCGCTCCAAATGTCCACTTCCAGATACTACAAAAAGAGTGTTTCAAACCTACTCTGTGAAAGGGAATATTCAACTCTGTGACTTGAATGCCCATGTCACAAGGAAGTTTCTGAGAATGCTTCTGTCAAGATTTTATAGGAAGAAATTCCCGTTTCCAACGAAATCCTGAAATCTATCCAAATAACCCCTCGCAGATTCTACAAAAAGAGTGTTTCAAAACTGCTCTGTAAAAAGAAAAGTTCAATTCTGTTAGTTGAGTACACACATCACAAACAAGTTTCACAGAATGCTTCTTTCTAGCTTGTAGGGGAAGATATTCCCTTTATCACCATGGGCCTCCAACCGTCCGAAACATCCACTTCCATATACTACAAAAAGAGCGCTTCAAACCTGCTCTATGAAAGGCAATGTTCAACTCTGTGACTTGAATACAGACATCACAGAGCAGTTTCTGAGAATGCTTCTGTCTAGATTTTATAGGAAGATATTCCCGTTTCCAACGAAATCTTCACAGCTATCCAAATATCCACTTGCAGATTCTACAAAAAGAGTGTATCAAAACTGCTCTGTCAAAAGGAAGGTTCTTCTCTGTTAGTTGAGTACATACGTCGTAAAGGAGTTTCTGAGAATGTTTGTGTCTAGTGGTTATGGGAAGATATTTGCTTTTTCACCTTAGGCCTCAGAGCGCTCAAAATATCCCCTTGCACATACTACAAAAAGAGTGCTTCAAAGCTGCTCTCTGAAAGGGAATGTTCAATTCTATGAGTTGAATGCAAACATAACAAATACGTTTCTGAGAATGCTTCTGTCTAGATTTGATATGAAGATATTCCCGTTTCCAACGAAATCTTCAAATCTATCCAAATGTCCACTTGCAGATTCAACAAAGTGTTTTTCAGAACTGCTCTATCAAAAGAAAGATCCACCTCTGTTAGCTGAGATCACACTTCACAAACAAGTTTATCAGAATGCTTATCTGTCTAGTTTTTATTTGAAGATATTTCCTTTCTCACCATAGACCTGAAAGCTGTCCTAATGTTCACTTCCAGATACTACAGAAAGAGTGTTTCAAAACTGCTGTACGAAAGCGAATGTTCAACTCTGTGACTTGAATGCACACATCACAAAGAAGTTTCTGAGGATGCTGCTGTCTACTTTTTATACGTAATCCCGTTTCCAACGAAATCCTCCAAGCTATCCAAATATCCACTTGCAGATTCCACAGAAAGACTGTTTCAAATCTGCTCTGTCAATAGAAAGGTTCAACTCTGTTAGCTGCGTACATATATCCCAAAGAAGATTCTGAGATTGCTTCTGTCTAGTTTTTATGGGAAGATATTTCCCTTTTCACCGTAGGCGTCAAGGCGCTCCAAATGTCCACTTCCAGATACTACAAAAAGAGTGTTTCAAACCTACTCTGTGAAAGGGAATATTCAACTCTGTGACTTGAATGCGCATATCACAAAGAAGTTTCTGAGAATGCTTCCGTCGAGATTTTATATGAAGATATTCCCGTTTCCAACAAAATCCTGAAATCTATCGAAATATCCCCTCGCAGATTCTACAAAAAGAGTGTTTCAAAACTGCTCTGTAAAAAGAAAGGTTCAACTCTGTTAGTTGAGTACACACATCACAAACAAGTTTCACAGAATGCTTCTTTCTAGCTTGTAGGGGAAGATATTCCCTTTATCACCATGGGCCTCCAACCGTCCGAAACATCCACTTCCATATACTACAAAAAGAGCGTTTCAAACCTGCTCTATGAAAGGCAATGTTCAACTCTGTGACTTGAATGCAGGCATCACAGAGCAGTTTCTGAGAATGCTTCTGTCCAGACTTTATAGGAAGATATTCCCGATTCCAACGAAATCTTCACAGCTATCCAAATATCCACTTGCAGATACTACAAAAAGAGTGTATCAAAAAAGCTCTGTCAAAAGGAAAGTTCTTCTCTGCTAGTTGAGAACATACGTCATAAAGAAGTTTCTGAGAATGTTTCTGTCTAGTGGTTATGGGAAGATATTTGCTTTTTCACCGTAGGCCTCAGGGCGCTCCAAATGTCCACTTGCACATGCTACAAAAAGAGTGCTTCAAAGCTGCTCTCTGAAAGGGAATGTTCAACTCTATGAGTTGAATGCAAACATCACAAAGACGTCTCTGAGAATGCTTCTGTCTAGATTTGATATGAAGATATTCCCGTTTCCAACGAAATCTTCAAATCTATCCAAATGTCCACTTGCAGATTCAACAAAAAGTGTTTTTCAGAACTGCTCTATCAAAAGAAAGACCCATCTCTGTTAGCTGAGTTCACACATTACAAACAAGTTTATGAGAATGCTTCTGTCTAGTTTTTATTTGAAGATATTTCCTTTCTCACCATAGACCTGAAAGCTGTCCTAATGTTCACTTCCAGATACTACAGAAAGAGTGTTTCAAAACTGCTGTACGAAAGGGAATGTTCAACTCTGTGACTTGAATGCACACATCACAAAATAGTTTCTGAGGATGCTGCTGTCTACTTTTTATACGTAATCCCGTTTCCAAAGAAATCCCCCAAGCTATCCAAATATCCACTTGCAGATTCCACAGAAAGACTGTTTCAAAACTGCTCTGTCAATAGAAAGGTTCAACTCTAATAGCTGCGTGCATATATCCCAAAGAAGATTCTGAGATTGCTTCTGTCTAGTTTTTATGGGAAGATATTTCCCTTTTCACCGTAGGCGTCAAGGCGCTCCAAATGTCCACTTCCAGATACTACAAAAAGAGTGTTTCAAACCTACTCTGTGAAAGGGAATATTCAACTCTGTGACTGGAATGCACATATCACAAGGAAGTTTCTGAGAATGCTTCTGTCGAGATTTTATATGAAGATATTCCCGTTTCCAACGAAATCCTGAAATCTATCCAAATATCCCCTCGCAGATTCTACAAAAAGAGTGTTTCAAAACTGCTCTGTGAAAAGAAAGGTTCAACTCTGTTAGTTGAGTACACACATCACAAGCAAGTTTCACAGAATGCTTCTTTCTAGCTTGTAGGGGAAGATATTCCCTTTATCACCATGGGCCTCAAACCGTCCGAAACGTCCACTTCCATATACTACAAAAAGAGTGTTTCAAACCTGCTCTATGAAAGGCAATGTTCAACTCTGTGACGTGAATGCAGACATCACAGAGTAGTTTCTGAGAATGCTTCTGTCTAGATTTTATAGGAAGATATTCCCGTTTCCAACGAAATCTTCACAGCTATCCAAATATCCACTTGCAGATTCTACAAAAAGAGTGTATCAAAACTGCTCTGTCAAAAAGAAGGTTCTTCTCTGTTAGGTGAGTGCATACGTCATAAAGGAGTTTCTGAGAATGTTTCAGTCTAGTGTTTATGGGAAGATATTTGCTTTTTCCCCGTAGGCCTCAGAGCGCTCCAAATATCCACTTGCACATACTACAAAAAGAGTGCTTCAAAGCTGCTCTCTGAAACGGAATGTTCAACTCTATGAGTTGAATGCAAACATTACAAAGACGTTTCCGAGAATCCTTTTGTCTAGATTTGATATGAAGATATTCCCGTTTCCAACGAAATCTTCAAATCTATCCAAATGTCCACTTGCAGATTCAACAAAAAGTGTTTTTCAGAACTGCTCTATCAAAAGAAAGATCCACCTCTGTTAGCTGACTTCACACATCACAAACAAGTTTATGAGAATGCTTCTGTCTAGTTTTTATTTGAAGATATTTCCTTTCTCACCATAGACCTGAAAGCTGTCCTAATGTTCACTCCCAGATAATACAGAAAGAGTGCTTCAAAACTGCTGTACGAAAGGGAATGTTCAACTCTGTGACTTGAATGCACACATCACAAAGAAGTTTCTGAGGATGCTGCTGTCTACTTTTGATACGTAATCCCGTTTCCAACGAAATCCTCCAATCTATCCAAATATCCACTTGCAGATTCCACAGAAAGACTGTTTCAAATCTGCTCAGTCAATAGAAAGGTTCAACTCTGTTAGCTGCGTGCATATATCCCAAAGAAGATTCTGAGATTGCTTTCTGTCTAGTTTTTATGGGAAGATATTTCCCTTTTCACCATAGGCGTCAAGGCGCTCCAAATGTCCACTTCCAGATACTACAAAAAGAGTGTTTCAAACCTACTCTGTGAAAGGGAATATTCAACTCGGTGACTTGAATGCACATATCACAAAGAAGTTTCTGAGAATGCTTCTGTCGAGATTTTATATGAAGATATTCCCGTTTCCAACGAAATCCTGAAATCTATCCAAATATCCCCTCACAGATTCTACAAAAAGAGTGTTTCAAAACTGCTCTGTAAAAAGAAAGGTTCAACTCAGTTAGTTGAGTACACACATCACAAACAAGTTTCACAGAATGCTTTCTTTCTAGCTTGTAGGGGAAGATATTCCCTTTATCATCATGGGCCTCAAACCGTCCGAAACGTCCACTTCCATATACTACAAAAAGAGCGTTTCAAACCTGCTCTATGAAAGGCAATGTTCAACTCTGTGACTTGAATGCAGACATCACAGAGCAGTTTCTGAGAATGCTTCTGTCTAGATTTTATAGGAAGATATTACCGTTTCCAACGAAATCTTCACAGCTATCCAAATATCCACTTGCAGATTCTACAAAAAGAGTGTATCAAAACTGCTCTGTCAAAAGGAAGGTTCTTCTCTGTTAGGTGAGTGCATACGTCATAAAGGAGTTTCTGAGAATGTTTCTGTCTAGTGGTTATGGGAAGATATTTTCTTTTTCACTTTAGGCCTCAGAGTGCTCCAAATATCCGCTTGCACATACTACAAAAAGAGTGCTTCAAAGCTGCTCTATGAAAGGGAATGTTCAACTCTATGAGTTGAATGCAAACATCACAAAGACGTTTCTGAGAATGCTTCTGTCTAGATTTGATATGAAGATATTCCCGTTTCCAACGAAATCTTCTAATCTATCCAAATGTCCTCTTGCAGATTTAACAAAAAGTGTTTTTCAGAACTGCTCTATCAAAAGAAAGATCCACGTGTGTTAGCTGAGTTCACACATCACGAACAAGTTTATGAGAATGCTTCTGTCTAGTTTTTATTTGAAGATATATCCTTTCTCACTATAGACCTGAAAGCTCTCCTAAAGTTCACTTCCAGATACTACAGAAAGAGTGTTTCAAAACTGCTGTATGAAAGGGAATGTTCAACTCTGTGACTTGAATGCACACATCACAAGGATGTTTCTGAGGATGCTGCTGTCTAATTTTTATACGTAATCCCGTTTCCAACGAAATCCTCCAAGCTATCCAAATATCCACTTGCAGATTCCACAGAAAGACTGTTTCAAAACTTCTCTGTCAATAGAAAGGTTCAACTCTGTTAGCTGCGTGCATATATCCCAAAGAAGATTCTGAGATTGCTTCTGTCTAGTTTTTATGGGAAGATATTTCCCTTTTCACCGTAGGTGTCAAGGCGCTCCAAATGTCCACTTCCAGATACTACAAAAAGAGTGTTTCAAAGCTACTCTGTGAAAGGGAATATTCAACTCTGTGACTTAAAGGCAGATATCACAAAGAAGTTTCTGAGAATGCTTCTGTCGAGATTTTATATGAAGATATTCCCGTTTCCAACGAAATCCTGAAATCTATCCAAATATCCCCTCGCAGATTCTACAAAAAGAGTGTTTCAAAACTGCTCTGTTAAAAGAAAGGTTCAACTCTGTTAGTTGAGTACACACATCACAAACAAGTTTCACAGAATGCTTCCTTCTAGCTTGTAGGGGAAGATATTCCCTTTATCACCATGGGCCTCAAACCGTCCGAAACGTCCACTTCCATATACTACAAAAAGAGCGTTTCAAACCTGCTCTAGGAAAGGCAATGTTCAACTCTGTGACTTGAATGCAGACATCACAGAGCAGTTTCTGAGAATGCTTCTGTCTAGATTTTATAGGAAGATATTCCCGTTTCCAAGGAAATCTTCACAGCTATCCAATATCCACTTGCAGATTCTACAAAAAGAGTGTATCAAAACTGCTCTGTCAAAAGGAAGGTTCTTCTCTGTTAGTTGAGTACATACGTCATAAAGGAGTTTCTGAGAATGTTTCTGTCTAGTGGTTATGGGAAGATATTTGCTTTTTCACCTTAGGCCTCAGAGCGCTCCAAATATCCCCTTGCACATCCTACAAAAAGAGTGCTTCAAAGCTGCTCTCTGAAAGGGAATGTTCAACTCTATGAGTTGAATGCAAACATCACAAAGACGGTTCTGGGAATGCTTCTGTCTAGATTTGATATGAAGATATTCCCGTTTCCAACGAAATCTTCAAATCTATCCAAATGTCCACTTGCAGATTCAACAAAAAGTGTTTTTCAGAACTGCTCTATCAAAAGAAAGATCCACCTACTGTTAGCTGAGTTCAGACATCACAAACAAGTTTATGAGAATGCTTTTGTCCAGTTTTTATTTGAAGATATTGCCTTTCTCACCGTAGACCTCAAAGCTGTCCTAATGTTCACTTCCAGATACTACAGAAAGAGTGTTTCAAAACTGCTGTACGAAAGGGAATGTTCAACTCTGTGACTTGAATGCACACATCACAAAGAAGTTTCTGAAGATGCTGCTGTCTACTTTTTATACGTAATCCCGTTTCCAACGAAATCCTCCAAGCTATCCAAATATCCACTTGCAGATTCCACAGAAAGACTGTTTCAAAACTGCTCTGTCAATAGAAAGGTTCAACTCTGTTAGCTGCGTGCATACATCCCAAAGAAGATTCTGAGATTGCTTCTGTCTAGTTTTTATGGGAAGATATTTCCCTTTTCACCGTAGGCGTCAAGGCGCTCCAAATGTCCACTTCCAGATACTACAAAAAGAGTGTTTCAAACCTACTCTGTGAAAGGGAATTTTCAACTCTGTGACTTGAATGCACATATCACAAAGAAGTTTCTGAGAATGCTTCTGTCGAGATTTTATATGAAGATATTCCCGTTTCCAACGAAATCCTGAAATGTATCCAAATATCCCCTCGCAGATTCTACAAAAAGAGTGTTTCAAAACTGCTCTGTAAAAACAAAGGTTCAACTCTGTTAGTTGAGTACACACATCACAAACAAGTTTCACACAATGCTTCTTTCTAGCTTGTAGGGGAAGATATTCCCTTTATCACCATGGGCCTCAAACCGTCCGAAACGTCTACTTCCATATACTACAAAAAGAGCGTTTCAAACCTGCTCTAGGAAAGGTAATGTTCAACTCTGTGACTTGAATGCAGACATCACAGAGCAGTTTCTGAGAATGCTTCTGTCTAGATTTTATAGGAAGATATTCCCGTTTCCAACGAAATCTTCCCAGCTATCCAAATATCCACTTGCAGATTCTACAAAAAGAGTGTATCAAAACTGCTCTGTCAAAAGGAAGGTTCTTCTCTGTTAGATGAGTACATACGTCATAAAGGAGTTTCTGAGAATGTTTCTGTCTAGTGGTTATGGGAAGATATTTGCTTTTTCACCGTAGGCCTCAGAGAGCTCCAAATATCCACTTGCACATACTACAAAAAGAGTGCTTCAAAGCTGCTCTCTGAAAGGGAATGTTCAACTCTATGAGTTGAATGCAAACATCACAAAGACGTTTCTGAGAATGCTTCTGTCTAGATTTGATATGAAGATATTCCCGTTTCCAACGAAATCTTCAAATCTATCCAAATGTCCTCTTGCAGATTCAACAAAAAGTGTTTTTCAGAACTGCTCTATCAAAAGAAAGATCCACCTCTGTTAGCTGAGTTCAGACATCACAAACAAGTTTATGAGAATGCTTCTGTCTAGTTTTTATTTGAAGATATTTCCTTTCTCACCATAGACCTGAAAGCTGTCCTAATGTTGACTTCCAGATACTACAGAAAGAGTGTTTCAAAACTGCTGTATGAAAGGGAATGTTCAACTCTGTGACTTGAATGCAGACATCACAGAGCAGTTTCTGAGAATGCTTCTGTCTAGATTTTATAGGAAGATATTCCCGTTTCCAACGAAATCTTCACAGCTATCCAAATATCCACTTGCAGATTCTACAAAAAGAGTGTATCAAAACTGCTCTGTCAAAAGGAAGGTTCTTCTCTGTTAGGTGAGTGCATACGTCATAAAGGAGTTTCTGAGAACGTTTCTGTCTAGTTTTTAGGGGAAGATATTTCCTTTTTCACAATAGGCGTCAAAGCGATCCAAATGTCCACTTCCAGATACTACAAAAAGAGTGTTTCAAACCTACTCTGTGAAAGGGAGTATTCAAGTCTGTGACTTCAATGCAGATATCACAATGAAGTTTCTGAGAATGCTTCTGTCGGGATTTTATATGAATATATTCACGTTTCCAACGAAATCCTGAAATCTATCCAAATATCCCCTCGCAGATTCTACAAAAAGAGTGTTTCAAAACTGCTCTGTAAAAAGAAAGGTTCAACTCTGTTAGTTGAGTACACACATCACAAACAAGTTTCACAGAATGCTTCTTTCTAGCTTGTAGGGGAAGATATTTCCTTTATCACCATGGTCCTCAAGCCGTCTGAAAGGTCCACTTCCATATACTAAAAAAAGAGTGTTTGAAACCTGCTCTATGAAATGCAATGTTCAACTCTGTGACTTGAATGCAGACATCACAGAGCCGTTTCTGAGAATGCTTCTGTCTAGCATTTTATAGGAAGATATTTCCGTTTCTAACGAAACCTTCACAGCTATCCAAATATCCACTTGCAGATTCTACAAAAAGAGTGGATCAAAACTGCTCTGTCAAAAGGAAGGTTCTTCTCTGTTAGTTGAGTACATACGTCATAAAGGAGTTTCTGAGAATGTTTTCTGCTAGTGGTTATGGGAAGATATTTGCTTTTTCACCGTAGGCCTCAGAGCGCTCCAAATATCCACTTGCACATACTACAAAAAGAGTGCCTCACAGCTGCTCTCTGAAACGGAATGTTCAACTCTATGAGTTGAATGCAAACATCGCAAAGACGTTTCTGAGAATGCTTCTGTCTAGATTTGATATGAAGATATTCCCGTTTCCAACGAAATCTTCAAATCTATCCAAATGTCCACTTGCAGATTCAATTAAAAGGGTTTTTCATAACTGGTGTATCAAAAGAAAGACCCACCTCTGTTAGTTGAGTTCACACATCACAAACAAGTTTATGAGAATGCTTCTGTCTAGTTTTTATTTGAAGATATTTCCTTTCTCACCATAGACCTGAAAGGTCTCGAAACGTTCACTTCCAGGTACTAGAGAAAGAGTGTTTCAAACCTGCTGTACGAAAGGGAATGTTCAACTCTTTGACTTGAATGCACACATCACAAAGAAGTTTCTGAGAATGCTGCTGTCTAATTTTTATACGTAATCCCGTTGCCAACGAAATCCTCCAAGCTATCCAAATATCCACTTGCAGATTCCACAGAAAGACTGTTTCAAAACTGCTCTGTCAATAGAAAGGTTCAACTCCGTTAGCTGCGTGCATATATCCCAAAGAAGATTCTGAGATTGCTTCTGTCTAGTTTTTATGGGAAGATATTTCCCTTCTCACCGTAGGTGTCAAGGCGCTCCAAATGTCCACTTCCAGATACTACAAAAAGAGTGTTTCAAACCTACTCTGTGAAAGGGAATATTCAACTCTGTGACTTGAATGCACATATCACAAAGAAGTTTCTGAGAATGCTTCTGTCGAGATTTTATATGAAGATATTCCCGTTTCCAACGAAATCCTGAAATGTATCCAAATATCCCCTCGCAGATTCTACAAAAAGAGTGTTTCAAAACTGCTCTGTAAAAAGAAAGGTTCAACTCTGTTAGTTGAGTACACACATCACAAACAAGTTTCACAGAATGCTTTCTTTCTAGCTTGTAGGGGAAGATATTCCCTTTATCACCATGGGCCTCCAACCGTCCGAAAAGTCCACTTCCATACACTACAAAAAGAGCGTTTCAAACCTGCTCTATGAAAGGCAATGTTCAACTCTGTGACTTGAATGCAGACATCACAGAGCAGTTTCTGAGAATGCTTCTGTCTAGATTTTATAGGAAGATATTCCCGATTCCAACGAAATCTTCACAGCTATCCAAATATCCACTTGGAGATTCTACAAAAAGAGTGTATCAAAACTGCTCTGTCAAAAGGAAGGTTCTTCTCTGTTAGTTGAGTACATACGTCATAAAGGAGTTTCTGAGAATGTTTCTGTCTAGTGGTTATGGGAATATATTTGCTTTTTCCCCGTAGGCCTCAGGGCGCTCCAAATGTCCACTTGCACATGCTACAAAATGAGTGCTTCAAAGCTACTCTCTGAAACGGAATGTTCAACTCTATGAGTTGAATGCAAACATCACAAAGACGTTTCTGAGAATGCTTCTGTCTAGATTTGATATGAAGATATTCCCGTTTCCAAAGAAATCTTCAAATCTATCCAAATGTCCACTTGCAGATTCAAAAAAAAGTGTTTTTCAGAACTGCTCTATCAAAAGAAAGATCCACCTCTGTTAGCTGAGTTCACACATCACAAACAAGTTTATGAGAATGCTTCTGTCTAGTTTTTATTTGAAGATATTTCCTTTCTCACCATAGAGCTGAAAGCTGTCCTAATGTTCACTTCCAGATACTACAGAAAGAGTGTTTCAAAACTGCTGTACGAAAGGGAATGTTGAACTCTGTGACTTGAATGTACACATCACAAAGAAGTTTCTGAGGATGCTGCTGTCTACTTTTTATACTTAATCCCGTTTCCAATGAAATCCTCCAAGCTATCCAAATATCCACTTGCAGATTCCACAGAAAGACTGTTTCAAAACTGCTCTGTCAATAGAAAGGTTCAACTCTGTTAGCTGCGTGCATATATCCCAAAGAAGATTCTGAGATTGCTTCTGTCTAGTTTTTATGGGAAGATATTTACCTTTTCACCATAGGCGCCAAGGCGTTCCAAATGTCCACTTCCAGATACTACAAAAAGAGTGTTTCAAACCTACTCTGTGAAAGGGAATATTCAACTCTGTGACTTGAAGGCAGATATCACAAAGAAGTTTCTGAGAATGCTTCTGTCGAGATTTTATATGAAGATATTCCCGTTTCCAACGAAATCCTGAAATCTATCCAAATATCCCCTCGCAGATTCTACAAAAAGAGTGTTTCAAAACTGCTCTGTAAAAAGAAAGGTTCAACTCTGTTAGTTGAGAACACACATCACAAACATGTTTCACAGAATGCTTCTTTCTAGCTTGTAGGGGAAGATATTCCCTTTATCACCATGGGCCTCAAACCGTCTGAAAAGTCCACTTCCATATACTACAAAAAGAGCGTTTCAAACCTGCTCTATGAAAGGCAATGTTCAACTCTGTGACTTGAATGCAGACATCACAGAGCAGTTTCTGAGAATGCTTCTGTCCAGACTTTATAGGAAGATATTCCCGTTTCCAACGAAATCTTCACAGCTATCCAAATATCCACTTGCAGATAGTAAAAAAAGAGTGTATCAGAAATGCTCTGTCAAAAGGAAAGTTCTTCTCTGCTAGTTGAGTTCATACGTCATAAAGAACTTTCTGAGAATGTTTCTGTCTAGTGGTTATGGGAAGATATTTGCTTTTTCACCTTAGGCCTCAGAGCGCTCCAAATATCCACTTGCACATACTACAAAAAGAGTGCTTCAAAGCTGCTCTCTGAAAGGGAATGTTCAACTCTATGAGTTGAATGCAAACATCCCAAAGACGTTTGCTGAGAATGCTTTCTGTCTAGATTTGATATGACGATATTCCCGTTTCCAACGAAATCTTCAAATCTATCCAAATGTCCACTTGCAGATTCAAGAAAACGTGTTTTTCAGAACTGCTCTATCAAAAGAAAGATCCACCTCTGTTAGCTGAGTTCACACATCACAAACAAGTTTATGAGAATGCTTCTGTCTAGTTTTTATTTGAAGATATTTCCTTTCTCACCATAGACCTGAAAGCTGTCCTAATGTTCACTTCCAGATACTACAGAAAGAGTGTTTCAAAACTGCTGTACGAAAGGGAATGTTCAACTCTGTGACTTGAATGCACACATCACAAACAAGTTTCTGAGGATGCTGCTGTCTACTTTTTATACGTAATCCCGTTTCCTACGAAATCCTCCAAGCTATCCAAATATCCACTTGCAGATTCCACAGAAAGACTGTTTCAAAACTGCTCTGTCAATAGAAAGGTTCAACTCTGTTAGCTGGGTGCATATATCCCAAAGAAGATTCTGAGATTACTTCTGTCTACTTTTTATGAGAAGATATTTCCCTTTTCACCGTAGTCGTCAAGGCGCTCCAAATGTCCACTTCCAGATACTACAAAAAGAGTGTCTCAAACCTACTCTGTGAAAGGGAATATTGAACTCTGTGACTTGAATGCACATATCACAAAGAAGTTTCAGAGAATGCTTCTGTCGAGATTTTATATGAAGATATTCCCGTTTCCAACGAAATCCTGAAATCTATCCAAATATCCCCTCGCAGATTCTACAAAAAGAGTGTTTCAAAACTGCTCTGTAAAAAGAAAGGTTCAAATCTATTAGTTGAGTACACACATCGCAAACAAGTTTCACAGAATGCTTCTTTCTAGCTTGTAGGGGAAGATATTCCCTTTATCACCATGGGCCTCAAACCGTCCGAAACATCCACTTCCATATAGTACAAAAAGAGCGTTTCAAACCTGCTCTATGAAAGGCAATGTTCAACTCTGTGACTTGAATGCAGACATCACAGAGCAGTTTCTGAGAATGCTTTCTGTCTAGATTTTATAGGAAGATATTCCCGTTTCCAAGGAAATCTTCACAGCTATCCAAATATCCACTTGCAGATTCTACAAAAAGAGTGTATCAAAACTGCTCTGTCAAAAGGAAGGTTCTTCTCTGTTAGGTGAGTGCATACGTCATAAAGGAGTTTCTGAGAATGTTTTTGTCTAGTGGATATGGGAAGATATTTGCTTTTTCCCCGTAGGCCTCAAAGCGCTCCAAATGTCCACTTGCACATACTACAAAAAGAGTGCTTCAAAGCTGCTCTCTGAAAGGGAATGTTCAACTCCATGAGTTGAATGCAAACATCACAAAGACGTTTCTGAGAATGCTTCTGTCTAGATTTGATATGAAGATATTCCCGTTTCCAACGAAATCTTCAAATCTATCCAAATGTCCACTTGCAGATTCAACAAAACGTGTTTTTAAGAACTGCTCTATCAAAAGAAAGATCCACCTCTGTTAGCTGAGTTCACACATCACAAACAAGTTTATGAGAATGCTTCTGTCTAGTTTTTATTTGAAGATATTTCCTTTCTCACCATAGAGCTGAAAGCTGTCCTAATGTTCACTTCCAGATACTGCAGAAAGAGTGTTTCAAAACTGCTGTACGAAAGGGAATGTTCAACTCTGTGACTTGAATGCACACATCACAAAGAAGTTTCTGAGGATGCTGCTGTCTACTTTTTATACCTAATCCCGTTTCCAACGAAATCCTCCAAGCTATCCAAATATCCACTTGCAGATTCCACAGAAAGACTGTTTCAAAACTGCTCTGTCAATAGAAAGGTTCAACACTGTTAGCTGCGTGCATATATCCCAAAGAAGATTCTGAGATTGTTTCTGTCTCGTTTTCATGGGAAGATATTTCCCTTTTCACCGTAGGTGTCAAGGCGCTCCAAATGTCCACTTCCAGATACTACAAAAAGAGTGTTTCAAACCTACTCTCTGAAAGGGAATATTCAACTCTGTGACTTGAATGCAGATATCACAATGAAGTTTCTGAGAATGTTTCTGTCGAGATTTTATATGAAGATATTCCCGTTTCCAACGAAATGCTGAAATGTATCCAAATATCCCCTCGCAGATTCTACAAAAAGAGTGTTTCAAAACTGCTCTGTAAAAAGAAAGGTTCAACTCTGTTAGTTGAGTACACACATCCCAAACAAGTTTCACAGAATGCTTCTTTCTAGCTTGTAGGGGAAGATATTCCCTTTATCACAATGGGCCTCAAACCGTCTGAAACGTCCACTTCCATATACTACAAAAAGAGCATTTCAAACCTGCTCTATGAAAGGCAATGTTCAACTCTGTGACTTGAATGCAGGCATCACAGAGCAGTTTCTGAGAATGCTTCTGTCTAGATTTTATAGGAAGATATTCCCGTTTCCAACGAAATCTTGACAGCTATCCAAATATCCACTTGCAGATTCTACAAAAAGAGTGTATCAAAACTGCTCTGTCAAAAGGAAGGTTCTTCTCTGTTAGGTGAGTGCATACGTCATAAAGGAGTTTCTGAGAATGTTTCTGTCTAGTGGTTATGGGAAGATATTTGCTTTTTCACCGTAGGCCTCAGAGCGCTCCAAATATCCACTTGCACATACTACAAAAAGAGTGCTTCAAAGCTGCTCTCTGAAACGGAATGTTCAACTCTATGAGTTGAATGCAAACATCACAAAGACGTTTCCGAGAGTGCTTCTGTCTAGATTTGATATGAAGATATTAACGTTTCCAACGAAATCTTCAAATCTATCCAAAAGTCCACTTGCAGATTCAACAAAAAGTGTTTTTCAGAACTGCTCTATCAAAAGAAAGATCCACCTCTGTTAGCTGAGTTCACACATCACAAACAAGTTTATGAGAATGCTTCTGTCTAGTTTTTATTTGAAGATATTTCCTTTCTCACCATAGACCTGAAAGCTGTCCTAATGTTCACTTCCAGATACTGCAGAAAGAGTGTTTCAAAACTGTTGTACGAAAGGGAATGTTCAACTCTGTGACTTGAATGCACACATCACAAAGAAGTTTCTGAGGATGCAGCTGTCTACTTTTTATGCGTAATCCCGTTTCCAACGAAATCCTCCAAGCTATCCAAATATCCACATGCAGATTCCACAGAAAGACTGTTTCAAAACTGCTCTGTCAATAGAAAGGTTCAACTCTGTTAGCTGCGTGCATATATCCCAAAGAAGATTCTGAGATTGCTTCTGTCTACTTTTTATGAGAAGATATTTCCCTTTTCACCGTAGGCGTCAAGGCGCTCCAAATGTCAACTTCCAGATACTACAAAAAGAGTGTTTCAAACCTACTCTGTGAAAGGGAATATTCAACTCTGTGACTTGAATGCAGATATCACAAAGAAGTTTCTGAGAATGCTTCTGTCGAGTATTTTATATGAAGATATTCCCGTTTCCATCGAAATCCTGAAATCTATCCAAATATCCGCTCGCAGATTCTACAAAAAGAGTGTTTCAAAACTGCTCTGTGAAAAGAAAGGTTCAACTCTGTTAGTTGAGTACACACATCACAAACAAGTTTCACAGAATGCTTCCTTCTAGCTTGTAGGGGAAGATATTCCCTTTATCACCATGGGCCTCAAACCGTCCGAAACGTCCACTTCCATATACTACAAAAAGAGCGTTTCAAACCTGTTATAGGAAAGGCAATGTTCAACTCTGTGACTTGAATGCAGACATCACAGAGCAGTTTCTGAGAATGCTTCTGTCTAGATTTTATAGGAAGATATTCCCGTTTCCAGCGAAATCTTCACAGCTATCCAAATATCCACTTGCAGATTCTACAAAAAGAGTGTATCAAAACTGCTCTGTCAAAAGGAAGATTCTTCTCTGATAGGTAAGTGCATAAGTCATAAAGGAGTTTCTGAGAATGTTTCTGTCTTGTGGTTATGGGAAGATATTTGCTTTTTCACCGTAGGCCTCAGAGCGCTCCAAATATCCACTTGCACATACTACAAAAAGAGTGCCTCAAAGCTGCTCTCTGAAACGGAATGTTCAACTCTATGAGTTGAATGCAAACATCGCAAAGACGTTTCTGAGAATGCTTCTCTCTAGATTTGATATGAAGATATTCCCGTTTCCAACGAAATCTTCAATCTATCCAAATATCCACTTGCAGATTCAACAAAAAGTGTTTTTCAGAACTGCTCTATCAAAAGAAAGATCCACCTCTGTTAGCTGAGTTCACACATCACAAACAAGTTTATGAGAATGCTTCTGTCTAGTTTTTAGTTGAAGATATTTCCTTTCTCACCATAGAGCTGAAAGCTGTCCTAATGTTCACTTCCAGATACTACAGAAAGAGTGTTTCAAAACTGCTCTACGAAAGGGAATGTTCAACTCTGTGACTTGAATGCACACATCACAAAGAAGTTTCTGAGGATGCTGCTGTCTACTTTTTATACGTAATCCCGTTTCCAACGAAATCCTCCAAGCTATCCAAATATCCACTTGCAGATTCCCCAGAAAGACTGTTTCAAAACTGCTCTGTCAATAGAAAGGTTCAACTCTGTTAGCTGCGTGCATATATCCCAAAGAAGATTCTGAGATTGCTTCTGTCTAGTTTTTATGGGAAGATATTTCCCTTTTCACCGTAGGTGTCAAGGCGCTCCAAATATCCACTTCCAGATACTACAAAAAGAGTGTTTCAAACCTACTCTGTGAAAGGGAATGTTCAACTCTGTGACTTGAATGCACACATCACAAAGAAGTTTCTGAGGATGCTTCTGTCGAGATTTTGTATGAAGATATTCCCGTTTCCAAGGAAATCCTGAAATCTATCCAAATTTCCCCTCGCAGATTCTACAAAAAGAGTGTTTCAAAACTGCTCTGTAAAAAGAAAGGTTCAACTCTGTTAGTTGAGTACACACATCACAAACAAGTTTCACAGAATGCTTCTTTCTAGCTTGTAGGGGAAGATATTTCCTTTATCACCATGGGCCTTAAACCGTCCGAAACGTCCACTTCCATAAACTAAAAAAAGAGTGTTTGAAACCTGCTCTATGAAAGGCAATGTTCAACTCTGTGACTTGAATGCAGACATCACAGAGCAGTTTCTGAGAATGCTGCTGTCTAGATTTTATAGGAAGAAATTCCCGTTTCCAACGAAATCTTCACAGTTATCCAAATATAGACTTGCAGATTCTACAAAAAGATTGTATCAAAATTGCTGTGTCAAAAGGAAGGTTCAACTCTGTTAGTTGAGTACGTACGTCACAAAGAAGTTTCTGAGAATGTTTCTGTCTAGTGGTTATGGGAAGATATTTGCTTTTTCAACGTAGGCCTCAGAGCGCTCTAAATATCCACTTGCACATACTACAAAAAGAGTGCCTCAAAGCTGCTCTCTGAAACGGAATGTTCAACTCTATGAGTTGAATGCAAACATCACAAAGACGTTTCTGAGAATGCTTCTGTCTAGATTTGATATGAAGATATTCCCTTTTCCAACGAAATCTTCAAATCTATCCAAATGTCCACTTGCAGATTCAACAAAAAGTGTTTTTCAGAACTGCTCTATCAAAAGAAAGATCCACCTCTGTTAGCTGAGTTCACACATCACAAACAAGTTTATGAGAATGCTTCTGTCTAGTTTTTATTTGAAGATATTTCCTTTCTCACCATAGACCTGAAAGCTCTCGCCCCGTTCACTTCCAGGTACTAGAGAAAGAGTGTTTCAAACCTCCTATACGAAAGGGAATGTTCAACTCTTTGACTTGAATGCACACATCACAAAGAAGTTTCTGAGAATGCTGCTGTCTACTTTGTATACATAATCCCGTTTCCAAAGAAATCCTCCAAGCTATCCAAATATCCACTTGCAGATTCCACTAAAAGACTGTTTCAAAACTGCTCTGTCAATAGAAAGTTTCAACTCTGTTAGCTGGGTGCATACATCCCAAAGAAGATTCTGAGATTGCTTGTGTCTAGTTTTGATGGGAAGATATTTCCCTTTTCACCGTGGGCGTCAAGGCGCTCCAAATGTCCACTTCCAGATACTACAAAAAGAGTGTTTCAAACCTACTCTGTGAAAGGGAATATTCAACTCTGTGACTTGAATGCACATATCACAAGGAAGTTTCTGAGAATGCTTCTGTCGAGATTTTATATGAAGATATTCCCGTTTCCAACGAAATGCTGAAATCTATCCAAATATCCCCTCGCAGATTCTACAAAAAGAGTGTTTCAAAACTGCTCTGTGAAAAGAAAGGTTCAACTCTGTTAGTTGAGTACACACATCACCAACAAGTTTCACAGAATGCTTCTTTCTAGCTTGTACGGGAAGATATTCCCTTTATCACCATGGGCCTCAAACCGTCCGAAACGTCCACTTCAATATACTACAAAAAGAGCGTTTCAAACCTGCTCTATGAAAGGCAATGTTCAACTCTGTGACTTGAATGCAGACATCACAGAGCAGTTTCTGAGAATGCTTCTGTCTAGATTTTATAGGAAGATATTCCCGTTTCCAACGAAATCTTCACAGCTATCCAAATATCCACTTGCAGATTCTACAAAAAGAGTGTATCAAAGCTGCTCTGTCAAAAGGGAAGGTTCTTCTCTGTTAGGTGAGTGCATACGTCATAAAGGAGTTTCTGAGAATGTTTCTGTCTAGTGGTTATGGGAAGATATTTGCTTTTTCACCGTAGGTCTCAGAGCGCTCCAAATATCCACTTGCACATAGTACAAAAAGAGTGCTTCAAAGCTGCTCTCTGAAACGGAATGTTCAACTCTATGAGTTGAATGCAAACATCACAAAGACGTTTCTGAGAATGCTTCTGTCTAGATTTGATTTGAAGATATTCACGTTTCCAACGAAATCTTCAAATCTATCCAAATGTCCACTTGCAGATTCAACAAAAAGTGTTTTTCAGAACTGCTCTATCAAAAGAAAGATCCACCTCTGTTAGCTGAGTTCAGACATCACAAACAAGTTTATGAGAATGCTTCTGTCTAGTTTTTATTTGAAGATATATCCTTTCTCACTATAGACCTGAAAGCTGTCCTAATGTTCACTTCCAGATACTACAGAAAGAGTGTTTCAAAACTGCTGTACGAAAGGGAATGTTCAACTCTGTGACTTGAATGCACACATCACAAAGCAAGTTTCTGAGGATACTGCTGTCTACTTTTTATACGTAATCCCGTTTCCAACGAAATCCTCCAATCTATCCAAATATCCACTTGCAGATTCCACAGAAAGACTGTTTCAAATCTGCTCAGTCAATAGAAAGGTTCAAATCTGTCAGCTGCGTGCATATATCACAAAGAAGATTCTGAGATTGCTTCTGTCTAGTTTTTATGGGAAGATATTTCCCTTTTCACCGTGGGCGTCAAGGCGCTCCAAATGACCACTTCCAGATACTACAAAAAGAGTGTTTCAAACCTACTCTGTGAAAGGGAATATTCAACTCTGTGACTTGAATGCACATATCACAAGGAAGTCTCTGAGAATGCTTCTGTCGAGATTTTATATGAAGATATTCCCGTTTCCAACGAAATCCTGAAATCTATCCAAATAACCCCTCGCAGATTCTACAAAAAGAGTGTTTCAAAACTGCTCTGTAAAAAGAAAGGTTCAACTATGTAAGTTGAGTACACACATCACAAACAAGTTTCACAGAATGCTTCTTTCTAGCTTGTAGGGGAAGATATTCCCTTTATCACCATGGGCCTCAAACCGTCCGAAACGTCCACTTCCATATACTACAAAAAGAGCGTTTCAAACCTGCTCTATGAAAGACAATGTTGAACTCTGTGACTTGAATGCAGACATCACAGAGCAGTTTCTGAGAATGCTTCTGTCTAGATTTTATAGGAAGATATTCCCGTTTCCAACGAAATCTTCACAGCTATCCAAATATCCACTTGCAGATTCTACAAAAAGAGTGTATCAAAACTGCTCTGTCAAAAGGAAGGTTCTTTTCTGTTCGGTGAGTGCATACGTCATAAAGGCGTTTCTGAGAATGTTTCTGTCTAGTGGTTATGGGAAGATATTTGCTTTTTCACCGTAGGCCTCAGAGCGCTCCAAATATCCACTTGCACATACTACAAAAAGACTGCTTCAAAGCTGCTCTCTGAAAGGGAATGTTCAACTCTATGAGTTGAATGCAAACATCACAAAGACGTTTCTGAGAATGCTTCTGTCTAGATTTGATATGAAGATATTCCCGATTCCAACGAAATCTTCAAATCTATCCAAATGTCCACTTGCAGATTCAACAAAAAGTGTTTTTCAGAACTGCTCTATCAAAAGAAAGATCCACCTCTGTTAGCTGAGTTCACACATCACAAACAAGTTTATGAGAATGCTTCTGTCTAGTTTATATTTGAAGATATTTCCTTTCTCACCATAGAGCTGAAAGCTGTCCTAATGTTCACTTCCAGATACTACAGAAAGAGTGTTTCAAAACTGCTGTATGAAAGGGAATGTTCAACTCTGTGACTTGAATGCACACATCACAAAGAAGTTTCTGAGGATGCTGCTGTCTACTTTTTATACGTAATCCCGTTTCCAACGAAATCCTCCAAGCTATCCAAATATCCACTTGCAGAATCCACAGAAAGACTGTTTCAAAACTGCTCTGTCAATAGAAAGGTTCAACTCTGTTAGCTGCGTGCATATATCCCAAAGAAGATTCTGAGATTGCTTCTGTCTAGTTTTTATGGGAAGATATTTCCCTTTTCACCGTAGGCGTCAAGGCGCTCCAAATGTCCACTTTCAGATATTACAAAAAGAGTGTTTCAAACCTACTCTGTGAAAGGGAATATTCAACTCTGTGACTTGAATGCACATATCACAAGGAAGTTTCTGAGAATGCTTCTGTCGAGATTTTATATGAAGATATTCCCGTTTCCAACGAAATCCTGAAATCTATCCATATATCCCCTCGCAGATTCTACAAAAAGAGTGTTTCAAAACTGCTCTGTAAAAGGAAAGGTTCAACTCTGTTAGTTGAGTACACACATCACAAACAAGTTTCACAGAATGCTTCTTTCTAGCTTGTAGGGGAAGATATTCCCTTTATCACCATGGGCCTCCAACCGTCCGAAACATCCACTTCCATATACTACAAAAAGAGCGTTTCAAACCTGCTCTATGAAAGGCAATGTTCAACTCTGTGACTTGAATACAGACATCACAGAGCAATTTCTGAGAATGCTTCTGTCTAGATTTTATAGGCAAGATATTCCCGTTTCCAACGAAATCTTCACAGCTATCCAAATATCCACTTGCAGATTCTACAAAAAGAGTGTATCAAAACTGCTCTTTCAAAAGGAAGGTTCTTCTCTGTTAGTTGAGTACATACGTCATAAAGGAGTTTCTGAGAATGTTTCTGTCTAGTGGTTATGGGAAGATATTTGCTTTTTCACCGTAGGCCTCAGAGCGCTCCAAATATGCACTTGCACATACTACAAAAACAGTGCTTCAAAGCTGCTCTCTGAAACGGAATGTTCAACTCTATGAGTTGAATGCAAACATCGCAAAGACGTTTCTGAGAATGCTTCTGTCTAGATTTGATATGAAGATATTCCTGTTTCCAACGAAATCTTCAAATCTATTCAAATGTCCACTTGCAGATTCAACAAAAAGTGTTTTTCAAAACTGCTGTTTCGAAAGAAAGATCCACCTCTGTTAGCTGAGTTCACACTTCACAAACAAGTTTATCAGAATGCTTCTGTCTAGTTTTTATTTGAAGATATTTCCTTTCTCACCATAGACCTGAAAGCTGTCCTAATGTTCACTTCCAGATACTACAGAAAGAGTGTTTCAAAACTGCTGTACGAAAGGGAATGTTCAACTCTCTGACTTGAATGCACACATCACAAAGAAGTTTCTGAGGATGCTGCTGGCTACTTTTTATACGTAATCCCGTTTCCAACGAAATCGTCCAAGCTATCCAAATATCCACTTGCAGATTCCACAGAAAGACTGTTTCAAAACTGCTCTGTCAATAGAAAGGTTCAACTCTGTTAGCTGCGTGCATATATCCCAAAGAAGATTCTGAGATTGCTTCTGTCTAGTTTTTATGGGAAGATATTTCCCTTTTCACCGTAGGCGTCAAGGCGCTCCAAATGTCCACTTCCAGATACTACAAAAAGAGTGTTTCAAACCTACTCTGTGAAAGAGAATATTCAACTCTGTGACTTAAAGGCAGATATCACAAAGAAGTTTCTGAGAATGCTTCTGTCGAGATTTTATATGAAGATATTCCCGTTTCCAACGAAATCCTGAAATCTATCCAAATATCCCCTCGCAGATTCTACAAAAAGAGTGTTTCAAAACTACTCTGTAAAAAGAAATGTTCAACTCTGTTAGTTGAGTACACACATCACAAACAAGTTTCACAGAATGCTTCTTTCTAGCTTGTAGGGAAGATATTCCCTTTATCACCTTGGGCCTCAAACCGTCCGAAACATCCACTTCCATATACTACAAAAAGAGCGTTTCAAACCTGCTCTATGAAAGGCAATGTTCAACTCTGTGACTTGAATGCAGACATCACAGAGCAGTTTCTGAGAATGCTTCTGTCTAGATTTTATAGGAAGATATTCCCGTTTCCAACGAAATCTTCACAGCTATCCAAATATCCAATTGCAGATTCTACAAAAAGAGTGTATCAAAACTGCTCTGTCAAAAGGAAGGTTCTTCTCTGTTAGGTGAGTGCATACGTCATAAAGGAGTTTCTGAGAATGTTTCTGTCTAGTGGTTATGGGAAGATATTTGCTTTTTCACCGTAGGCCTCAGAGCGCTCCAAATATCCACTTGCACATACTACAAAAAGAGTGCTTCAAAGCTGCTCTCTGAAACGGAATGTTCAACTCTATGAGTTGAATGCAAACATCACAAAGACTTTTCTGAGAATGCTTCTGTCTAGATTTGATATGAAGATATTCCCGTTTCCAACGAAATCTTCAAATCTATCCAAATGTCCACTTGCAGATTCAACAAAAAGTGTTTTTCAAAACTGCTCTATCTAAAGAAAGATCCACGTCTGTTAGCTGAGTTCACACATCACAAACAAGTTTATGAGAATGCTTCTGTCTAGTTTTTATTTGAAGATATTTCCTTTCTCACCATAGACCTGAAAGCTGTCCTAATGTTCACTTCCAGATACTACAGAAAGAGTGTTTCAAAACTGCTGTACGAAAGGGAATGTTCAACTCTGTGATTTGAATGCACACATCACAAAGAAGTTTCTGAGGATGCTGCTGTCTACTTTTTATACGTAATCCCGTTTCCAACGAAATCCTCCAAGCTATCCAAATATCCACTTGCAGATTCCACAGAAAGACTGTTTCAAAACTGCTCTGTCAATAGAAAGGTTCAACTCTATTAGCTGCGTACATATATCCCAAAGAAGATTCTGAGATTGCGTCTGTCTAGTTTTTATGGGAAGATATTTCCCTTTTCACCGTAGGCGTCAAGGCGCTCCAAATGTCCACTTCCAGATACTACAAAAAGAGTGTTTCAAACCTACTCTGTGAAAGGGAATATTCAACACTGTGACTTGAATGCACATATCACAAAGAAGTTTCTGAGAATGCTTCTGTCGAGATTTTATATGAAGATATTCCCGTTTCCAACGAAATCCTGAAAACTATCCAAATATCCCCTCGCAGATTCTACAAAAAGAGTGTTTCAAAACTGCTCTGTAAAAAGAAAGGTTCAACTCTGTTAGTGGAGTACACACATCACAAAAAAGTTTCACAGAATGCTTCTTTCTAGCTTGTAGGGGAAGATATTCCCTTTATCACCATGGGCCTCAAACCGTCCGAAACGTCTACTTCCATATACTACAAAAAGAGCGTTTCAAACCTGCTCTATGAAAGGCAATGTTCAACTCTGTGACTTGAATGCAGACATCACAGACCAGTTTCTGAGAATGCTTCTGTCTAGATTTTATAGGAAGATATTCCCGTATCCAACGAAATCTTCACAGCTATCCAAATATCCACTTGCAGATTCTACAAAAAGAGTGTATCAAAACTGCTCTGTCAAAAGGAAGGTTCTTCTCTGTTAGTTGAGTGCATACGTCATAAAGGAGTTTCTGAGAATGTTTCTGTCTAGTGGTTAGGGGAAGATATTTGCTTTTTCACCTTAGGCCTCAGAGCGCTCCAAATATCCCCTTGCACATACTACAAAAAGAGTGCTTCAAAGCTGCTCTCTGAAAGGGAATGTTCAACTCTGTGAGTTGAATGCAAACATCACAAAGACGTTTCTGAGAATGCTTCTGTCTAGATTTGATATGAAGATATTCCCGTTTCCAACGAAATCTTCAAATCTATCCAAATGTCCGCTTGCAGATTCAACAAAACGTGTTTTTCAGAACTGCTCTATCAAAAGAAAGATCCACGTCTCTAAGCTGAGTTCACACATCACAAACAAGTTTATGAGAATGCTTCTGTCTAGTTTTTATTTGAAGATATTTCCTTTCTCACCATAGACCTGAAAGCTGTCCTAATGTTCACTTCCACATACTACAGAAAGAGTGTTTCAAAACTGCTGTACGAAAGGGAATGTTCAACTCTGTGACTTGAATGCACACATCACAAAGAAGTTTCTGAGGATGCTGCTGTCTACTTTTTATGCGTAATCCCGTTTCCAACGAAATCCTCCAAGCTATCCAAATATCCACTTGCAGATTCCACAGAAAGACTGTTTCAAAACTGCTCTGTCAATAGAAAGGTTCAACTCTGATAGCTGCGTGCATATATCCCAAAGAAGATTCTGAGATTGCTTCTGTCTAGTTTTTATGGGAAGATATTTCCCTTTTCACCGTGGGCGTCAAGGCGCTCCAAATGTCCACTTCCAGATACTACAAGAAGAGTGTTTCAAACCTACTCTGTGAAAGGGAATATTCAACTCTGTGACTTGAATGCACATATCACAAGGAAGTTTCTGAGAATGCTTCTGTCGAGATTTTATATGAAGTTATTCCCGTTTCCAACGAAATCCTGAAATCTATCCAAATATCCCCTCGCAGATTCTACAAAAAGAGTGTTTCAAAACTGCTCTGTAAAAAGAAAGGTTCAACTCTGTTAGTTGAGTACACACATCACAAACAAGTTTCACAGAATGCTTCTTTCTAGCTTGTAGGGGAAGATATTCCCTTTATCACCATGGGCCTCAAACCGTCCGAAAAGTCCACTTCCATATACTACAAAAAGAGCGTTTCAAACCTGCTCTATGAAAGGCAATGTTCAACTGCTGTGACTTGAATGCAGACATCACAGAGCAGTTTCCTGAGAATGCTTCTGTCTAGATTTTATAGGAAGATATTCCCGTTTCCAACGAAATCTTCACAGCTATCCAAATATCCACTTGCAGATACTACAAAAAGAGTGTATCAAAAATGCTCTGTCAAAAGGAAAGTTCTTCTCTGCTAGTTGAGTACATACGTCATAAAGAAGTTTCTCAGAATGTTTCTGTCTAGTGGTTATGGGAAGATACTTGCTTTTTCCCCGTAGGCCTCAGAGCGCTCCAAATGTCAACTTGCACATGCTACAAAAAGAGTGCTTCAAAGCTGCTCTCTGAAGCGGAATGTTCAACTCTATGCGTTGAATGCAAACATCACAAAGACGTTTCTGAGAATGCTTCTGTCTAGATTTGATATGAAGATATTCCCGTTTCCAACGAAATCTTCAAATCTATCCAAATGTCCACTTGCAGATTCAACAAAAAGTGTTTTTCAGAACTGCTCTATCAAAAGAAAGATCCACCTCTGTTAGCTGAGTTCACACATCAGAAAAAAGTTTATGAGAATGCTTCTGTCTAGTTTTTATTTGAAGATATTTCCTTTCTCACCATAGACCTGAAAGCTGTCCTAATGTTCACTCCCAGATACTACAGAAAGAGTGTTTCAAAACTGCTGTACGAAAGGGAATGTTCAACTCTGTGACTTGAATGCACACATCACAAAGAAGTTTCTGAGGATGCTGCTGTCTACTTTTTATACGTAATCCCGTTTCCAACGAAATCCTCCAATCTATCCAAATATCCACTTGCAGATTCCACAGAAAGACTGTTTCAAAACTGCTCTGTCAATAGAAAGGTTCAACTCTGTTAGCTGAGTGCATATATCCCAAAGAAGATTCTGAGATTGCTTCTGTCTAGTTTTTATGGGAAGATATTTCCCATTTCACCGTAGGCGTCAAGGCGCTCCAAATGTCCACTTCCAGATACTACAAAAAGAGTGTTTCAAACCTACTCTGTGAAAGGGAATATTCAACTCTGTGACTTGAATGCAGATATCACAAAGAAGTTTCTGAGAATGCTTCTGTCGAGATTTTATATGAAGATATTCCCCTTTCCAACGAAATCCTGAAATCTATCCAAATATGCCCTCGCAGATTCTACAAAAAGACTGTTTCAAAACTGCTCTGTAAAAAGAAAGGTTCAACTCTGTTAGTTGAGTACACACATCACAAACAAGTTTCACAGAATGCTTCTTTCTAGCTTGTAGGGGAAGATATTCCCTTTATCACCATGGGCCTCAAACCGTCCGAAACGTCCACTTCCATATACTACAAAAAGAGCGTTTCAAACCTGCTCTATGAAAGGCAATGTTCAACTCTGTGACTTGAATACAGACATCACAGAGCAGTTTCTGAGAATGCTTCTGTCTAGATTTTATAGGAAGATATTCCCGTTTCCAACGAAATCTTCACAGGTATCCAAATATCCACTTGCAGATTCTACAAAAAGAGTGTTTCAAAACTGCTCTGTCAAAAGGAAGGTTCTTCTCTGTTAGGTGAGTGCATACGTCATAAAGGAGTTTCTGAGAGTGTTTCTGTCTAGTGGTTATGGGAAGATATTTGCTTTTTCACCGTAGGCCTCAGAGCGCTCCAAATATCCGCTTACACATACTACAAAAAGAGTGCTTCAAAGCTGCTCTCTGAAACGGAATGTTCAACTCTATGAGTTGAATGCAAACATCACAAAGACGTTTCTGAGAATGCTTCTGTCTAGATTTGATATGAAGATATTCCCGTTTCCAACGAAATCTTCAAATCTATCAAAATGTCCACTTGCAGATTCAACAAAAAGTGTTTTTTAGAACTGCTCTATCAAAAGAAAGATCCACCTCTGTTAGCTGAGTTCACACATCACAAACAAGTTTATGAGAATGCTTCTGTCTAGTTTTTATTTGAAGATATTTCCTTTCTCACCAAAGACCTGAAAGCTGTCCTAATGTTCACTTCCAGATACTACAGAAAGAGTGTTTCAAAACTGCTGTACGAAAGGGAATGTTCAACTCTGTGACTTGAATGCACACATCACAAAGAAGTTTCTGAGGATGCGGCTGTCTACTTTTTATACTTAATCCCGTTTCCAACGAAATCCTCCAAGCTATCGAAATATCCACTTGCAGATTCCACAGAAAGACTGTTTCAAAACTGCTCTGTCAATAGAAAGGTTCAACTCTGTTAGCTGCGTGCATATATCCCAAAGAAGATTCTGAGATTGCTGCTGTCTAGTTTTTATGGGAAGATATTTCCCTTTTCACCGTAGGCGTCAAGGCGCTCCAAATGACCACTTCCAGATACTACAAAAAGAGTGTTTCAAACCTACTCTGTGAAAGGGAATATTCAACTCTGTGACTTGAATGCAGATATCACAAAGAAGTTTCTGAGAATTCTTCTGTCGAGATTTTATATGAAGATATTCCCGTTTCCAACGAAATCCTGAAATCTATCCAAATATCCCCTCGCAGATTCTACAAAAAGAGTGTTTCAAAACTGCTCTGTAAAAAGAAAGGTTCAACTCTGTTACTTGACTACACACATCACAAACAAGTTGCACACAATGCTTCTTTCTAGCTTGTAGGGGAAGATATTCCCGTTATCTCCATGGGCCTCAAACCGTCCGAAACGTCCACTTCCATATACTAAAAAAAGAGTGTTAGAAACCTGCTCTATGAAAGGCAATGTTCAACACTGTGACTTGAATGCAGACATCACAGAGCAGTTTCTGAGAATGCTTCTGTCTAGATTTTATAGGAAGATATTCCCGTTTCCAACGAAATCTTCACAGCTATCCAAATATCTACTTGCAGACTATACAAAAAGAGTGTATCAAAACTGCTCTGTCAAAAGGAAGGTTCTTCTCTGTTAGGTGAGTGCATACGTCATAAAGGAGTTTCTGAGAATGTTTCTGTCTACTGGTTATGGGAAGATATTTGCTTTTTCCCCTTAGGCCTCAAAGCGCTCCAAATGTCAATTTGCACTTACTACAAAAAGAGTGCTTCAAAACTGCTCTCTGAAAGGGAATGTTCAACTCTATGAGTTGAATGCAAACATCACAAAGACGTTTCTGAGAATGCTTCTGTCTAGATTTGATATGAAGATCTTCCCGTTTCCAACGAAATCTTCAAATCTATCCAAATATCCACTTGCAGATTCAACAAAAAGTGTTTTTCAGAACTGCTCTATCAAAAGAAAGATCCATCTCTGTTAGCTGAGTTCACACATCACAAACAAGTTTATGAGAATGCTTCTGTCTAGTTTTTATTTGAAGATTTTGCCTTTCTCACCATAGACCTGAAAGCTGTCCTAATGTTCACTTCCAGATACTACAGAAAGAGTGTTTCAAAACTGCTGTACGAAAGGGAATGTTCAACTCTGTGACTTGAATGCACACATCACAAAGAAGTTTCTGAGGATGCTGCTGTCTAATTTTTATACGTAATCCCGTTTCCAACGAAATCCTCCAAGCTATCCAAATATCCACTTGCAGATTCCACAGAAAGACTGTTTCAAAACTGCTCTGTCAATAGAAAGGTTCAACTCTGTTAGCTGGGTGCATATATCCCAGAGAAGATTCTGAGATTGCTTCTGTCTAGTTTTTATGGGAAGATATTTCCCTTTTCACCGTAGGCGTCAAGGCGCTCCAAATGTCCACTTCCAGATACTACAAAAAGAGTGTTTCAAACCTACTCTGTGAAAGGGAATATTCAACTCTGTGACTTGAATTCACATATCACAAAGAAGTTTCTGAGAATGCTTCTGTCGAGATTTTATATGAAGATATTCCCGTTTCCAACGAAATCCTGAAATCTATCCAAATATCCCCTCGCAGATTCTTCAAAAAGAGAGTTTCAAAACTGCTCTGTAAAAAGAAAGGCTCTGTTAGTTGAGTACACACATCACAAACAAGTTTCACAGAATGCTTCTTTCTAGCTTGTAGGGGAAGATATTCCCTTTATCACCATGGGCCTCAAACCGTCCGAAACGTCTACTTCCATATACTACAAAAAGAGCGTTTCAAACCTGTTCTATGAAAGGCAATGTTCAACTCTGTGACTTGAATGCAGACATCACAGAGCAGTTTCTGAGAATGCTTCTGTCTAGATCTTATAGGAAGATATTCCCGTTTCAAACGAAATCTTCACAGCTATCCAAATATCCACTTGCAGATTCTACAAAAAGAGTGTATCAAAACTGCTCTGTCAAAAGGAAGGTTCTTCTCTGTTAGGTGAGTGCATACGTCATAAAGGATTTTCTGAGAATGTTTCTGTCTAGTGTTTATGGGAAGATATTTGCTTTTTCACCGTAGGCCTCAGAGCGCTCCAAATATCCACTTGCACATACTACAAAAAGAGTGCCTCAAAGCTGCTCTCTGAAACGGAATGTTCAACTCTATGAGTTGAATGCAAACATCACAAAGACGTTTCTGAGAATGCTTCTGTCTAGATTTCATATGAAGATATTCCCATTTCCAACGAAATCTTCATATCTATCCAAATGTCCACTTGCAGATTCAACAAAAAGTGTTTTTCAAAACTGCTGTATCAAAAGAAAGATCCACGTCTGTTAGCTGAGTTCACACATCACAAACAAGTTTATGAGAATGCTTCTGTCTAGTTTTTATTTGAAGATATATCCTTTCTCACTATAGACGTGAAAGCTCTCCTAAAGTTCACTTCCAGATACTACAGAAAGAGTTTTTCAAAACTGCTGTACGAAAGGGAATGTTCAACTCTGTGACTTGAAAGCACACATCAATAAGGAAGATTCTGAGGATGCTGCTGTCTACTTTTTATACGTAATCCCGTTTCCAACGAAATCCTCCAAGCTATCCAAATATCCACTTGCAGATTCCACAGAAAGACAGTTTCAAAACTGCTCTGTCAATAGAAAGGTTCAACTCTGTTAGCTGCGTGCATATATCCCAAAGAAGATTCTGAGATTGCTTCTGTCTACTTTTTATGAGAAGATATTTCCCTTTTCACCGTAGGCGTCAAGGCGCTCCAAATGTCTACTTCCAGATACTACAAAAAGAGTGTTTCAAACCTACTCAGTGAAAGGGAATATTCAACTCTGTGACTTGAATGCAGATATCACAAAGAAGTTTCTGAGAATGCTTCTGTCGAGATTTTATATGAAGATATTCCCGTTTCCAACGAAATGCTGAAATCTATCCAAATATCCCCTCGCAGATTCTACAAAAAGAGTGTTTCAAAACTGCTCTGTGAAAAGAAAGGTTCAACTCTGTTAGTTGAGTACACACATCACAAACAAGTTTCACACAATGCTTTCTTTCTAGCTTGTAGGGGAAGATATTCCCTTTATCACCATGGGCCTCAAACCGTCCGAAACGTCCACTGCCATATATTACAAAAAGAGCGTTTCAAACCTGCTTTATGAAAGGCAATGTTCAACTCTGTGACTTGAATGCAGACATCACAGAGCAGTTTCTGAGAATGCTTCTGTCTAGATTTTATAGGAAGATATTCCCGTTTCCAACGAAATCTTCACAGCTATTCAAATATCCACTTGCAGATTCTACAAAAAGAGTGTATCAAAACTGCTCTGTCAAAAGGAAGGTTCTTCTCTGTTAGGTGAGTGCACACGTCATAAAGGAGTTTCTGAGAATGTTTCTGTCTAGTGGTTATGGGAAGATATTTTCTTTTTCACCGTAGGCCTCAGAGCGCTCCAAATATCCACTTGCACATACTACAAAAAGAGTGTTTCAAAGCTGCTCTCTGAAAGGGAATGTTCAACTCTATGAGTTGAATGCAAACATGACAGAGACGTTTCTGAGAATGCTTCTGTCTAGATTTGATATGAAGATATCCCCGTTTCCAACGAAATCTTCAAATCTATCCAAATGTCCACTTGCAGATTCAACAAAAAGTGTTTTTCAGAACTGCTCTATCAAAAGAAAGATCCACCTCTGTTAGCTGAGTTCACACATCACAAACAAGTTTATGAGAATGCTTCTGTCTAGTTTTTATTTGAAGATATTTCCTTTCTCACCATGGACCTGAAAGCTGTCCTAATGTTCACTTCCAGATACTACAGAAAGAGTGTTTCAAAACTGCTGTACGAAAGGGAATGTTCAACTCTGTGACTTGAATGCACACATCACAAAGAAGTTTCTGAGGATTCTGCTGTCTACTTTTTATACTTAATCCCGTTTCCAACGAAATCCTCCAAGCTATCCAAATATCCACTTGCAGATTCCACAGAAAGGCTGTTTCAAAACTGCTCTGTCAATAGAAAGGTTCAACTCTGTTAGCTGCGTGCATATATCCCAAAGAAGATTCTGAGATTGCTTCTGTCTACTTTTTATGAGAAGATATTTCCCTTTTCACCGTAGGTGTCAATGCGCTCCAAATGTCCACTTCCAGATACTAGAAAAAAAGTGTTTCAAACCTACTCTGTGAAAGGGAATATTCAACTCTGTGACTTGAATGCACATATCACAAAGAAGCTTCTGAGAATGCTTCTGTCGAGATTTTATATAAAGATATTCCCGTTTCCAACGAAATCCTGAAATCTATCCAAATATCCCCTCGCAGATTCTACAAAAAGAGTGTTTCAAAACTGCTCTGTAAAAAGAAAGGTTCAATTCTGTTAGTTGAGTACACACATCACAAACAAGTTTCACAGAATCCTTCTTTCTAGCTTGTAGGGGAAGATATTTCCTTTATCACCATTGTCCTCAAACCGTCCGAAACGTCCACTTCCATATACTAAAAAAAGAGTGTTTGAAAGCTGCTCTATGAAAGCCAATGTTCAACTCTGTGACTTGAATGCAAACACCACAGAGCAGTTTCTGAGAATGCTTCTGTCTAGATTTTATAGGAAGATATTCCCGTTTCCAACGAAATCTTCACAGCTATCCAAATATCCACTTGCAGATTCTACAAAAAGAGTGTATCAAAACTGCTCTGTCAAAAGGAAGGTTCTTTTCTGTTAGGTGAGTGCATACGTCATAAAGGCGTTTCTGAGAATGTTTGTGTCTAGTGGTTATGGGAAGATATTTGCTTTTTCACCTTAGGCCTCAGAGCGCTCAAAATATCCCCTTGCACATACTACAAAAAGAGTGCTTCAAAGCTGCTCTCTGAAAGGGAATGTTCAATTCTATGAGTTGAATGCAAACATCACAAAGACGTTTCTGAGAATGCTTCTGTCTAGATTTGATATAAAGATATTCCCGTTTCCAACGAAATCTTCAAATCTATCCAAATGTCCACTTGGAGATTCAACAAAAAGTGTTTTTCCGAACTGCTCTATCAAAAGAAAGATCCACCTCTGTTAGCTGAGTTGACACATCACAAACAAGTTTATGAGAATGCTTTCTGTCTAGTTTTTATTTGAAGATATTTCCTTTCTCGCCATAGACCTGAAAGCTGTCCTAATGTTCACTTCCAGATACTACAGAAAGAGTGTTTCAAAACTGCTGTACGAAAGGGAATGTTCAACTCTGTGACTTGAATGCACACATCACAAAGAAGTTTCTGAGGATGCTGCTGTCTACTTTTTATACTTAATCCCGTTTCCAACGAAATCCTCCAAGCTATCCAAATATCCACTTTCAGATTCCACAGAAAGACTGTTTCAAAACTGCTCTGTCAATAGAAAGGTTCAACTCTGTTAGCTGCGTGCATATATCCCAAAGAAGATTCTGAGATTGCTTCTGTCTAGTTTTTATGGGAAGATATTTCCCTTTTCACCGTAGGCGTCAAGGCGCTCCAAATCTCCACTTCCAGATACTACAAAAAGAGTGTTTCAAACCTACTCTGTGAAAGGGAATATTCAACTCTGTGACTTGAATGGAGATATCACAAAGAAGTTTCTGAGAATGCTTCTGTCGAGATTTTGTATGAAGATATTCCCGTTTCCAACGAAATCCTGAAATCTATCCAAATATCCCCTCGCAGATTCTACAAAAAGAGTGTTTCAAAACTGCTCTGTGAAAAGAAAGGTTCAACTCTGTTAGTTGAGTACAGACATCACAAACAAGTTTCACAGAATGCTTCTTTCTAGCTTGTAGGGGAAGATATTCCCTTTATCACCATGGGCCTCAAACCGTCCGAAAAGTCCACTTCCATATACTACAAAAAGAGCGTTTCAAACCTGCTCTATGAAAGGCAATGTTCAACTCTGTGACTTGAATACAGACATCACAGAGCAGTTTCTGAGAATGCTTCTGTCCAGACTTTATAGGAAGATATTCCCGATTCCAACGAAATCTTCACAGCTATCCAAATATCCACTTGCAGATACTACAAAAAGAGTGTATCAAAAAAGCTCTGTCAAAAGGAAAGTTCTTTTCTGCTAGTTGAGTACATACGTCATAAAGAAGTTTCTGAGAATGTTTCTGTCTAGTTGTTATGGGAAGATATTTGCTTTTTCCCCGTAGGCCTCAGAGCGTTCCAAATGTCCACTTGAACATACTACAAAAAGAGTGCTTCAAAGCTGCTCTCTGAAAGGGAATGTTCAACTCTATGAGTTCAATGCAAACATCACAAAGACGTTTCTGAGAATGCTTCTGTCTAGATTTGATATGACGATATTCCCGTTTCCAATGAAATCTTCAAATCTATCCAAATGTCCACTTGCAGATTCAACAAAACGTGTTTTTCAGAACTGCTCTATCAAAAGAAAGATCCACGTCTATTAGCTGAGTTCACACATCACAAACAAGTTTATGAGAATGCTTCTGTCTAGTTTTTATTTGAAGATATTTCCTTTCTCACCATAGAGCTGAAAGCTGTCCTAATGTTCACTTCCAGATGCTACAGAAAGAGTGTTTCAAAACTGCTGTACGAAAGGGTATGTTCAACTCTGTGACTTGAATGCACACATCACAAAGAAGTTTCTGAGGATGCTGCTGTCTACTTTTTATACGTAATCCCGTTTCCAATGAAATCCTCCAATCTATCCAAATATCCACTTGCAGATTCCACAGAAAGACTGTTTCAAAACTGCTCTGTCAATAGAAAGGTTCAACTCTGTTAGCTGTGTGCATATATCCCAAAGAAGATTCTGAGATTGCTTCTGTCTAGTTTTTATGGGAAGATATTTGCCTTTTCACCGTAGGTGTCAAGGCGCTCCAAATGTCCACTTCCAGATACTACAAAAAGAGTGTTTCAAACCTACTCTGTGAAAGGGAATATTCAACTCTGTGACTTGAATGCACATATCACAAGGAAAGTTTCTGAGAATGCTTCTGTCGAGATTTTATATGAAGATATTCCCGTTTCCAACGAAATGCAGAAATGTATCCAAATATCCCCTCGCAGATTCTACAAAAAGAGTGTTTCAAAACTGCTCTGTAAAAAGAAAGGTTCAACTCTGTTAGTTGAGTACACACATCACAAACAAGTTTCACACAATGCTTCTTTCTAGCTTGTAGGGGAAGATATTCCCTTTATCACCATGGTCCTCAAACCGTCCGAAACGTCCACTTCCATATACTACAAAAAGAGCGTTTCAAACCTGCTCTAGGAAAGGCAATGTTCAACTCTGTTACTTGAATGCAGACATCACAGAGCAGTTTCTGAGAATGCTTCTGTCTAGATTTTATAGGAAGATATTCCCGTTTCCAACGAAACCTTCACAACTATCCAAATATCCACTTGCAGATTCTACAAAAAGAGTGTATCAAAACTGCTCTGTCAAAAGGAAGGTTCTTTTCTGTTAGGTGAGTGCATACGTCATAAAGGAGTTTCTGAGAATGTTTCTGTCTAGTGGTTATGGGAAGATATTTGCTTTTTCACCGTAGGCCTCAGAGCGCTCCAAATATCCACTTGCACATACTACAAGAAGAGTGCTTCAAACCTGCTCTCTGAAACGGAATGTTCAACTCTATGAGTTGAATGCAAACATCACAAAGACGTTTCTGAGAATGCTTCTGTCTAGATTTGATATAAAGATATTCCCGTTTCCAACGAAATCTTCAAATCTATCCAAATGTCCACTTGGAGATTCAACAAAAAGTGTTTTTCCGAACTGCTCTATCAAAAGAAAGATCCACCTCTGTTAGCTGAGTTGACACATCACAAACAAGTTTATGAGAATGCTTCTGTCTAGTTTTTATTTGAAGATATTTCCTTTCTCACCATAGACCTGAAAGCTGTCCTAATGTTCACTTCCAGTTACTACAGAAAGAGTGTTTCAAAACTGCTGTACGAAAGGGAATGTTCAACTCTGTGACTTGAATGCACACATCACAATGAAGTTTCTGAGGATGCTGCTGTCTACTTTTTATACTTAATCCCGTTTCCAACGAAATCCTCCAAGCTATCCAAATATCCACTTGCAGATTCCACAGAAAGACTGTTTCAAAACTGCTCTGTCAATAGAAAGGTTCAACTGCTGTTAGCTGCGTGCATATATCCCAAAGAAGATTCTGAGATTGCTTCTGTCTAGTTTTTATGGGAAGATATTTCCCTTTTCACCGTAGGTGTCAAGGCGCTCCAAATGTCCACTTCCAGATACTACAAAAAGAGTGTTTCAAACCTACTCTGTGAAAGGGAATATTCAACTCTGTGACGTGAATGCACATATCACAAGGAAGTTTCTGAGAATGCTTCTGTCGAGATTTTATATGAAGATATTCCCGTTTCCAACGAAATCCTGAAATCTATCCAAATATCCCCTCGCAGATTCTACAAAAAGAGTGTTTCAAAACTGCTCTGTAAAAAGAAAGGTTCAACTCTGTTAGTTGAGTACACACATCACAAACAGGTTTCACAGATTGCTTCTTTCTAGCTTGTAGGGGAAGATATTCCCTTTATCACCATGGGCCTCAAACCGTCCGAAAAGTCTACTTCCATATACTACAAAAAGAGCGTTTCAAACCTGCTCTATGAAAAGCAATGTTCAACTCTGTGACTTGAATGCAGACATCACAGAGCAGTTTCTGAGAATGCTTCTGTCTAGGTTTTATAGGAAGATATTCCCGTTTCCAACGAAATCTTCACAGCTATCCAAATATCCACTTGCAGATTCTACAAAAAGAGTGTATCAAAACTGCTCTGTCAAAAGGAAGGTTCTTTTCTGTTAGGTGAGTGCATACGTCATAAAGGAGTTTCTGAGAATGTTTCTGTCTAGTGGTTTTGGGAAGATATTTGCTTTTTCACCGTAGGCCTCAGAGCGCTCCAAATATCCACTTGCACATACTACAAAAAGAGTGCCTCAAAGCTGCTCTCTGAAACGGAATGTTCAACTCTATGAGTTGAATGCAAACATCGCAAAGACGTTTCTGAGAATGCTTCTGTCTAGTATTTGATATGAAGATATTCCCGTTTCCAACGAAATCTTCAAATCTATCCAAATGTCCACTTGCAGATTCATCAAAAAGTGTTTTTCAAAACTGCTGTATCAAAAGAAAGATCCACGTCTGTTAGCTGAGTTCACACATCACAAACAAGTTTATGAGAATGCTTCTGTCTAGTTTTTATTTGAAGATATTTCCTTTCTCACCATAGACCTGAAAGCTGTCCTAATGTTCACTTCCAGTTACTACAGAAAGAGTGTTTCAAAACTGCTGTACGAAAGGGAATGTTCAACTCTGTGACTTGAATACACACATCACAAAGAAGTTTCTGAGGATGCTGCTGTCTACTTTTTATACGTAATCCCGTTTCCAACGAAGTCCTCCAAGCTATCCAAATATCCACTTGCAGATTCCACAGAAAGGCTGTTTCAAAACTGCTCTGTCAATAGAAAGGTTCAACTCTGTTAGCTGCGTGCATATATCCCAAAGAAGATTCTGAGATTGCTTCTGTCGAATTTTTATGGGAAGATATTTCCCTTTTCACCGTAGGTGTCAAGGCGCTCCAAATGTCCACTTCCAGATACTACAAAAAGAGTGTTTCAAACCTACTCTGTGAAAGGGAATATTCAACTCTGTGACTTGAATGCACATATCACAAAGAAGTTTCTGAGAATGCTTCTGTCGAGATTTTATAGGAAGATATTCCCTTTTCCAACGAAATCATGAATTCTATCCAAATAACCCCTCGCAGATTCTACAAAAAGAGTGTTTCAAAACTCCTCTGTAAAAAGAAAGGTTCAACTCTGTTAGTTGAGTACACACATCACAAACAAGTTTCACAGAATGCTTCTCTCTAGCTTGTAGGGGAAGATATTTCCTATATCACCATGGGCCTCAAACTGTCCGAATCGTCCCCTTCCATATACTAAAAAAAGAGTGTTTGAAACCTCCTCTATGAAAGGCAATGTTCTACTCTGTGACTTGAATGCAGACATCACAGGGCAGTTTCTGAGAATGCTTCTGTCTAGATTTTATAGGAAGATATTCCCGTTTCCAACGAAATCTTCACAGCTATCCAAATATCCACTTGCAGATTCTACAAAAAGAGTGTATCAAAACTGCTCTGTCAAAAGGAAGGTTCTTTTCTGTTAGCTGAGTGCATACGTCATAAAGGAGTTTCTGAGAATGTTTCTGTCTAGTGGTTATGGGAAGATATTTGCTTTTTCACCTTAGGCCTCAGAGCGCTCCAAATATCCCCTTGCAAATACTACAAAAAGAGTGCTTCAAAGCTGCTCTCTGAAAGAGAATGTTCAACTCTATGAGTTGAATGCAAACATCACAAAGACGTTTCTGGGAATGCTTCTGTCTAGATTTGATATGAAGATATTCCCGTTTCCAACGAAATCTTCATATCTATCCAAATGTCCACTTGCAGATTCAACAAAAAGTGTTTTTCAAAACTGCTGTATCAAAAGAAAGATCCACGTCTGTTAGCTGAGTTCACACATCACAAACAAGTTTATGAGAATGATTCTGTCTAGTTTTTATTTGAAGATATATCCTTTCTCACTATAGACCTGAAAGCTCTCCTAAAATTCACTTCCAGATACTACAGAAAGAGTGTTTCAAAACTGCTGTACGAAAGGGAATGTTCAACTCTGTGACTTGAATGCACACATCACAAGGATGTTTCTGAGGATGCTGCTGTCTACTTTTTATACGTAATCCCGTTTCCAACGAAATCCCCCAAGCTATCCAAATATCCACTTGCAGATTCCACAGAAAGACTGTTTCAAAACTGCTCTGTCAATAGAAAGGTTCAACTCTGTTAGCTGCGTGCATATATCCCAAAGAAGATTCTGAGATTGCTTCTGTCTACTTTTTATGAGAAGATATTTCCCTTTTCACCGTAGGCGTCAAGGTGCTCCAAATGTCCACTTCCAGATACTACAAAAAGAGTGTTTCAAACTTACTCTGTGAAAGGGAATATTCAACTCTGTGACTTGAATGCACATATCACAAAGAAGCTTCTGAGAATGCTTCTGTCGAGATTTTATATGAAGATATTCCCGTTTCCAACGAAATCCTGAAATCTATCCAAATATCCCCTCGCAGATTCTACAAAAAGAGTGTTTCAAAACTGCTCTGTAAAAAGAAAGGTTCAACTCTGTTAGTTGAGTACACACATCACAAACAAGTTTCACAGAATGCTTATCTTTCTAGCTTGTAGGGGAAGATATTCCCTTTATCACCATGGGCCTCCAACCGTCCGAAACATCCACTTCCATATACTACAAAAAGAGCGTTTCAAACCTGCTCTATGAAAGTCAATGTTCAACTCTGTGACTTGAATGCAGACATCACAGAGCAGTTTCTGAGAATGCTTCTGTCTAGATTTTATAGGAAGATATTCCCGTTTCCAACGAAATCTTCACAGCTATCCAAATATCCACTTGCAGATTCTACAAAAAGAGTGGATCAAAACTGCTCTTTCAAAAGGAAGGTTCTTCTCTGTTAGGTGAGTGCACACGTCATAAAGGAGTTTCTGAGAATGTTTCTGTCTAGTGGTTATGGGAAGATATTTGCTTTTTCACCTTAGGCCTCAGAGCGCTCTAAATATCCCCTTGCACATACTACAAAAAGAGTGCTATAAAGCTGCTCTCTCAAAGGGAATGTTCAACTCTATGAGTTGAATGCAAACATCACAAAGACGTTTCTGGGAATGCTTCTGTCTAGATTTGATATGAAGATATTCCCGTTTCCAACGAAATCTTCAAATCTATCCAAATGTCCACTTGCAGATTCAACAAAAAGTGTTTTTCAGAACTGCTCTATCAAAAGAAAGATCCACCTCTGTTAGATGAGTTCACACATCACAAACAAGTTTATGAGAATGCTTTCTGTCTAGTTTTTATTTGAAGATATTACCTTTCTCACCATAGACCTGAAAGCTGTCCTAATGTTCACTTCCAGATACTACAGAAAGAGTGTTTCAAAACTGCTGTACGAAAGGGAATGTTCAACTACTGTGACTTGAATGCACACATCACAAAGAAGTTTGCTGAGGATGCTGCTGTCTACTTTTTATACGTAATCCCGTTTCCAAGGAAATCCTCCAAGCTATCCAAATATCCACTTGCAGATTCCACAGAAAGACTGTTTCAAAACTGCTATGTCAATAGAAAGGTTCAACTCTGTTAGCTGCGTGCATATATCCCAAAGAAGATTCTGAGATTGCTTCTGTCTAGTTTTTATGGGAAGATATTTCCCTTTTTACCGTAGGCGTCAAGGCGCTCCAAATGTCCACTTCCAGATACTACAAAAAGAGTTTTTCAAACCTACTCGGTGAAAGGGAATATTCAACTCTGTGACTTGAATGCACATATCACAAAGAAGTTTCTGAGAATGCTTCTGTCGAGATTTTATATGAAGATATTCCCGTTTCCAACGAAATGCTGAAATGTATCCAAATATCCCCACGCAGATTCTACAAAAAGAGTGTTTCAAAACTGCTCTGTAAAAAGAAAGGTTCAACTCTGTTAGTTGAGTACACACATCACAAACAAGTTTCACAGAATGCTTCTTTCTAGCTCGTAGGGGAAGATATTCCCTTTATCACCATGGGCCTCAAACCGTCCGAAACGTCCACTTCCATATACTACAAAAAGAGCGTTTCAAACCTGCTCTATGAAAGGCAATGTTCAACTCTGTGACTTGAATGCAGACATCACAGAACAGTTTCTGAGAATGCTTCTGTCTAGATTTTATAGGAAGTTATTCCCGTTTCCAACGAAATCTTCACAGCTATCCAAATATCCACTTGCAGATTCTACAAAAAGAGTGTATCAAAACTGCTCTGTCAAAAGGAAGGTTCTTCTCTCTTAGGTGAGTGCATACGTCGTAAAGGAGTTTCTGAGAATGTTTCTGTCTAGTGGTTATGGGAAGATATTTGCTTTTTACCGTAGGCCTCAGAGCGCTCCAAATATCCACTTGCACATACTACAAAAAGAGTGCTTCAAAGCTGGTCTCTGAAACGGAATGTTCAACTCTATGAGTTGAATGCAAACATCACAAAGACGTTTCTGAGAATGCTTCTGTCTAGATTTGATATGAAGATATTCCCGTTTCCAACGAAATCTTCAAATCTATCCAAATGTCCACTTGCAGATTCAACAAAAAGTGTTTTTCAGAACTGCTCAATCAAAAGAAAGATCCACCTGTGTTAGCTGAGTTCACACATCACAAACAAGTTTATGAGAATGCTATCTGTCTAGTTTTTATTTGAAGATATTTCCTTTCTCACCATAGACGTGAAAGCTGTCCTAATGTTCACTTCCAGATACTACAGAAAGAGTTTTTCAAAACTGCTGTACGAAAGGGAATGTTCAACTCTGTGACTTGAATGCACACAACACAAAGAAGTTTCTGAGGATGCTGCTGTCTACTTTTTATACGTAATCCCGTTTCCAACGAAATCCTCCAAGCTATCCAAATATCCACTTGCAGATTCCACAGAAAGACTGTTTCAAAACTGCTCTGTCAATACAAAGGTTCAACTCTGTTAGCTGCGTGCATATATCCCAAAGTAGATTCTGAGATTGCTTCTGTCTAGTTTTTATGGGAAGATATTTCCCTTTTCACCGTAGGTGTCAAGGCGCTCCAAATGTCCACTTCCAGATACTACAAAAAGAGTGTTTCAAACCTACTCTGTGAAAGGGAATATTCAACCCTGTGACTTGAATGCAGATATCACAAAGAAGTTTCTGAGAATGCTTCGGTCGAGATTTTATATGAAGATATTCCCGTTTCCAACGAAATCCTGAAATGTATCCAAATATCCCCTCGCAGATTCTACAAAAAGAGTGTTTCAAAACTGCTCTGTAAAAAGAAAGGTTCAACTCTGTTAGTTGAGTACACACATCACAAACAAGTTTCACAGAATGCTTCTTTCTAGCTTGTAGGGGAAGATATTCCCTTTATCACCATGGGCCTCAAACCGTCCGAAACGTCCACTTCCATATACTTCAAAAAGAGCGTTTCAAACCTGCTCTATGAAAGGCAATGTTCAACACTGTGACTTGAATGCAGACATCACAGAGCTGTTTCTGAGAATGCTTCTGTATAGATTTTATAGGAAGATATTCCCGTTTCCAACGAAATCTTCACAGCTATCCAAATATCCACTTGCAGATTCTACAAAAAGAGTGTTTCAAAACTGCTCTGTCAAAAGGAAGGTTCTTCTCTGTTAGGTGAGTGCATACGTCATAAAGGAGTTTCTGAGAATGTTTCTGTCTAGTGGTTATGGGAAGATATTTGCTTTTTCACCGTAGGCCTCAGAGCGCTCCAAATATCCACTTGCACATACTACAAAAAGAGTGCTTCAAAGCTGGTCTCTGAAACGGAATGTTCAACTCTATGAGTTGAATGCAAACATCACAAAGACGTTTCTGAGAATGCTTCTGTCTAGATTTGATATGAAGATATTCCCGTTTCCAACGACATCTTCAAATCTATCCAAATGTCCACTTGCAGATTCAACAAAAAGTGTTTTTCAGAACTGCTCTATCAAAAGAAAGATCCACGTGTGTTAGCTGAGTTCACACATCACAAACAAGTTTATGAGAATGCTTCTGTCTAGTGTTTATTTGAAGATATTTCCTTTCTCACCATAGACCTGAAAGCTGTCCTAATGTTCACTTCCAGATACTACAGAAAGAGTGTTTCAAAACTGCTGTACGAAAGGGAATGTTCAACTCTGTGACTTGAATGCACACATCACAAAGAAGTTTCTGAGGATGCTGCTGTCTACTTTTTATACGTAATCCCATTTCCAACGAAATCCTCCAAGCTATCCAAATATCCACTTGCAGATTCCACAGAAAGACTGTTTCAAAACTGCTCTGTCAATAGAAAGGTTCAACTCTGTTAGCTGCGTGCATATATCCCAAAGAAGATTCTGAGATTGCCTCTGTCTAGTTTTTATGGGAAGATATTTCCCTTTTCACCGTAGGTGTCAAGGCGCTCCAAATGTCCACTTCCAGATACTACAAAAAGAGTGTTTCAAACCTTCTCTATGGAAGGGAATATTGAACTCTGTGACTTGAATGCAGATATCACGAAGAAGTTTCTGAAAATGCTTCTGTCGAGATTTTATATGAAGATATTCCCGTTTCCAACGAAATCCTGAAATCTATCAAATATCCCCTCGCAGATTCTACAAAAAGAGTGTTTCAAAACTGCTCTGTAAAAAGAAAGGTTCAACTCTGTTAGTTGAGTACACACATCACAAACAAGTTTCACAGAATGCTTCTTTCTAGCTTGTAGGGGAAGATATTCCCTTTATCACCATGGGCCTCAAACCATCCGAAACGTCCACTTCCATATACTACAAAAAGAGCTTTTCAAAGCTGCTCTAGGAAAGGCAATGTTCAACTCTGTGACTTGAATGCAGACATCACAGAGCAGTTTCTGAGAATGCTTCTGTCTAGATTTTATAGGAAGATATTCCCGTTTCCAAAGAAATCTTCACAGCTATCCAAATATCCACTTGCAGATTCTACAAAAAGAGTGTATCAAAACTGCTCTGTCAAAAGGAAGGTTCTTCTCTGTTAGTTGAGTGCATACGTCATAAAGCAGTTTCTGAGAATGTTTCTGTCTAGCGGTTATGGGAAGATATTTGCTTTTTCACCGTAGGCCTCAGAGCGCTCCAAATATCCACTTGCAGATATTACAAAAAGAGTGCTTCAAAGCTGCTCTCTGAAACGGAATGTTCAACTCTATGAGTTGAATGCAAACATCACAAAGACGTTTCTGAGAATGCTTTTGTCTAGATTTGATATGAAGATATTCCCGTTTCCAACGAAATCTTCAAATCTATCCAAATGTCCACTTGCAGATTCAACAAAAAGTGTTTTTCAGAACTGCTCTATCAAAAGAAAGTTCCACCTCTGTTAGCTGAGTTCACACATCACAAACAAGTTTATGAGAATGCTTCTGTCTAGTTTTTACTTGAAGATATTTCCTTTCTCACCATAGACCTGAAAGCTGTCCTAATGTTCACTTCCAGATACTACAGAAAGAGTGTTTCAAAACTGCTGTACGAAAGGGAATGTTCAACACTGTGACTTGAATGCACACATCACAAAGAAGTTTCTGAGGATGCTGCTGTCTACTTTTTATACTTAATCCCGTTTCCAACGAAATCCTCCAAGCTATCCAAATATCCACTTGCAGATTCCACAGAAAGACTGTTTCAAGACTGCTCTGTCAATAGAAAGGTTCAACTCTGTTAGCTGCGTGCATATATCCCAAAGAAGATTCTGAGATTGCTTCTGTCTAGTTTTTATGGGAAGATATTTCCCTTTTCACCGTAGGTGTCAAGGCGCTCCAAATGTCCACTTCCAGATACTACAAAAAGAGTGTTTCAAACCTACTCTGTGAAAGCGAATATTCAACTCTGTGACTTGAATGCAGATATCACAATGAAGTTTCTGAGAATGCTTCTGTCGAGATTATATATGAAGATATTCCCGTTTCCAACGAAATGCTGAAATGTATCCAAATATCCCCTCACAGATTCTACAAAAAGAGTGTTTCAAAACTGCTCTGTAAAAAGAAAGGTTCAACTCTGTTAGTTGAGTACACACATCACAAACAAGTTTCACAGAATGCTTCTTTCTAGCTTGTAGGAGAAGATATTTCCTTTATCACCATGGGCCTCAAACCGTCCGAAACGTCCACTTCCATATACTAAAAAAAGAGTGTTTGAAACCTGCTCTATGAAAGGCAATGTTCAACTCTGTGACTTGAATGCAGACATCACAGAGCAGTTTCTGAGAATGCTTCTGTCTAGGTTTTATAGGAAGATATTCCCGTTTCCAACGAAATCTTCACAGCTATCCAAATATCCACTTGCAGATAGTACAAAAAGAGTGTATCAAAAATGCTCTGTCAAAAGGAAAGTTCTTCTCTGTTAGTTGAGTACATACGTCATAAAGGAGTTTCTGAGAGTGTTTCTGTCTAGTGGTTATGGGAAGATATTTGCTTTTTCACCGTAGGCCTCAGAGCGCTCCAAATATCCACTTGCACATACTACAAAAAGAGTGCTTCAAAGCTGCTCTCTGAACCGCAATGTTCAATTCTATGAGTTGAATGCAAACATCACAAAGACGTTTCTGAGAATGCTTCTCTCTAGATTTGATATGAAGATATTCCCGTTTCCAACGAAATCTTCAAATCTATCCAAATGTCCACTTGCAGATTCAACAAAAAGTGTTTTTCAGAACTGCTCTATCAAAAGAAAGATCCACGTGTGTTAGCTGAGTTCACACATCACAAACAAGTTTATGAGAATGCTTCTGTCTAGTTTTTATTTGAAGATATTTCCTTTCTCATCATAGAGCTGAAAGCTGTCCTAATGTTCACTTCCAGATACTACAGAAAGAGTGTTTCAAAACTGCTGTACGAAAGGGAATGTTCAACTCTGTGACTTGAATGCACACATCACAAAGAAGTTTCTGAGGATGCTGCTGTCTACTTTTTATACGTAATCCCGTTTCCAATGAAATCCTCCAAGCTATCCAAATATCCACTTGCAGATTCCACAGAAAGACTGTTTCAAAACTGCTCTGTCAATAGAAAGGTTCAACTCTATTAGCTGCGTACATATATCCCAAAGAAGATTCTGAGATTGCTTCTGTCTAGTTTTTATGGGAAGATATTTCATATTTCCTTTTTCACCGTAGGTGTCAAGGCGCTCCAAATGTCCACTTCCAAATACTACAAAAAGAGTGTTTCAAAAATACTCTGTGAAAGGGAATATTCAACCCTGTGACTTGAATGCAGGTATCACAAAGAGGTTTCTCAGAATGCTTCTGTCGAGATTTTATATGAAGATATTCCCGTTTCCAACGAAATCCTGAAATCTATCCAAATATCCCCTCGCAGATTCTACAAAAAGAGTGTTTCAAAACTGCTCTGTAAAAAGAAAGGTTCAACTCTGTTAGTTGAGTACACACATCACAAACAAGTTTCGCAGAATGCTTCTTTCTAGCTTGTAGGGGAAGATATTTCCTTTATCACCATGGGCCTCAAACCGTCCGAAACGTCCACTTCCATATACTAAAAAAAGAGTGCTTGAAACCTGCTCTATGAAAGGCAATGTTCAACTCTGTGACTTGAATGCAAACATCAAAGAGCAGTTTCTGAGAATGCTTCTGTCCGGACTTTATAGGAAGATATTCCCGATTCCAACGAAATCTTCACAGCTATCCAAATATCCACTTGCAGATACTACAAAAAGAGTGTATCAAAAATGCTCTGTCAAAAGGAAAGTTCTTCTCTGCTAGTTGAGTACATACGTCATAAAGAAGTTTCTGAGAATGTTTCTGTCTAGTGGTTATGGGAAGATATGTGCTTTTTCACCGTAGGCCTCAGAGCGCTCCAAATATCCACTTGCACATACTACAAAAAGAGTGCTTCAAAGCTGGTCTCTGAAACGGAATGTTCAACTCTATGAGTTGAATGCAAACATCACAAAGACGTTTCTGAGAATGCTTCTGTCTAGATTTGATATGAAGATATTCCCGTTTCCAACGAAATCTTCAAATCTATCCCTAAATGTCCACTTGCAGATTCAACAAAAAGTGTTTTTCAGAACTGCTCTATCAAAAGAAAGATCCACCTCTGTTAGCTGAGTTCACACATCACAAACAAGTTTATGAGAATGCTTCTGTCTAGTTTTTATTTGAAGATATATCCTTTCTCACTATAGACCTGAAAGCTGTCCTAAAGTTCGCTTCCAGATACTACAGAAAGAGTGTTTCAAAACTGCTGTACGAAAGGGAATGTTCAACTCTGTGACTTGAATGCACACATCACAAGGATGTTTCTGAGGATGCTGCTGTCTACTTTTTATACGTAATCCCGTTTCCAACGAAATCCTCCAATCTATCCAAATATCCACTTGCAGATACCACAGAAAGACTGTTTCAAAACTGCTCTGTCACTAGAAAGGTTCAACTCTGTTAGCTGCGTGCATATATCCCAAAGAAGATTCTGAGATTGCTTCTGTCTAGTTTTTATGGGAAGATATTTCCCTTTTCACCGTAGGTGTCAAGGCGCTCCAAATGTCCACTTCCAGATACTACAAAAAGAGTGTTTCAAACCTATTCTGTGAAAGGGAATATTCAACTCTGTGACTTAAAGGCAGATATCACAAAGAAGTTTCTGAGAATGCTTCTGTCGAGATTTTATATGAAGATATTCCCGTTTCCAACGAAATCCTGAAATGTATCCAAATATCCCCTCGCAGATTCTACAAAAAGAGTGTTTCAAAACTGCTCTGTAAAAAGAAAGGTTCAACTGTGTTAGTTGAGTACACACATCACAAACAAGTTTCACAGAATGCTTCTTTCTAGCTTGTAGGGGAAGATATTCCCTTTATCACCATGGGCCTCAAACCGTCCGAAACGTCCACTTCCATATACTACAAAAAGAGTGTTTCAAACCTGCTCTATGAAAGGCAATGTTCAACTCTGTGACTTGAATGCAGACATCACAGAGCACTTTCTGAGAATTATTCTGTCTAGATTTTATAGGAAGATATTCCCGTTTCCATCGAAATCTTCACAGCTATCCAAATATCCACTTGCAGATTCTACAAAAAGAGTGTATCAAAACTGCTCTTTCAAAAGGAAGGTTCTTCTCTGTTAGTTGAGTACATACGTCATAAAGGAGTTTCTGAGAATGTTTCTGTCTAGTGGTTATGGGAAGATATTTGTTTTTCACCGTAGGCCTCAGAGCGCTCCAAATATCCACTTGCACATACTACAAAAAGAGTGCTTCAAACCTGCTCTCTGAAACGGAATGTTCAACTCTATGAGTTGAATGCAAACATCACAAAGACGTTTCTGAGAATGCTTCTGTCTAGATTTGATATGAAGATATTCCCGTTTCCAACGAAATCTTCAAATCTATCCAAATGTCCAGTTGCAGATTCAACAAAAAGTGTTTTTCAGAACTGCTCTATGAAAAGAAAGATCCACCTCTGTTAGCTGAGTTCACACATCACAAACAAGTTTATGAGAATGCTTCTGTCTAGTTTTTATTTGAAGATATTCCCTTTCTCACCATAGACCTGAAAGCTGTCCTAATGTTCACTTCCAGATACTACAGAAAGAGTGTTTCAAAACTGCTGTACGAAAGGGAATGTTCAACTCTGTGACTTGAATGCACACATCACAAAGAAGTTTCTGAGGATGCTGCTGTCTACTTTTTATACGTAATCCCGTTTCCAGCGAAATCCTCCAATCTATCCAAATATCCACTTGCAGATTCCACAGAAAGACTGTTTCAAAACTGCTCTGTCAATAGAAAGGTTCAACTCTGTTAGCTGCCTGCATATATCCCAAAGAAGATTCTGAGATTGATTCTGTCTAGTTTTTATGTGAAGATATTTCCCTTTTCACCGTAGGTGTCAAGGCGCTCCAAATGTCCACTTCCAGATACTACAAAAAGAGTGTTTCAAACCTACTCTGTGAAAGGGAATATTCAACTCTGTGACTTGAATGCAGATATCACAATGAAGTTTCTGAGAATGCTTCTGTCGAGATTTTATATGAAGATATTCCCGTTTCCAACGAAATCCTGAAAACTATCCAAATATCCCCTCGCAGATTCTACAAAAAGAGTGTTTCAAAACTGCTCTGTAAAAAGAAAGGTTCAACTCTGTTAGTTGAGTACACACATCACAAAAAAGTTTCACAGAATGCTTCTTTCTAGCTTGTAGGGGAAGATATTCCCTTTATCACCATGGGCCTCAAACCGTCCGAAACGTCTACTTCCATATACTACAAAAAGAGCGTTTCAAACCTGCTCTATGAAAGGCAATGTTCAACTCTGTGACTTGAATGCAGACATCACAGATCAGTTTCTGAGAATGCTTCTGTCCGGACTTTATAGGAAGATATTCCCGATTCCAACGAAATCTTCACAGCTATCCAAATATCCACTTGCAGATACTACAAAAAGAGTGTATCAAAAATGCTCTGTCAAAAGGAAAGTTCTTCTCTGCTAATTGAGTACATACGTCATAAAGAAGTTTCTGAGAATGTTTTCTGTCTAGTGGTTATGGGAAGATATTTGCTTTTTCACCTTAGGCCTCAGAGCGCTCCAAATATCCCCTTGCACATACTACAAAAAGAGTGCTTCAAAGCTGTTCTCTGAAAGGGAATGTTCAACTCTATGAGTTGAATGCAAACATCACAAAGACGTTTCCGAGAATTCTTCTGTCTAGATTTGATATGAAGATATTCCCGTTTCCAACGAAATCTTCAAATCTATCCAAATGTCCACTTGCAGATTCAACAAAAAGTGTTTTTCAGAACTGCTCTATCAAAAGAAAGGTCCACCTCTGTTAGCTGAGTTCAGACATCACAAACAAGTTTATGAGAATGCTTCTGTCTAGTTTTTATTTGAAGATATTTCCTTTCTCACCATAGACCTGAAAGCTGAACTAATGTTCACTTCCAGATGCTACAGAAAGAGTGTTTCAAAACTGCTGTACGAAAGGGAATGTTCAACTCTGTGACTTGAATGCACACATCACAAAGAAGTTTCTGAGGATGCTGCTGTCTACTTTTTATACGTAATCCCGTTTCCAACGAAATCCTCCAAGCTATCCAAATATCCACCTGCAGATTCCACAGAAAGACTGTTTCAAAACTGCTCTGTCAATAGAAAGGTTCAACTCTGTTAGGTGCGTGCATATATCCCAAAGAAGATTCTGAGATTGCTTCTGTCTAGTTTTTATGGGAAGATATTTCCCTTTTCACCGTAGGCGTCAAGGCGATCCAAATGTCCACTTCCAGATACTACAAAAAGATTGTTTCAAACTTACTCTGTGAAAGGGAATATTCAACTCTGTGACTTGAATGCCGATATCACAAAGAAGTTTCTGAGAATGCTTCTGTCGAGATTTTATATGAAGATATTCCCGTTCCCAACGAAATCTTGAAATCTATCCAAATACCCCTCGCAGATTCTACAAAAAGAGTGTTTCAAAACTGCTCTGTAAAAGAAAGGTTCAACTCTGTTAGTTGAGTACACACATCACAAACAAGTTTCACAGAATGCTTCTTTCTAGCTTGTAGGGGAAGATATTCCCTTTATCACCATGGGCCTCCAACCGTCTGAAACATCCACTTCCATATACTACAAAAAGAGCGTTTCAAACCTGCTCTATGAAAGGCAATGTTCAACTCTGTGACTTGAATGCAGACATCACAGAGCAGTTTCTGAGAATGCTTCTGTGTAGATTTTATAGGAAGATATTCCCGTTTCCAACGAAATCTTCACAGCTATCCAAATATCCACTTGCATATTCTACAAAAAGAGTGTATCAAAACTGCTCTGTCAAAAGGAAGGTTCTTCTCTGTTAGGTGAGTGCATACGTCATAAAGGAGTTTCTGAGAATGTTTCTGTTTAGTGGTTATGGGAAGATATTTGCTTTTTCACCTTAGGCCTCAGAGCGCTCCAAATATCCCCTTGAACATACTACAAAAAGAGTGCTTCAAAGCTGCTCTCTGAAACGGAATGTTCAACTCTATGAGTTGAATGCAAACATGACAAAGACGTTTCCGAGAATGCTTCTGTCTAGATTTGATATGAAGATATTCCCGTTTCCAACGAAATCTTCAAATCTATCCAAATCTCCACTTGCAGATTCAACAAAAAGTGTTTTTCAGAACTGCTCTATCAAAAGAAAGATCCACCTCTGTTAGCTGAGTTCACACATCACAAACAAGTTTATGAGAATGCTTATCTGTCTAGTTTTTATTTGAAGATATTTCCTTTCTCACCATAGAGCTGAAAGCTGTCCTAATGTTCACTTCCAGATACTACAGAAAGAGTGTTTCAAAACTGCTGTACGAAAGGGAATGTTCAACTATGTGACTTGAATGCACACATCACAAAGAAGTTTCTGAGGATGCTGCTGTCTACTTTTTATACGTAATCCCGTTTCCAACGAAATCCTCCAAGCTATCCAAATATCCACTTGCAGATTCCACAAAAAGAGTGTTTCAAAACCGCTCTGTCAATACAAAGGTTCAACTCTGTTAGCTGCGTGCATACATCCCAAAGAACATTCTGAGGTTGCTTCTGTCTAGTTTTTAGGGGAAGATATTTCCTTTTTCACAATAGGCGTCAAAGCGATCCAAATGTCCAATTCCAGATACTACAAAAAGAGTGTTTCAAACCTACTCTGTGAAAGGGAGTATTCAAGTCTGTGACTTCAATGCAGATATCACAATGAAGTTTCTGAGAATGCTTCGGTCTTCTGTCGAGATTTTATATGAAGATATTCCCTTTTCCAACGAAATCCTGAAATCTATCCAAATATCCCCTCGCAGATTCTACAAAAAGAGTGTTTCAAAACTGCTCTGTAAAAAGAAAGGTTCAACTCTGTTAGCTGAGTACACACATCACAAACAAGTTTCACAGAATGTTTCTTTCTAGCTTGTAGGGGAAGATATTCCCTTTATCAGCATGGGCCTCCAACCGTCCGAAACATCCACTTCCATATACTACAAAAAGAGCGTTTCAAACCTGCTCTATGAAAGGCAATGTTCAACTCTGTGACTTGAATACAGACATCACAGAGCAGTTTCTGAGAATGCTTCTGTCTAGATTTTATAGGAAGATATTCCCGTTTCCAACGAAATCTTCACAGCTATCCAAATATCCACTTGCAGATTATACAAAAAGAGTGTATCAAAACTGCTCTGTCAAAAGGAAGGTTCTTCTCTGTTAGTTGAGTACATACGTCATAAAGGAGTTTCTGAGAATGTTTCTGTCTAGTGGTTATGGGAAGATATTTGCTTTTTCACCTTAGGCCTCAGAGCGCTCAAAATATCCCCTTGCACACACTACAAAAAGAGTGCTTCAAAGCTGCTCTCTGAAACGGAATGTTCAACTCTATGGGTTGAATGCAAACATCACAAAGACGTTTCTGAGAATGCTTCTGTCTAGATTTGATATGAAGATATTCCCGTTTCCAACGAAATCTTCAAATCTATCCAAATGTCCACTTGCAGATTCAACAAAAGTGATTTTCAGAACTGCTCTATCAAAAGAAAGATCCACGTGTGTTAGCTGAGTTCACACATCACAAACAAGTTTATGAGAATGCTTCTGTCTAGTTTTTATTTGAAGATATTTCCTTTCTCACCATAGACCTGAAAGCTGTCCTAATGTTCACTTCCAGATACTACAGAAAGAGTGTTTCAAAACTGCTGTACGAAAGGGAATGTTCAACTCTGTGACTTGAATGCACACATCACAAAGAAGTTCCTGAGGATGCTGCTGTCTACTTTTTATACGTAATCACGTTTCCAACGAAATCCTCCAAGCTATCCAAATATCCACTTGCAGATTCCACAGAAAGACTGTTTCAAAACTGCTCTGTCAATAGAAAGGTTCAACTCTGCTAGCTACGTGCATATATCCCAAAGAAGATTCTGAGATTGCTTCTGTCTAGTTTTTATGGGAAGATATTTCCCTTTTCACCGTAGGCGTCAAGGCGCTCCAAATGTCCACTTCCAGATACTACAAAAAGAGTGTTTCAAACCTACTCTGTGGAAGGGAATATTCAACTCTGTGACTTGAATGCAGATATCACAAAGAAGATTCTGAGAATGCTTCTGTCGAGATTTTATATGAAGATATTCCCCTTTCCAACGAAATCCTGAAATCTATCCAAATATCCCCTCGCAGATTCTACAAAAACAGTGTTTCAAAACTGCTCTGTAAAAAGAAAGGTTCAACTCTGTTAGTTGAGTACACACATCACAAACAAGTTTCACAGAATGCTTCTTTCTAGCTTGTAGGGAAAGATATTCCCTTTATCACCATGGGCCTCAAACCGTCCGAAACGTCCACTTCCATATACTACAAAAAGAGCGTTTCAAACCTGCTCTATGAAAGGCAATGTTCAACTCCGTGACTTGAATGCAGACATCACAGAGCAGTTTCTGAGAATGCTTCTGTCTAGATTTTATAGGAAGATATTCCCGTTTCCAACGAAATCTTCACAGCTGTCCAAATATCCACTTGCAGATTCTACAAAAAGAGTGTATCAAAACTACTCTGTCAAAAGGAAGGTTCTTCTCTATTAGTTGAGTGCATACGTCATAAAGGAGTTTCTGAGAATGTTTCTGTCTAGTGGTTATGGGAAGATATTTGCTTTTTCACCGTAGGCGTCAGAGCTCTCCAAATATCCAGTTGCACATACTACAAAAAGAGTGCTTCAAAGCTGCTCTCTGAAACGGAATGTTCAACTCTATGAGTTGAATGCAAACATCACAAAGACGTTTCTGAGAATGCTTCTGTCTAGATTTGATATGAAGATATTCCCGTTTCCAAAGAAATCTTCAAATCTATCCAAATGTCCACTTGCAGATTCAACAAAAAGTGTTTTTCAAAAGTGCTGTATAAAAAGAAAGAAGCACCTCTGTTAGTTGAGTTCACACATCAAAACAAGTTTATGAGAATGCTTCTGTCTAGTTTTTATTTGAAGATATTTCCTTTCTCACCATAGACCTGAAAGCTGTCCTAATGTTCACTTCCAGATACTACAGAAAGAGTGTTTCAAAACTGCTGTACGAAAGGGAATGTTCAACTCTGTGACTTGAATGCAGACATCACAAGGAAGTTTCTGAGGATGCTGCTGTCTACTTATTATACGTAATCCCGTTTCCAACGAAATCCTCCAAGCTATCCAAATATCCACTTGCAGATTCCACAGAAAGACTCTTTCAAAACTGCTCTGTCAATAGAAACGTTCAACTCTGTTAGCTGCGTGCATATATCCCAAAGAAGATTCTGAGATTGCTTCTGTCTAGTTTTTATGGGAAGATATTTCCCTTTTCACCGTAGGTGTCAAGGCGCTCCAAATGTCCACTTCCAGATACTACAAAAAGAGTGTTTCAAACCTACTCTGTGAAAGGGAATATTCAACTCTGTGACTTGAATGCACATATCACAAAGAAGTTTCTGAAAATGCTTCTGTCGAGATTTTATATGAAGATATTCCTGTTTCCAACGAAATGCTGAAATGTATCCAAATATCCCATCGCAGATTCTACAAAAAGAGTGTTTCAAAACTGCTCTGTAAAAAGAAAGGTTCAACTCTGTTAGTTGAGTACACACATCACAAACAAGTTTCACAGAATGCTTCTTTCTAGCTTGTAGGGGAAGATATTTCCTTTATCACCATGGGCCTCAAACCGTCCGAAACGTCCACTTCCATATACTACAAAAAGAGCGTTTTAAACCTGCTCTATGAAAGGCAATCGTCAACTCTGTGACTTGAATGCAGACATCACAGAGCAGTTTCTGAGAATGCTTCTGTCTAGATTTTATAGGAAGATATTCCCGTTTCCAACGAAATCTTCCCAGCTATCCAAATATCCACTTGCAGATTCTACAAAAAGAGTGTATCAAAACTGCTCTGTCAAAAGGAAGGTTTTTCTCTGTTAGGTGAGTGCATACGTCATAAAGGAGTTTCTGAGAATGTTTCTGTCTAGTGGTTATGGGAAGATATTTGCTTTTTCACCGTAGGCCTCAGAGCGCTCCAAATATCCACTTGCACATACTACAAAAAGAGTGCCTCAAAGCTGCTCTCTGAAACGGAATGTTCAACTCTATGAGTTGAATGCAAACATCACAAAGACGTTTCTGCGAATGCTTCTGTCTAGGATTTGATATGAAGATATTCCCGTTACCAACGAAATCTTCAAATCTATCCAAATGTCCACTTGCAGATTCAACAAAAAGTGTTTTTCAGAACTGCTCTATCAAAAGAAAGATCCACCTCTGTTGGCTGAGTTCACACATCACAAACAAGTTTATGAGAATGCTTCTGTCTAGTTTTTATTTGAAGATATTTCCTTTCTCACCATAGACCTGAAAGCTGTCCTAATGTTCACTTCCAGATACTACAGAAAGAGTGTTTCAAAACTGCTGTACGAAAGGGAATGTTCAACTCTGTGACTTGAATGCACACGTCACAAAGAAGTTTCTGAGGATGCTGCTGTCTACTTTTTATACGTAATCCCGTTTCCAAAGAAATCCTCTAAGCTATCCAAATATCCACTTGCAGATTCCACAGAAAGACTGTTTCAAAACGGGTCTGTCAATAGAAAGGTTCAACTCTGTTAGCTGCGTACATATATCCCAAAGAAGATTCTGAGATTGCTTCTGTCTAGTTTTTATGGGAAGATATTACCCTTTTCACCGTAGGCGTCAAGGCGCTCCAAATGTCCACTTCCAGATACTACAAAAAGAGTGTTTCAAACCTACTCTGTGAAAGGGAATATTCAACTCTGTGACTTGAATGCACATATCACAAGGAAGTTTCTGAGAATGCTTCTGTCGAGATTTTATATGAAGATATTCCCCTTTCCAACGAAATCCTGAAATCTATCCAAATATCCCCTCGCAGATTCTACAAAAAGAGTGTTTCAAAACTGCTCTGCAAAAAGAAAGGTTCAACTCTGTTAGTGGAGTACACACATCACAAACAAGTTTCACAGAATGCTTCTTTCTAGCTTGTAGGGGAAGATATTTCCTTTATCACCATGGGCCTCAAACCGTCCGAAACGTCCACTTCCATATACTAAAAAAAGAGTGCTTGAAACCTGCTCTATGAAAGGCAATGTTCAACTCTGTGACTTGAATGCAGACATCACAGAGCAGTTTCTGAGAATCCTTCTGTCTAGATTTTATAGGAAGATATTCCCGTTTCCAACGAAATCTTTACAGCTATCCAAATATCCACTTGCAGATTCTACAAAAAGAGTGTATCAAAACTGCTCTGTCAAAAGGAAGGTTCTTCTCTGTTAGGTGAGTGCATACCGTCATAAAGGAGTTTCTGAGAATGTTTCTGTCTAGTGGTTATGGGAAGATATTTGCTTTTTCCCCGTAGGCCTCAGAGCGCTCCAAATATCCACTTGCACATACTACAAAAAGAGTGCCTCAAATCTGCTCTCTGAAACGGAATGTTCAACTCTATGAGTTGAATGCAAACATCACAAAGACGTTTCTGAGAATGCTTCTGTCTAGATTTGATATGAAGATATTCCCGTTTCCAACGAAATCTTCAAATCTATCCAAATGTCCACTTGCAGATTCAACAAAAAGTGTTTTTCAGAACTGCTCTATCAAAAGAAAGATCCACCTCTGTTAGCTGAGTTCAGACATCACAAACAAGTTTATGAGAAGGCTTCTGTCTAGTTTTTATTTGAAGATATTTCCTTTCTCACCATAGACCTGAAAGCTCTCCTAGTGTTCACTTCCAGATACTACAGAAAGAGTGTTTCAAAACTGCTGTACGAAAGGGAATGTTCAACTCTGTGACTTGAATGCACACATCACAAAGAAGTTTCTGAGGATTCTGCTGTCTACTTTTTATACGTAATCCCGTTTCCAACGAAATCCTCCAAGCTATCCAAATATCCACTTGCAGATTCCACAGAAAGACTGTTTCAAAACTGCTATGTCAATAGAAAGGTTCAACTCTATTAGCTGCGTACATATATCCCAAAGAAGATTCTGAGATTGCTTCTGTCTAGTTTTTATGGGAAGATATTTCCCTTTTCACCGTAGGCGTCAAGGCGCTCCAAATGTCCACTTCCAGATACTACAAAAAGAGTGTTTCAAACCTAATCTGTGAAAGGGAATATTCAACTCTGTAACTTGAATGCACATATCACAAAGAAGTTTCTGAGAATGCTTCTGTCGAGATTTTATATGAAGATATTCCCGTTTCCAAAGAAATCCTGAAATCTATCCAAATATCCCCTCGCAGATTCTACAAAAAGAGAGTTTCAAAACTGCTCTGTAAAAAGAAAGGTTCAACTCTGTTAGTTGAGTACACACATCACAAACAAGTTCCACACAATGCTTCTTTCTAGCTTGTAGGGGAAGATATTCCCTTTATCACCATGGGCCTCCAACCGTCCGAAACATCCACTTCCATATACTACAAAAAGAGCGTTTCAAACCTGTTCTATGAAAGGCAATGTTCAACTCTGTGACTTGAATGCAGACATCACAGAGCAGTTTCTGAGAATGCTTCTGTCTAGATTTTATAGGAAGATATTCCCGTTTCCAACGAAATCTTCACAACTATCCAAATATCCACTTGCAGATTCTACAAAAAGAGTGTATCAAAACTGCTCTGTCAAAAGGAAAGTTCTTCTCTGCTAGTTGAGTACATACGTCATAAAGAAGTTTCTGAGAATGTTTTCTGTCTAGTGGTTATGGGAAGATATTTGCTTTTTCACCGTAGGCCTCAGAGCGCTCCAAATATCCACTTGCACATACTACAAAAAGAGTGTTTCAAAGCTGCTCTCTGAAAGGGAATGTTCAACTCTATGAGTTGAATGCAAACATCACAAAGACGTTTCTGAGAATGCTTCTGTCTAGATTTGTTATGAAGATATACCCGTTTCCAACGAAATCTTCAAATCTATGCAAATGTCCACTTGCAGATTCAACAAAGTGTTTTTCAAAACTGCTGTATCAAAAGAAAGATCCACCTGTGTTAGCTGAGTTCACACTTCACAAACAAGTTTATCAGAATTCTCTGTCTAGTTTTTATTTGAATATATTTCCTTTCTCACCATAGACCTGAAAGCTGTCCTAATGTTCACTTCCAGATACTACAGAAAGAGTGTTTCAAAACTGCTGTACGAAAGGGAATGTTCAACTCTGTGACTTGAATGCACACATCACAAAGAAGTTTCTGAGGATGCTGGCTGTCTACTTTTTATACGTAATCCCGTTTCCAAAGAAATCCTCCAAGCTATCCAAATATCCACTTGCAGATTCCACAGAAAGACTGTTTCAAAACTGCTCTGTCAATAGAAAGGTTCAACTCTGTTAGCTGCGTGCATATATCCCAACGAAGATTCTGAGATTGCTTCTGTCTAGTTTTTATGGGAAGATATTTCCCTTTTCACCGTAGGCGTCAAGGCGCTCCAAATGTCCACTTCCAGATACTACAAAAAGAGTGTTTCAAACCTACTCTGTGAAAAGGAATATTCAACTCTGTGACTTGAATGCACATATCACAAGGAAGTTTCTGAGAATGCTTCTGTCGAGATTTTGTATGAAGATATTCCCGTTTCCAACGAAATCCTGAAATCTATCCAAATATCCCCTCGCAGATTCTACAAAAAGAGTGTTTCAAAACTGCCCTGTGAAAAGAAAGGTTCAACTCTCTTAGTTGAGTACACACATCACAAACAAGTTTCACAGAATGCTTCTTTCTAGCTTGTAGGGGAAGATATTCCCTTTATCACCATGGGCCTCAAACCGTCCGATAATTCCACTTCCATATACTACAAAAAGAGCGTTTCAAACCTGCTCTATGAAAGGCAATGTTCAACTCTGTGACTTGAATGCAGACATCACAGAGCAGTTTCTGAGAATGCTTCTGTCTAGATTTTATAGGAAGATATTCCCGTTTCCAAGGAAATCTTCGCAGCTATCCAAATATCCACTTGCAGATTCTACAAAAGGAGTGTATCAAAACTGCTCTGTCAAAAGGAAGGTTCTTCTCTGTTAGGTGAGTGCATACGTCATAAAGGAGTTTCTGAGAATGTTTCTGTCTAGTGGTTATGGGAAGATATTTGCTTTTTCACCTTAGGCCTCAGAGCGCTCCAAATATCCCCTTGCACATACTACAAAAAGAGTGCTTCAAAGCTGCTCTCTGAAAGGGAATGTTCAACTCTATGAGATGAATGCAAACATCACAAAGACGTTTCTGAGAATGCTTCTGTCTAGCATTTGATATGAAGATATTCCCGTTTCCAACGAAATCTTCAAATCTATCCAAATGTCCACTTGCAGATTCAACAAAAAGTGTTTTTCAGAACTGCTCTATCAAAAGAAAGATTCACCTCTGTTAGCTGAGTTCACACATCACAAGCAAGTTTATGAGAATGCTTCTGTCTAGTTTATATTTGAAGATATTTCCTTTCTCACCATAGAGCTGAAAGCTGTCCTAATGTTCACTTCCAGATACTACAGAAAGAGTGTTTCAAAACTGCTGTACGAAAGGGAATGTTCAACTCTGTGACTTGAATGCACACATCACAAAGAAGTTTACTGAGGATGCTGCTGTCTACTTTTTATACGTAATCCCGTTTCCAACGAAATCCTCCAATCTATCCAAATATCCACTTGCAGATTCCACAGAAAGACTGTTTCAAATCTGCTCTGTCAACAGAAAGGTTCAACTCTGTTAGCTGCGTGCATATATCCCAAAGAAGATTCTGAGATTGCTTCTGTCTAGTTATTATGGGAAGATACTTCCCTTTTCACCGTAGGCGTCAAGGCGCTCCAAATGTCCACTTCCAGATACTACAAAGAGAGTGTTTCAAACCTACTCTGTGAAAGGGAATATTCAACTCTGTGACTTGAATGCACATATCACAAAGAAGTTTCTGAGAATGCTTCTGTCGAGATTTTATATGAAGATATTCCCGTTTCCAACGAAATCCTGAAATGTATCCAAATATCCCCTCGCAGATTCTACAAAAAGAGTGTTTCAAAACTGCTCTGTAAAAAGAAAGGTTCAACTCTGTTAGTTGAGTACAAACATCAGAAACAAGTTTCACACAATGCTTCTTTCTAGCTTGTAGGGGAAGATATTCCCTTTATCACCATGGGCCTCCAACCGTCCGAAACGTCCACTTCCATATACTACAAAAAGAGCGTTTCAAACCTGCTCTAGGAAAGGCAATGTTCAACTCCGTGACTTGAATGCAGACATCACAGAGCAGTTTCTGAGAATGCTTCTGTCTAGATTTTATAGGAAGATATTCCCGTTTCCAACGAAATCTTCACATCTATCCAAATATCCACTTGCAGATTCTACAAAAAGAGTGTATCAAAACTGCTCTGTCAAAAGGAAGGTTCTTTTCTGTTAGGTGAGTGCATACGTCATAAAGGAGTTTCTGAGAATGTTTCTGTCTAGTGGTTATGGGAAGATATTTGCTTTTTCACCGTAGGCCTCAGAGCGCTCCAAATATCCACTTGCGCATACTACAAAAAGAGTGCCTCAAAGCTGCTCTCTGAAACGGAATGTTCAACTCTATGAGTTGAATGCAAACATCGCAAAGACGTTTCTGAGAATGCTTCTGTCTAGATTTGATATGAAGATATTCCCGTTTCCAACGAAATCTTCAAATCTATGCAAATATCCACTTGCAGATTCAACAAAAAGTGTTTTTCAGAACTGCTCTATCAAAAGAAAGATCCACCTCTGTTAGCTGAGTTCACACATCAGAAACAAGTTTATGAGAATGCTTCTGTCTTGTTTTTATTTGAAGATATTTCCTTTCTCACCATAGACCTGAAAGCTGTCCTAATGTTCACTCCCAGATAATACACAAAGAGTGTTTCAAAACTGCTGTACGAAGGGGAATGTTCAACTCTGTGACTTGAATGCACACATCACAAAGAAGTTTCTGAGGATGCTGCTGTCTACTTTTTATACGTAATCCCGTTTCCAACGAAATCCTCCAAGCTATCCAAATGTCCACTTGCAGATTCCACAGAAAGACTGTTTCAAAACTGCTCTGTCAATAGAAAGGTTCAACTCTGTTAGCTGCGTGCATATATCCCAAAGAAGATTCTGAGATTGCTTTCTGTCTACTTTTTATGAGAAGATATTTCCCTTTTCACCCGTAGGCGTCAAGGCGCTCTAAATGTCCACTTCCAGATACTACAAAAAGAGTGTTTCAAACCTACTCTGTGAAAGGGAATATTCAACTCTGTGACTTGAATGCACATATCACAAAGAAGCTTCTGAGAATGCTTCTGTCGAGATTTTATATAAAGATATTCCCGTTTCCAACGAAATCCTGAAATCTATCCAAATATCCCCTCGCAGATTCTACAAAATGAGTGTTTCAAAACTGCTCTGTAAAAAGAAAGGTTCAACTCTCTTAGTTGAGTACACACATCACAAACAAGTTTCACAGAATGCTTCTTTCTAGCTTGTAGGGGAAGATATTCCCTTTATCACCATGGGCCTCAAACCGTCCGAAACGTCCACTTCCATATACTACAAAAAGAGCGTTTCAAACCTACTCTAGGAAAGGCAATGTTCAACTCTGTGACTTGAATGCAGACATCACAGAGCAGTTTCTGAGAATGCTTCTGTCTAGATTTTATAGGAAGATATTCCCGTTTCCAACGAAATCTTCACAGCTATCCAAGTATCCACTTGCAGATTCTACAAAAAGAGTGTATCAAAACTGCTCTGTCAAAAGGAAGGTTCTTCTCTGTTAGGTGAGGTGCATACGTCATAAAGGAGTTTCTGAGAATGTTTCTGTCTAGTGGTTATGGGAAGATATCTGCTTTTTCACCGTAGGCCTCAGAGCGCTCCAAATATCCACTTGCACATACTACAAAAAGAGTGCTTCAAACCTGCTCTCTGAAACGGAATGTTCAACTCTATGAGTTGAATGCAAACATCACAAAGACGTTTCTGAGAATGCTTCTGTCTAGATTTGATATGAAGATATTCCCGTTTCCAACGAAATCTTCAAATCTATCCAAATGTCCACTTGCAGATTCAACAAAAAGTGTTTTTCAAAACTGCTGTATCAAAAGAAAGATCCACGCCTGTTAGCTGAGTTCACACATCACAAACAAGTTTATGAGAATGCTTGCTGTCTACTTTTTATACGTAATCCCGTTTCCAACGAAATCCTCCAAGCTATCCAAATATCCACTTGTAGATTCCACAGAAAGACTGTTTCAAAACTGCTCTGTCAATAGAAAGGTTCAACTCTGTTAGCTGCGTGCATATATCCCAAAGAAGATTCTGAGATTGCTTCTGTCTAGTTTTTATGGGAAGATATTTCCCTTTTCACCGTAGGTGTCAAGGCGCTCCAAATGTCCACTTTCAGATACTACAAAAAGAGTGTTTCAAACCTACTCTGTGAAAGGGAATATTCAACTCTGTGACTTGAATGCACATATCACAAAGAAGTTTCTGAGAATGCTTCTGTCGAGATTTTATATGAAGATATTCCCGTTTCCAACGAAATCCTGAAATGTATCCAAATATCCCCTCGCAGATTCTACAAAAAGAGTGTTTCAAAACTGCTCTGTAAAAAGAAAGGTTCAACACTGTTAGTTGAGTACACACATCACAAACAAGTTTCACAGAATGCT